>NC_000002.12:110216890-110519921 GCF_000001405.40 Homo sapiens | reverse complement strand
GCATTGGTGTAATACTATCTCATGTACTAAAAGAAATAACTGCCAACCTTTTATATTTTCCAAGATCTCTTCTGGAAAACAAAAACTTTAAGAATCTGCCTTCACTGGAAATTCTTAATGATGTACTTCAAGCAAAAAGAAAATTTCCTAGGTAAAAGGTCTAAGATGCTAGAAAGAAAGACATGCAAAGGAAACTTACCACCATATTACAGATATGGACTGTCAGTCTGACTGGTCACACTAGGGGCATTTTGTTACCAAGGCCTTGAAAATAATAACCAACACTGCATACATGAGGGATGCCAGAAGAAAGGTCTGAGAGCCACTCTTCCTGGCACTGAAGGAAACAGGGCCCATCAGAGCAAACAAGTACCTTTTGCCTCTCTCATCTCCTTGGAGGCAAATGTTTATAATCTCTGGTTTTGTGTAAAGTTTATAACAGTATTTTTCATTCAGGTTGCTACCTATTAGTGGATGGTGAAATTAATTTGGTGGATCACATTCAGGATATTTTTTTTTTAAATCAAAAGAATACAAGCTGGGCTCAATGACTCACACCTGTAAGCCCAACAGTTTGGGAAGACCAGGCAGGAGGATTGCTTGAGAACAGGAGTTCAGAATCAGCCTGGGCAACATGGCGAGACCCTATGTCTACAAAAATTTTAAAATATGCCAGATCTGGTGGCATGTGCCCATAGTCCTAGCTACTCGGGAGGCTAAGGCAGCAGGATTGTTTGTTAGAAGGAGTTCGAGGCTGCAGTCAAACTTCTGGTCGAAATCCTGGTCACGCCACTGCATTTCAGCCTGGGCAACAGAGTAAAACCCCATCTTTAAAAAAATATTAAGAAATAAAAATAATATGTGAAACGTTAGAATATGTTGAATCTGGTAAGGATAAGCAATTATTTCTTGAAACTCTACATACATACATGAGTGTTGGTAAATACCTGACTGTATCATCAGCTCTAGATATAAAATGTTTATGATGTTGGCTGTGAGTTAATGAGGAATAGTTTTCCTTTCTGTGGGTTTGGGTGTATTTGGGAAACATTAGCTTAGGAGGGTAAAGTAGGTTACCCAACTCTGAAAAGCAGCATCAAAATCTTTATAATAAACACATATTAGGGGCCCAACTTAAATTTCAAGCAGATGTCATGAGCTGCTCAGAGTAGCATGTTACAACTCTGCGTTATAAGGTAAAATGACTTAGAGTGTAGCAGTAGTCCCCAATGTCAAATAGACAGTGGTAAGTATAGATTGCTCTTCTCCTTGCATCACAAATGTTAATTCACCCTGCCCCCACACGCATTAAAACTCAGCATATTTCACAAATTGAGTGTTTCATTTCTATTTGAGATAGACTTATGGTAAGTCAGCTTTGCTCCCCAAATAAGTTAGCCATATAGTACTTCTATATGCAAAATTTGAATCTCAATTTTACTACTCAAGCTGGAAGTAAAAGTCATTTTTGTATATCTTCTTTGCTCCCAGACTGGGTTACAGTTTACAGATCTGAATATTGTCACTTGTACACCATACATACACAGAGGTCTAAAACTCTCTACAAGTAAATAAAGAAAAAAAGCCCAGCAACCCAATAGGAAAATAGGCCAAGCCTGTTATAGGCTTTTTGATCATCTCCAGACTGGCAGGAAGAGAATGCATACTCACACTGTAAGTGCCTGATTTGATTTGCAGAGGATATAGAACCTTATCAGAAAACAGCCTTCCAAGGCAAGAGCAAATGCACCCTATCTAAGCACAGCTTTTCTCCAATTCTTATTTACCTAAGGAGATGAATAGCTGCCAGGAACATTGTTTGCACAAGGGCAGGAGCCTGCCAGATCTGAGAACACAGCAAAATTTTTATTTTGTCAAAAATCTTATATTCAGCTTACACCATTCATTTCAGGTGAACATACAACAGTCTGCATTTCAGTTTAGGGAAATGTTTACAGTCGTCTGGTTCTCTTTATTCTTGGGAACAAGGTTACCTCACTTGGAACACATAACCAGTGCCAAGTTGTCCATCCCTAAGCAATATCGCTTCCTCCTACTTTCTAGAAGTTCTTCAGGTTGTGGAAGACAGACTTTTCAGAATTGTTTGCCCTCATTCCCTCCTCCAGAAATGCATGCCTTTGTATAATCTCTTCCCCTTGAGAGCCAGTAGGCTAACCTAATGAGTTATGTTTAACCAGTAGAATACAGCAAGAATGATAGATTACAAGAGATTGTGGCTTCTATCTTGCTAGCGGCCTCTCTCTGTCTTCTCTGCTTGCACACTTTGTTGAAGCAAGCTACCATCCCAGAGGCAAGGAACACAGGCCATCAGTTTAGCAGCCTTGAGGAACTAAATTCTTCCAACTACCACATAAGTTTGGAAGTAGATTCTTCTCCAGTCCAGCCTTCAGATGAGACCCCAGCCATGCCAACATCTTGATTGCAGCCCTGTGAGAGACCTTGAAATAGAACCATTTCTGATCTCCTGACCCACAGAAACTGTGAAATAAATATGTGTTAAGGTACTAAGTTTGTAGTAATTTGTTACGCAGCAGATTGTAAATAACACGCAGATAAAACCAGACAGAACAGAAAAATAAAATGACTTTAACTCTAGAAAGTTTCCCCATGTAAAATTTTGAAAATGCTACTCTGCCTAAGGTCAAACTGTCATACATATATACGTATGAAAACACAGAAAGGTGTCTGGAAGGGTAATACCAAATTAAATCTTTATCCAAGAGGAATGAAAACCAGTATTCACACAAAAACCTATGCACAAACCTTGTGAATATATTAAAAACCAGTGAATTATGCACTTTAAAAAGGTGAATTATGTGGTATATGAATTATATCTCCAAAACATTTAATTAAAAACCTGTACACAATTATTCGTAGAAACTTTCTTTAAAATTGCTAAAAACGAGGAAGATCTCAGTTATCCTTCAACTGGCAAATGAATAAACAAACTGGTACAGCCGTGCAATTGAATACTGCTCAGCAATAAAAAAGAATGCACTGCCAGTTCAGCAACATGGGTAATTCTCAAATGCATTATGCCAGTTGACAGAGGTCAGACTCAAAATACTATGTACAGTGTGATTCTACTTATATGACACTGAAAAAAGCAGAACTATAAGGACAGAAAACAGGTTAGCGGTTGCCAAGGAGTGGGAGAAGCAGCCAGGGAGAACTTTGAGGAGATGAAAATGTGCCAGGCCTTGGTCGGTGGTGGTACGTAACTGTGCATTTGTCAAGACTCAGTGCTATATGCTGAAAAGGGCAGGTTTTACTATAAGTAAGTTGTACCTCAATAAACATGATTTTTAAATGATTAAAACTTTGGTTTTTGTTTGTTGTGGTTCAGTTTTAAGGTTTCCCATAAATCTATTGGTTTTAGATTCTAAGTTGTATATAAGCTTCTGTTTTAAAAGAATTTTTTTTTAAATCCCCTTATCGTCAACAATATTTAGTTGTGCTGGAAATTTTATTTTGGAATTGTTTAATAGAGAAAGACAATAAATAATGTTCAAGAACAGACATTGATTCATAACATCAAAGTATATTGTGAGAAGATGGTATTTCAGAATAGAGGAAGAATTTCTTATGTGCTGGTAAGATTGTAGATAATCATTTCTGCATAATTTTCATAGCTGGATTGCTTTAATAAAGCCATTTAAAGGTTAAGTTCTAGATTGCTTCATGTTGCTTATCAATGTTTTAAAGCTAAAATAGAAAATTAGCTGTTAAGTTGGCTCAACCGGAAATTCAGTATATCCTTTAAAAAGAGAAATTTAGTAAGCAGTGTGTCTAAAGAATGACATATGGTTGGGTACAGTGGCTCGTGACTGCAATCCCAACACTGTGAGGCTGAAGTGGGAGGATCACTTGAGCCCAGGAATTTGAGACCAGCCTGGAAAACAGTGAGACCTGCATCTCTACAAAAAAACAAAAAATTACCCAGGCATGGTGGTACACACCTTGTGGTCCCAGTTGCTTGGGAGGCTGAGGTGGGAGAATCACTTGAGCCTGGGAGATCAAGGCTGCATTGAAGTCTCATCACGCCACTGCACTCGAGCCTGGGTGACAGAGCAAGACCCTATCTCAAAAAAAAAAAAAAAAAAAGAACCCCCCCCCCCCACCAAAAAAGGCATGTGATCAGTAAAAAAGACATTATTTGCTTATATTGTAGAGTGGTTCTAAAATATAGATTTTACATTGAGAAATTTTAATACTCTCTTTTTTCTTTTTTTTTTCTTTGTTTTACTTTCTAAAGATGAGGAAGAAAATGCTTCCCGTTCTTCTGGATGAGCATCCTATCTTCGTAGTTGGTTTGGACTTCGATAGGTTGATGGAAGGAATACTTCTATTAACCAAATAGAATCTGTTTACAAAAATGGTTCGTGTGTGTTACCATTATTCTTTTGTCAAAAAGTGTGTATATATGTTTGCATTTACATATATTTGTACATCTGTATGACAGATGTATTTTAAAAGTTTCAACTTGAAGTAAAAGTACAACAGCTTGAAGTGTTGATACCAGGCCACAGCCCTCTAACTCATGTGATCTCCCATGCATGCTGCCAGAATAAAACCACCAGGAATGAATTCACTCCCCACTTCTCTGGAACCTCAGGACCCGCCCATTTCTCGGCAGTACTGTGAATTTTGAAGTTAAACTAAATTTTGGTACCATACCAACTGGAATTTAGGCTTTAAAAATAATGTTTCAAGGCCAGGTGTGGTGATTCATGCCTGAAATCCCACTACTTTGGGAGGCTGAGGCTGGAGAATCGCTTGAGGCTAGTGAGCTGTGATTGTACCACTGCACTCCAGCTCGGGGAACAGAGCGAGACCTTGTCTCTAAAAATAATAATAGTAATAAAAATAACGTTTTATGACTATTTATTGCAAGGTCAGATTTACAGATTGTTATAAATTGTTGAGAAATTTTTGTGATTAGAATATGAAGGAAAAAGCTTTGTTGGTAAAAGTGACATGTTAAGGGGCTATGAAGTAAATATGCTGCAGTTAATTGTGCTAAGTTAAAATACAGTTTAGTTATTTGCTTTAAAATAAACTCTTCTTTTTTTCTTTAAAGTATACTACCTCAAAACTCATTATGTTGTCAGAGCCCTAGAGCTGGCTAGTGTAACACTGACTATGAGTAGGTGGGCCCACCACTTGAGTTGAGGTGATTTCATGGTGTCTTTCCAGGCTCTTGATAGGGTGTCACTGCATGCAAGCCATGAATCTGTTTTGAGAATCCTCTCCATTTTCCCAAATAAAAACCTATCCCAACAGTGACTATATCACTCAGCATTGGATCTAAATATAAAAGTGGTGCTTTCAGTGTTTTTGGCAGATAGTGTTCCATAACCTTTCCATCAGAAGGGATTTTAGACACCTTAGAGGTCCGTGCTACATCTTCACAGTTCCTCCGAATAACCTTAGGTGGTAGTGTTACTTGCCTTTGACACCTGTGCATATGTTTTAATGACTAGATCCAAACTGTGTTGTTCTTAAATCAAAAATTGGATAATTTTTAATATTTATGTATTAATCACACAGTGTGCTCTCTGAAGTTCTCTTAAGCCTTCAGTTTATACTCTTAATTTTCTTTCTGAGCTGGGGAACTGACTTTGCACTTTGGTTACACAGAACATTGGTTTCCAATTTAGTTTAACTGAAATTTGCTGCTGATATGTTGAGTTTGTTCTTTAAAAAATATCTCATATATCTCGTCTTTCCTCCTTAGAAGAACAGACCTAACTAGCGAATGTATGAATGAAAATGCATCTATTTCAGAGCCGACATGAAGAGTTTAGTTTTTTTACTTTATAAACTGTGAATATGAGTATGCCAGCTGCATTAGATGTAACTAATCATATTTAAATATATTTCACTTTGACTTTAGACCTTTTGAAGTCTGTATAAACTTGTTTTGAAATACAGTCTCCACTTACGAATGTCATAACAAAATACTTTTTTGCATGATAAAAAATTACTTTGATTACAAAAGGCATATTCTTTCATGGTTTCTGCAATGAGAGGAAGTGTAATGATTATTTTAATATTTCTATTAAAACTGTATATTTTTATGGCTGCTCTTTTATGTTACCCACTGTCTCTTTGGGGTTGTTAATTGGTTTCTGAAAGGGAACTTCAAACTCCTTTACTACTGGCCTTCCATGGTTGGTCCCTATTAGGTTGTTGTGAGAACGTCGACCAACTCTTTGATACCCGCCAGGTAGACCGTAGTACCTGCCATGTCTGACACCCTGCATCCAGCTAAAACCAGAAACAGCGCTGGGCCTCCCTGTGGACAAGACATTGATTTGACCAGAAGCAGATGTCTGGCTAAGGCTGCCAACCAAAGGGTGGCCTTAGATGAAGGGCTTTGTTCAGTTAGGGGCAGAGGTCATTAATTTTTTTTTTTTTTTTTGAGACAGAGTCTTGCTCTGTCGCCCAGGCGTGAGTGCAATGGCGCGATCTCGGCTCACTGCAAGCTCTGCCTCCCAGGTTCACGCCATTCTCCTGCCTCAGCCTCCTAAGTAGCTGGGACTACAGGCGCCGGCCACCATGCCCGGCTAATTTTTTGTATTTTTACTAGAGACAGGGTTTCACCGTGTTAGCCTGGATGGTCTCGATCTCCTGGAGGTAATTTATTTCTTTGGATGTTTGGACTAGGAGATGGGGAGAGGCAGAGCAGAAAGAGAAACACAGATGCCACAAGGAGGAGGAACAGAGCTAACCCTGGATAGGACTGGACACAGCAGCCAGACCAAGAGAGGCATCTAGTGAGAAGCAGCTCTTCAGCCCTGGGCCTGGTGCACACATCACTCCTTGGTTTCTAAGAACCAAATTTGGCCCAGCACAGTGGCTCATGCCTGTAATCCCAGCACCTTGGGAGGCCAAAGCGGGTAGATCATGAGGTCAAGAGATCAAGACCATCCTGGCCAACATGGTGAATCCCCGTCTCTACTAAAAACACACAAAAAATCAGCTGGGCATGGTGGTGTGCACCTGTAGTCCTAGCTACTTGGGAAGCTGAGGCAGGAGAATCACTTGAACCCAGGTGGCAGAGTCCAGTGAGCTGAGATCACACTACTGCACTCCAGCCTGGCGACAGAGTGAGACTCTGTCAAAAAAATAAAGCCAAATTCATACAGTCCCTGAGGAGTGGGAACTGATGCACATCTCTTGCATACAATAAGCTATGCTTGTGCTCTGAACAGTGTAAGATTGAGAATTGTATTCCTTTAAAGAAAGTTCGGCAGAACTGTAACTGAATTACTAACAAGGCACTGAGAAGGCATACCGTACTTTGTATGGTATTTGGCGAATGGCATAACACATCAAAAAATTGGTTGTATCATATGATTAAATTGCAACGTGATGATTTCAACTTGGTGGAAGACTTCTGCTTCGTCTTGGTATGTGAAAATCCCCTTTGCTTCAAACTTAATACACACCAAGGAAAACAACCTGATACAAGTTTGCAAGTGTCTTTGAGCTAATGGCTTTTCGTGGGTATTAAAAAGCATTGGGTTATTTATGTATAATTACGTAGAAAGAAAATGTTTGTTCCATTCAAGATACGGTTACACAAAAAGTCATCTAGTTGTGACCTTCAAATTATTACTTATATACCTACAGAAAATTCCTATAAATAGGCTGGGCGCGATGGCTCACACCTGTCATCCCGGCACTTAGGGAGGCCAGGGTGGGCAGATCACCTGAGGTCAGGAGTCCAAGACCAGCCTGGCCAATATGGTGAAAACTTGTCTCTACGAAAAATACAAAAATTAGCCAGGCATGTTGGCCCATGCCTGTAGTCCCAGCTACTCAGCAGGCTGAGGTAGGAGAATCGCTTGAACTCGGGAGGGGAGGCTGCAGTGAGCCAAGATCACACACCACTGCACTCCAGCCTGGGCAACAAAGTGAGACCCCCATCTCAAATAAGGAAAGAAAATTCCTATGAAGAAACACTATACCTCTGAGTTTCAATAATAGAGATGATTAACCCAGTTTCCCTGCAAGGATGTGCTCACTGTGAACAGATGTAGTGGTTACCACTCCAGATGTCTGCCTAGCATTTGAGACAACAGTCTCTGTCACCCCTGCCTCTCTCTGGGAACTTCTGCCCCACCACCATACAGAGGGGCAGTAGGCCCAGCCATAATCAACTGAAACAGACACAGAGTTATGACCTGAGCCTAGGCAATTAGGTTTTCTCAGGAATATGGATCTGGGACTAAAGAACTCAGCATCTTCCTGTGACTGGAGTTGTAGCATGTAAGTACAGAAGCTTTGGAGTGCCCAGAAAGAGCAGAGAAAGCCAAGAGAGTGCCAGGTTTAAGTTGACATAAGAGGTCAACAAAATCGTGAAGTGAGTGTTCTGGGGACCTGAGAGTCAAGGGACTGGATTCTGTACAATGTCTCTGCATCATCATAGTAAACTTCCTACACATGCTTTGAAAGTAAATATCAGATAATTTGGAGCACAGTATAATGGTAAAGTATAAACTGTGAACTTACACAAGGACACCACAATTTCTGCCTCACTGACGAATAACTTGGGGCATGTTCTTGACTGCTCTGAGCCCCCATTTCTTTATCTGTAAAAAGGAAATAAATTACATAGTTGTGAGTTATTGGATGACATAATAAAACCCAGCACAGAGGGCTGGGCGCAGTGGCTCACGCCTGTAATCCCAGCACTTTGGGAGGCCACGGTGGGCGTATCACAAGGTCAGGAGATCGGGAGCATCCTGGCTAACACGGTGAAGCCCCGTCTCTACTAAAAATACAAAAAATCAGCCAGGCATGGTGGCAGGTGCCTGTAGTCCCAGCTACTTGGGAGGCTGAGGCAGAAGAATGGCGTGAACCCAGGAGGCGGAGCTTGCAGTGAGCCGAGATTGCGCCGCTGCACTCCAGCCTGGGCGACAGAGCAAGACCCCATCTCAACAAAAAAAACAAAAAAAAAAAAACCCAGCACAGAGTAGGCATGCCAGCATTCTCTCACTTCTCAGCCTGCAAAAAGATTTACCAATTTACCTCATTTTCTTCTGTTCCTTGTTCTGACCTCAGTGCATGACCCACAGCACCAAGTGTTACTGTCGTTTATGAGTGAACAATTGTGTTAATAAGGAAATAAATTGAATGTTTTCCAGCATTTTGACCTTATTTTTTAAAACTTTGTACCTCCCAGAGCTGGGAAGAGATTCCAGATTTCCAGACTTAGTCCAGAGTCATGACTAATGCTGGACTTCGTCTATAGCTCTTATTGAAATGTCAGAAAACATTTTTTGCCCCAAAAACTATTAACTGATAAATTTATAGCATCAAACTGCATTTTTTAAAGGAGGCTTTTTGTTTTTTCTTTTTTGAGAGAGAGAGAGAGTCTTGCTCTGTCACCCAGGCTGGAGTGCCTTGGCATAGTCTCAGTTCTCTGCAATCTCTGCCTCCTGGTCTCAGGTGATTCTCCTGCCTCAGCCTCCCAAGTAGCTGGGACTACAGGTGTGCACCACCACATCTGGCTAATTTTTGTTTGTTTTTGGTAGAGACGAGGTTTTGCCATGTTACCTAGGCTGATCTTGAACTCCTGGACTCAAGTGATCCACCCACCTCGGCCTCCCAAAGTGCTGAGATTTCAGGTGTGAACCACCACACCTGGCCAAAAGAGACTTTTTTTTTTTTTTTTTTTTTTTTTTTTTTTTTGAGATGAGTGTCGCTCTGTCGCCAGGCTGGAGTACAGTGGCATGGTCTCAGCTCACTGCAACCTCCACCTCCTGGGTTCAAGTGATTCTCCTGCCTCAGCCTCCCGAGTAGCTGGGACTATAGGCACGCGCCACCACGTCCAGCTAATTTTTTGTATTTTTAGTACAGATGGAGTTTCACTGTGTTAGCCAGGATGGTCTCGATCTCCTGACCTCGTGATCTGCCCACCTTTGTCCCCCAAAGTGCTGGGATTACAGGCGTGAACCATCGCGCCCAGCCCATGCCCGGCTAATTTTTTTTTTTTTTTTTTTTTTGGATTTTAGTAGAGACAAGGTTTCACCATGTTGCCCAGGCTGGTCTTGAACTCCTGAGTGCAGGCAATCTGCCCACCTCACCCTCCCAAAGTGCTAGGATTACAGGTATTTGGTTTTTTGTTTGGTTTTCAAGCAACCTTTCTAAATTTTGCTATGCTCACTCTTTCTTCACATGTTGGTACTGGCTAGATACAGATTTTGCTTTCCTATTGGAGACTCTTTTGAGAGCTGGCTATCCCCTCTTGCTCCTTTTCTTTTTTCTCTTCCCTACTTTCAAGTTTCTTGCTCTTTTTCTTACCCCATAAGTTACCAGAAATTCATACCCCCTTGAGAGGGCTTTTTGTTTGAACTTCAGTCTTTAGTTTCGTCAACTTTTCTAAGGCAATTGATCTGTTAATGAAAGTTGGCTTGCTTGACTTCAGAATATCTGTATTATTCAGTGATGTGTTTTTCTGGTTGCTTTGTTTGAGCACAGTGTAAATATCACCCATTGCATAGCTTTGGCAGTGACATAAATCTGGCAGCGTAAGATCGAGAAAAGCTAGAAGTCTCACCACAGATTGTATTTCAGTGAAAGGGATTCTTTTTAACTGCTTATAAAACTAAAGAAAACCTATAAACATGGAAAACAATTATTAAACCCACCATATGCTCATACTGATATTAAATGGTGTGACAGATTCTAGAAAGAGTTACCTTTTGGTAAGAGCACTGCTTGTTAACTATAGTTGATTGCTTTAGATGTCTAGTGTGTACACAAAAGCATGAATTTTATTCCTTATAACCAAAGTAGAAACCTACTCTGAGCAATTTGACAAAAGGTTTACATTATTTATTTTAGTGTAGTTTAAGATTACAGTAAGATACAATTCCCAAAGAGTGAAATATAAGGCTGGGCGTGGTGGATCACGCCTGTAATCCTAACACTTTGGGAGGCTGAGGCGGGTGGATCACCTGAGGTCAGGAGTTCGAGACCAGCCTGGCCAACATGACAAAACCCCGTATCTACTAAAAATACAACAATTAGCCAGACGTGGTGGTGCGCACCTGTAATCCCAACTACTAGGGAGGCTGAGGCAGGAGAATCACTTGAACCTGGTGGGGCGGAGGCTGGAGTGAGCTGAGATCATGCCATTGCACTCCAGCCTGGGCACACTCGCAAAAAAAAAAAGTGCAATATAGCTTTTCACAAAATATGGAACTGTGGTAGTGTAGAACAATGTCTCAATATACCTCCTACACTAAGTATAATAGTAAATATCTGTATTTGGTGGCATAATATGTTCTTAGTATAAACCAAAAACACATGCTGAGCATTGGACATTGTCCAATGTTTAATTCATATGATTCATTCTGAGTTTCTGACTGAGATCATTCTTTCAGACTATGTCTATTTGTCCTGGGACCCATAAAATATGCAGCCCTAACATGATTTCATTTTTGTTTCCTTTCCTGGAAAAGGAGAAATCATTCAGATCAGCTTTCATATTGCCTTATAGACGATGACTTCAAAATAGTTTGAAAGGGACTCCTTTGTTCTAGAACTGCTCTAACACAGTAGCCACTAGCCACATGTGGCTATTGAAAGATTGAAATGTGGTTATTCCAAATCAGGATGTACAGTAAATATAAAATACACACCAGATTTCAAAGGCTTACATGAAAAAAGTAATGTGAAATATCTCACTAGTAGTTTTTATAGTGATTACATGTTGAAATTTTAACATTGTGAACATATTAGTTTAAATAAAATGTATTGTGAAAATTAATTCCATGTTTCTATTTACTTTTGATAAAAGTACTACTAGAGGCTGGGTGTGGTGGCTCACTCCTGTAGTCCCAGCACTTTGGGAGGCTGAGGTGGGAGGATCACGAGGTCAGGAGACCGAGACCATCCTGGCTAACACGGTGAAACCCCGTCTCTACTAAAAACACAGAAAATTAGCCAGGAGTGGTGGCAGGCGCCTGTAGTCCCAGCTACTAGGGAGGCTGAGGCAGGAGAATGGCGCGAACCTGGGAGGCGGAGCTTGCAGTGAGCTGAGATCGTGCCACTGCACTCCAGCCTGGGCTTCAGAGCGAGACTCCGTCTCAGAAAAAGAAACACTACTAGCACATTTTTAAATTACTTGTAGTGATCTCATTTGTACCACATTACATTTCAATCGTATACTGCTTTTCTAAAGAGTCACTGCTAAGCCCTGAAATTAACTCCAAATACCTCCCTGGAATACAGTGCCAAGGCAGGGGCTTCCTTGAACTTCAACCTCCAAAAGTAAGCAAGAATTGAGAAATATCTTCTGCTTTGAAAAATATTCACTCCCCAACCCTAATACATCAATTACATATTATTTGGGGGCTAACTAAGCTCCTGTTTTAAAATGTAAATTGAAGAAATTAGGCCAGAGTCATTCCCATCTTAGTGCCAATCATATAATCAGATAATTAGATTGCTCTTTCCCTAAAGCCTGTTTAGTTTTCTTGTTTGCTGGTTTTGTTGTTGTTGGGTTTTTTAATTTGTTTTTGTTGTTGTTGTTGTTGTTTTGAGATGGATACTCACTGTGTCACCCAGGCTAGAGTGCAGCGGCATGATCTCTGCTCAGTGCAACCTCCAACTCCTGGGTTCAAGCGATTCTCCTGCCTCAGCCTCCTGAGTAGCTGGGACTATAGGTGCATGCCACCACGCCCGTCTAATTTTTTTGTTGTTTTGTTTTTTTTTTGTTGTTTTTTTTTGTTTGTTTTGAGACAGTCTCGCTGTTTCCCAGGCTGGAGTGCAGTGGCACGATCTCGGCTCACTGCAACCTCCACTTCCGAGGTTCAAGCAATTCTCCTGCCTCAGCCTCCCAAGTGGCTGGGACTACAGGTGCATGCCATTATGCCTGGCTAATTTTTTGTATTTTTAGCAGAGATGGGGTTTCGCCATGTTGGCCAAACTGGCCTCAAACTTCTGGCCTCAGGTGATCCAGCCGTCTCAGATCAAAGTGCTGGGATTCCAGGCATGAGCCACCACTCACAGCTCGCTAAGGCCTTTTGCCAAGACAAATTAGCTCTTAGAGAACCACAGGATTCCTCTTGTAATGTATTACAAACTAAAGTCTTACCTGCTCTTGAAGAGTAGAAAACATGAAAAAGTTCTGTTAGCCCTTAGAATAATTAAAAATTCATAAGCTCTGAAATAAATACAGGTAATAAAGGTAATAAAATTATTGCCTATGACAAAACAAAAGTTTAAATTGGCGTTTGTAAACTCTGCACGAAAGCCAGGTTTCTCACTACTAGAAAAAGAAAAAAAGTTATAAATAAGCCAAGAATTCCAGAATGAATCCTGTGGTGCCAAATATATGTTAACTACAAGGAATAACAGTGACCTTACACTGGAAACACCTTAACCATGGGCCAAGGTTAAAGATATAACAGCATTCTCACACCCCTTGCACAGCTACCCCCAATGTTAACATAACTGTTAATAAATTATCAAAACTAAGAAATTAGTCTTGGTATAGTATCACTAACTACACTCCAGACCTCAGTCAGGTTTTCCCAGTCTTTCCTTCAGTGTCCTTCCTCTGTTTCAGGATTCAATCCATGATCCTTGACACTTGGTACTTTGTCAGATGTCCTGCTATATGGGTTTGTTTGATGTTTTCCCATGATTAGGGATAGACACTGCAAGACTCAGAGCTACTTTACAAAGAAGCCTCTAGGGAGCTCCCCAGAGAAGACAGGGGAGACAACACAGGGACACTAGAGGAAATTTTAGCCTCTGACATCCATGACTATATAGCAAAGAGTAAACAAAGCCTAACTCCTAGCCAGAGAAATACAAAATCTCATACTAAAGCCTTATTTAACTCAGTTCCTTTCACCCAGTACATCATATACAGCCTCAAACAAAAAATTACAAAGCATACTAAAAGACAAGAAACCCCACACTTTGAAGAGACAGAGCAAGCATCAGAACCAGACTCAGATATGAAAGAAATATTGGAAGTGTCCAACCAGGAATTTAAAATAACTAAGATTAACATGCTAGGGGCTCTAATGTAAAAACAGCATAACATGCAAGAACAGATGGGTAATGTAAGCAAAGAGATAAAAACACTAAGAAGAAATAAAAATGAAATACTAGAAATAAAAAACACCATAACAGAAATGAAGAATGCCTTTGATGGGTTCATCAAAAGAATGGATATGGCCAATGAAAGAATCAGTGAGCTTGAAGAGATGTCAATAGATACTTCAAAAGCTGACACACAATGAGAAAAAAGAATGAAAAAGAAAAAACAGAACAAGAGTCAAGAACTGTGAGACAATTACAAAAGGTGGAACATGGAGACTTTTTGGAAATACCAGAAAGAGAAGAAAAAGAGAAAGAAAGCTGGGCGTGGTGGCTTATGCCTATAATCCCCACACTTTGGGAGGCTGAGGCGGGCAGATCACAAGGTCAGGAGATCGAGACCATCCTGGCTAACACGGTGAAACCCTGTCTCTACTAAAAATACAAAAAATTAGCAGGGCATGGTGGCAGGCGCCTGTAGTCCCAGCTACTAGGGAGGCTGAGGCAGGAGAATGGCGCGAACCTGGGAGGCGGAGCTTGCAGTGAGCTGAGATCGTGCCACTGCACTCCAGCCTGGGCAACAGAGCAAGACTCCGTCTCAAAAAAAAAAAAAAGAAAGAAAGAAAGAAACAGAAGAAACATTTGAAGCAACAGTGACTGAAAATTTCCCCAAATTAATGATATATAAAGATATGGTCTGAATGTTTGTGTCTCCTCAAAAGTTATATTGAAACTTAATCCTCAATATGATAGTACTGAGGTGGGGCTTTTGGGAGTCAATCAGGTTATGAGGGCTCTATCCTCAGGACAGAGATTAGTGCACTTATGAAAGAAGCCCCAGGGAATTAGCTAGCCCCTTACACCATGTGAGGACAAAGCCAGAATGTGCCATCTATGAGGAAGGAGGGCCTCACCAGACACTGCTAGTGCCTTGGTCTTGGACATCACAGCCCCTAGAACTGTGAGAAATAAATTTCTGTTGTTTATAAACTCTCCAGTTTATGAAATTTTTGTCACAGCAGCCCAAATGAACTAAGGTAGACATAAAGGAACAGATCCAGGAAGCTCAAAAAACACCATATAGGATAAATAACAAAAATGTTACATCGAGGTATATCTTTTTTTTTTTTCCTAAGATGGAGTTTCGCTCTTGTTGCCCAGGCTAGAGTGCAATGGTGCAATCTCAGCTCACTGCAGCCTCTGCCTCCTGGGTTCAAGCGATTATCCTGCCTCAGCCTCCCAAGTAGCTGGGATTACAGACCCCCGCCACTAAGCCCAGCTAATTTTTTGTATTTTTAGTAGAGATGGGGTTTCACTATGTTGGCCAGGCTGGTCTTGAACTCCTGGCCTCAGGTGATCTGCCTGTCTTGGCCTCCCAAAGTGCTGGGATTACAGGCATGAGCCACTAGGCCTGCCTAAGTATATCTTATCTAGACACAGATCTCAATCCTTTCACAAAAATTAACTCAAAAGGGATCATAGACCTAAATGTAACATGCAACACTACAGAATTCCTAGAAGATAACATAGGAGAAAACTCAGGTGACCTTGGATTTGGTGATGACTTTTTAGATATAACATCAAAAACATGACTCATAAAAGAAAAAATTGGTAAGTTGGACTTCACTAAAATTAAATTTTTCTGCTCACACAGGACACTGTTAAGAGAATGAAAAGGTAAGCCATTAAATGGGAAAAAATCTTTGCAAAAAAATAGTTCTTTATATATGATATATAATAATATATATCATATATAATATTATATATATATATATTCTGAAAAAGGCAAAACCATAGAAACAGTAAGAAGTTCAGTGGTTGCCAGGAGTTAGGTGTTGGGGGCGGGGAGGGTGGATAAATGGTGGAGAACAGCTGATTTTTAGGGTAGTGAAACTATTCTGTTTCTGTAATGATGAATACATGTCATTATACATTTGTCAAAACCCATAGACTATACAACACCAAGAATGAACTCTAATGTAATCCACAAAGCACTATTGTTAACAAAGCTTTAATAATGGCTCATCAATTATAACAAATGTACTATAACTAATGCAAGATGTTAATAATAAGGGAAACGGGGGTGGGAGGGTTTGGGGTAAGAGGGCATATGGGAATTCTCTTCTGTTTGCTCACTTTTCTGATAAGCTGTAATTGTTCAAACAATAAAATGTATTATTAATAGTTTTCAAAAATTCACTCAATGGGCTACATAGCAGAATGCAGATGACAATGATAGGAGTTTGTGAACTTGACGACAGATTAGAAATGGTAGACCTAAATCCTACCAAATCAATAATTACATTAAATGTAAATGGTCTAAATATACCAACTGTAATGCAGAGATTGTCAGACTACATTAAACAGACAAGACCTGAGTACATGCTATTTATAAGAAAATCACTTTCAATATAAAGACTTAATTGATTAAAAGAATGGGCTGGGCTTGGTGGCTCACACCTGTAATCCCAGCACTTTGGGAGGCCAAGGCAGGCAGATCAAGAGGTCAGGAGACCGAGATCATCCTGGCTAACACGGTGAAACCCCGTCTCTACTAAAAATACAAAAAATTAGCCAGACATAATGGCACGCACCTGTAGTCCCAGCTACTTGGGAGGCTGAGGCAGGAGAATCGCTTGAACCTCAGAGGTGGAGGTTGCACTGAGCTGAGATCATGCCACTGCACTCCAGCCTGGGTGACAGAGTGAGACTTCATATCAAAAATATATATATAGAAAAATAAAATTAAAAGTGGAAAAATGCAAATACTAATCAAAGGAAATTAGGCTGGGTGTGGTAGCTTACACCTGTAATTCTAGCACTTTGGGAGGCCAAGGCAGGAAGACTTCTTGAGGCTAGGAGTTCCAGACCAGCCTGGGCAACAGAATGAGATCCCTTCTCTACAAATGAAAAAAAAAAGTTTAAATAGCCCAGCATGGTGGCATGCATGGTATAATGTACCCTAGCTACTTGGGAGGCTGAGGTGGGAGGATCGCTTGAGCTCAGTAGTTTGAGGTTACAGCAAGCTATGATCACACCACTGCACTCCAGCCTGGGCAACAGAATGAGACCCTGTATCTAAAAAAATAAGCAAAAGAAAAAGGAAATGAGAGTGTCTATATTAATATCAAAGTAGACTTCAAACAAAGATGATTACCATGAATAAAGAAGGATATTACATAATTATTAAAGGGTCAATTCAACAAGAAGACATAACAATCATAAATGTGTAAATATAATTCCATAGTAAAAGGAATCAGGAGGCTTGAGAGATGCTTATTTCAGGTCTGGGGTAAGGAATGTACAAAGTGAACCAGGACTAATGAAGTTATATTAAAACTCCAAAAGACGAAAAGAGTCATTTAAAAGACTAATGGAGTCATATGAAAAGGTCCCAGGAGCCAACAGAAAGGACTCCCCTTGGCCAAATCTGGAACATTTTGACAGTTTGAGCATCAATAAGAGTAATGAACCATAATTGACTAGAAGACATTTAAAGCATAAAAATTCTTGAGTCCATAATCATACTCAATAAAGATGAAAACAAACCATCTTAATCATCACTGATGGGGGTGGCTGTTATTCAAGTTCTTATTCTAAAACTTGGTAATTAAAGGTAAGTAAAGAATAATGTATTCTTTCTCTGCAGTGGAACTAAGTTTTAGATACAAAATAACCCCAGTGGATGAGGGAAAGTTCTTTAGAGGTAAGAATGACAGTTAATAAATGTAGAAAAAAAAAGATAATTTAATCACCATTTTGCAACTTCTAATTAAGTAACTGATCTGAGAAAGAATCATTACTGCATGCTAAAACCATTAAGGGAAAGATGTCAAAGATCTCAGTGTTCCAACCCATAGAATACTTTCCAGTGGCAAGAAGATAAATCGATAGTTAACCCTATAATCTTAGAATCTCTAATAGTGGGTACACTAGATATTATGTGAAGAAAATGGCATCAGGCTGGGCGTGGTGGCTCATACCTGTAATCCCAGCACTTTGGGAGGCAGAGGTGGGTGGATCACCTAAAGTCAGGAGTTCGAGACCAGCCTGGCCAATATGGTGAAACCCCATCTCTACTAAAAATACAAAAACTTTCAGGGCATGGTGGCGAGCACCTGTAATCCCAGCTACGTGGGAGGCTGAGGCAGGAGAATCACTTGAACCCAGGAGGCGGAGGTTGCAGTGAGCCGAGATCGTGCCACTGCACTCCAGCCTGGGTGACGAGAGTGAAACTGCATAAGAAAGAAAAGAAAAGAAAAGAAAGAAAGAAAGAAAGAAAGAAAGAAAGAAAGAAAGAAAGAAAGAAAGAAAGAAAATGATATCAATGGTGAAGAATTGTTGTCCAACATGTTTAATGTAATTGTGTTCAAGCCTAAAATTCTGCTTTACTGGAAATAAAAGAGAATACAGTTAAAGGACACCATGAGGAAACAATCAGATAAATACAGAAAGTGAGAACATTGACCCAACTTCTGTAAGTCAACTGGCTAGGTCTCTCCAATAAGTTCAAAGTCAAGAAAAAAAAGGGGGGGCCAGGTACTACACTTGATTTTTAAAAAGCTTAGAGACAAACAATGAAATGCAACCTATGCTCCTTAATTAGAACCCTATTTAAACAAACCAGCTCTCAAAGACATTTTTTGGGGTCAAAAAGGGAAAGGTGAATATAGTCTGGTTATTAGAGAACATTTAGAAAGCACTGTTACTTGTATTAGGTGTGAAAATTGTGTGATTATATTGTGAAAGAATTCCTTCTTTAAAAAAGATGCATTCTAAAGTATTTAGGGGTGAAAAGTTTAAAGTAATTTACTTCAAACTACAGTGAAAAAAATTTAAACACTGCAAAATATTAACTGCTAAATCTAGATGGTGGCTTTATAATATTCATAGATGAACATATTTCCTTTAAATTTCTATGTGCTTAAAATTTTTCATGTTAAGTAATATATGTATTACACTGGGATACATATAACTATGATTGACAGAAAATAACACTAAAAGTGCAAGATCACTGATTCTGTCTAGGAAGTAGGATTATAGGGACTTCAATTTTCAAGTTAGCTTTTTTTTTTTGAGACGGAGTCTTGCTCTATCGCCCAGGCTAGAGTGCACTGGCGCAATCTCAGCTCCCTGCAAGCTTCGCCTCCCGGGTTCACACCATTCTCCTGCCTCAGCTGGGACTACAGGCACCACCACCATACCCGGCTAATTTTTTTTGTATTTTTAGTAGACACAGGGCTTCACCGTGTTAGCCAGGATGGTCTCGATCTCCTGACCTCAGGTGATCTGCCCACCCTGGCCTCCCAAAGTGCTGGGATTACAAGCGTGAGCCACTGTGCCCAGCCAGAAAAGAATATTTTTTAAAAAAGAAAATCCATAATCGTAGTAACATTTTCTAGATGGAAAAAACAAGAAAGAAAAATAGAAAATTAGGTACAGAAGGTAAGTTCCATTCAGCTGTGCTCAATTTTGGTAACATATTAAACATGGTCAAACGCTTCCTCATATTCCATGTCCCCCTTCCCACCACATACCATGGCAGTTTTTTCAGATGAATAAAAACAAAAGCTATGGACATGAATGCATTACCGAATGTCAAACTTGCGATGACCTGGCTCAAGCAGCAGAGGGTGCTCAAGATATTTCTGGATCACGTGCACTGGGCCCTGGTTGTCTATGAAATGGAGAAGCTCTGAAGCCTCTGAGGAGATGAGAATGCCTTCACCTAACAGGGAAAAAGCAAAAGAGAAACCAATCCAATTCAAACCAAGAGCTCTCTATAAAGCCAGAAAGGAAATACGAACAGCAAAAACCCCACAAGAGGCTTTCAATGTCCTGCTCACCTTTTTCCCTCCCTTCCTTACTCCAGTCCCCCACATGCTCCCTTCTCCCCTCAAGAGCACCCAGGATTATCCTACCAACTCTTTCTCCATACAGGTGTCAACGCTATCTTGGCTGGCTACAACCATGAAACGTCAGTTTTACAGAAATTCGTAGTGCCTAAGCACTCAAAATAAATACCATTCTAGTACTAGTCACTGGCTACCACAATAAAGACTATAACAACAATAAATCCCCTTCCTTCACTATATCTTATAGAACTACCAGGAAGATAAAGGCATAAAGATGAATGTTCAAGTACGTCCCTTGCAGCATTGCAATAGAAAAAACTGGATACATTGGAATTGTCCATTAACATTAAATAATTGATATATCCTTTTTAATAGCTTGAAGTATAATTCATATACCAAAAAATTTATCCTCTTAAAGTGCACAGTTCAATGGCTTTGAGTATATTCAAGAGTTTTAAACCATTACTACAGTTTTTGTTGTTATTTCTTTGTTTGTTTGTTTGTTTTTGAGATGGAGTCTCACTCTGTCGCCCAGGATGGAGTGCAGTGGCGCAATCTCAGCTCACTGTAACCTTCGCCTCCTGGATTCAAGCAATTCTCCCACCTCAGCCTCCCAAGTAGCTGGGATTACAGGTGTGCACCACCATGCCTGGCTAATTTTTGTATTTTTAGTACATATGGGGTTTCACCATGTTGGCCAGGATGGTCTTGGTCTTCTGACCTCGTGATCTGCCTGCCTTGGCCTCCCAAAGTGCTGGGATTACAGGTGTGAGCCACCATGCCCGGCCTACTACAGTTTAATTTTAGAACGGTTTCACCACTCCCCCCAAAAAAACTCTGTACCTATTAGCAGTCACTCACTACTCCCTCCTCACCCCAGCTTCTGACAACCACTAATCTACTTTCTGTATGTATGGATGTCTCATCTGGACATTTCATATAAATGGAATCACACAGTATGTGGCCTTTTGTGTCTAATTTCACTTAGCACAAAGTTTTCAAGGCTCATCCCCATTGTAGTGTGTATTAGCATCATGTTCACTCCTTTCTATGGCTGAAGAGTCATTTTTGTTCATTTAGTCATCAATTGATGGACGTTTGCATTGGTTCCATTCTTGTCTGCCTCTTATGAATAATGCTGCTATAAGATTTGCATACAAGTTTTTGTGAACATATATTTTCAATTCTCAGGAATACTAGGTATGCAGGTGTGTGCCACCACATTGGCTAATTTTTGTATTTTTTTGTAGAGCTGGGGTCTTACTGTTTGCTCTTTTTCTAATTGGATTGTGTGTCTGTTGTTGTTTACTGTTAAGTTTTGAAAGTTGTTTACATATTCTAGATCTGAGTCCCTTGTCATATGTATGACTTAAAAATCCTTTCACCCAGTTTGTAACTCATTTTTATACTCTAATGAGGTGTTTCATAGAGCAGAAGTTTTATTTTGATGAGGTTCAATTTATCAATTTTTACTTTTATGGATTATACTTTTGGAGTCAAGCTCAAGAACTCTTTGCCAAGCCCTATCTCCTCTTTTCTGAAAAATTATTAGGTCCACGATCCATTTTGAGTTAGTTTTTGTATGAGGTGTGAAGCTTATGTTGATGTTCATTTTTCTGCCTGTTGATATCCACCTTATCTAGTACAATTTGTTGAAAAGTTTATCCTTCCTCTATTGAATGGCTTTTGCACCTTTTTCAAATATCAGATGGGCATATATGTTTTGGTCTATTTCTGAGTTCTCTATTCTCTTCCACTGATTTATGTTTCTTCTGTTTTTGAGACAGAATCTTGCTCTGTCACATAGTGGTGTGATCTCGGCTCACTGCAACCTCTGCCCCCTGGTTCAAGCAATTCTCATGCCTCAGCCTCCCGAGTAGCTGAAAGTACAGGCATGCGCCACCACACCTGGCTAATTTTTTTTGTATTCTTAGTAGAGATGGGGTTTCACCATGTTGGCCAGGCTTGTCTTGAACTCCTGACCTCAGGTGATTCACCCGCCTTGGCCTCTGCTGGGATTTCAGCCGAGAGCCACCGTGCCTGGCCCCACTGATTTATGTTTCTATTTTTTCATGAATACTACAGTGTATTAAGTACTATAGCTCTAAAATACATCTTAATATCAGGTAGCATGTTCACTTATATTCTTCTTTTTCAAGATGTTTAAGCTATTCTAGGGCTTGTGCCTTTCCATATGAATTTTTATTATTTATTTATTGATTGAGATGGAGTCTTGGTCTTGTCGCCTAGGCTGGGCCCAAGCGATTCTTCTGCCTCAGCCTCCTAAATACCTGCAATTACAGGCGCCCTCCACCATGCCTGGCTAATTTTTGTATTTTTAGTAGGGACAGGGTTTCACCATGTTGGCCAGCCTGGTCTCGAACTCCTGACCTCCGGTGATCCACCTGCCTTGGCCTCCCAAAGTGCTGGGATTATAGGCGTGAGTCACTGCACCTGGCCTCCATGTAAATTTTTTTTTTTTTTTTGAGATGGAGTCTCGCTCTGTTGCCCAGGCTGGAGTGCAGTGACATGATCTTGGCTCACTGCAACCTCCGTCTCCCGGGTTTACGCCATTCTCCTGCCTCAGCATCCCGAGTAGCTGGGACCACAGGTGCCCACCACCACGCCCGGCTAATTTTTTGTATTTTGAGGAGAGACGGGGTTTCACCATGTTAGCCAAGATGGTCTCGATCTCCTGACCTCATGATCCACCTGCCTCGGCTTCCCAAAGTACTGGGATTACAAGTGTGAGCCACCGTGCCCGGCCCCTCCATGTAAATTTTAAAAGAAGCTCCATGTCTATACAAAAATCTTGCTAACATTTTGATAAGAATTACATAAACCTATAGACCAGTTTGGGGTGAACTGACATCTTTACTATACTGTCCTGCAATCCATGAACACAGTATGTCTGTCCATTTCTTTAGGTCCTCTTTGACTTCCTTCATAATCATTTTACTATTTTTAGCATACAGAGCCTATACATGTCTTGTTAAATTTATACCCAAGCATCACATTTTCTCTAGGGTGACTGTAAGTAGTACTGTGGTTTTTTGGGGTTTTTTTAGACGGAATTTTTGCTCTCTTGCCCAGGCTGGAGTGCAATGGTGCGATCTCAGCTCACTGCAACCTCTGCCTCCTGGGTTCAAGCGATTCTCCCACCTCAGCCTCTTGAGTAACAGGGATTACAGGTGACTGCCACCAAGCCCGGCTAATTTGTGTATTTTTATAGAGACAGGGTTTCAGCAAGTCGGCCAGACTGGTCTCGAACTCCTGACCTCAGGTGATCCGCCCGCCTTGGACTCTCAAAGTGCTGGGATTACAGGTGTGAGCCACTGCGCCCAGCTAAGTAGTTTTGTGTTTTTAACTTTGGTTTCCACATGTTCATTGTTGGCATATAAAAATGTGATTAAGTTTTGTGTGTTGCTCTCATATCCCATAATATGGCTGAACTCACTCTTTAGTGAGTTGTCACCACTTCTTATTTTAACCATTTTAATAAAAGTGTAGTGACAGCTCGCTGTGGTTTCAGTTTGCTAGAATCTTCTGATCTATGCTTTAGATTTATAGCTGATTTCTACCTGGATCTCATGCTTTCTTTATAAATGAATTCAATTCAGTTCATTAATTCAATGATCCACCTTTCCCAAACGTTAACGCCCTTTTCAACTATCTTCTTCCTGTCACTTGTTCGACCATCTGGTGAGCTTCTTGAACAAGAAACTGCAAATCAACCTGGAAAAGCTCCCTTCTTCTCTTTCCCTACACACATGACTCATGCTGTTTCATCTCCCTTAGGAATCAGACTCAGATTTTTTGATACAACAGTATCAAAAATTATAAAATAAATTTGAATTTTATGTATCGTTTTATACCTATAAAATAAGAAAACAAAAATGGTGATACTTTTAGTAGAAGTTCGTCATGAACTGCTCCCTGTTAGCTCACGGCCCTTTGAAAAAGCAAGAGGATAACACAGAGCAAGAGCCATAAAGGCTTCATATCATTTGACCAAGTAATCTCATGTTTCAAACTTACTCTAATGAAATTTTTAAGAAGAAACAAGAGTCAAGGCTGGGTGTGATGGCTCATGCCTGTAATCCCAGCACTTCGGGAGGCTTGAGGTGGGAAGATCACTTGAGCTCAGGAGTTCAAGAACAGCCTGGGTAACATAGTGAGACTTCATCTCTACTAAAAATCAAAAAATTAACAGGGTGTGGTGGTGCACGGCTGTCGTCCCAGCTACTCAAGAGCTTGAGATGGGAGCGGGCCCGGGCACGGTGGCTCACGCCTGTAATCCCAGCACTTTGGGAGGCTGAGGCGGGCGGATCACGAGGTCAGGAGATCGAGACCATCCTGGCTAATGTGGTGAAACCCTGTCTCAACTAAAAATACAAAAAATTAGCCAGGTTTGGTGGTGGGTACCTGTAGTCCCAGCTACTCGGGATACTGAGGCAGGAGAATGGCCTGAACCTGGGAGGCGGAGCTTGCAGTGAGCTGAGATTGCACCACAGCACTCCAGCCTGGGCGACAGAGTGAGACTCTGTGTCAAAAAAAAAGAGGTTGAGGTGGGAGGATCGCTTGAGCCCAGGAAGTCGAGGCTGTAGTGAACTGAGATCATGCCATCTCACTCCAGCCTGGGCAACAAAGTGAGACCTTGTCTCAAACACACACACACACACACACACACACACACACATACAGACACATATATATATAAAATAAAAAATTAAAATTAAAAAAGAAACAAGGGTGATCTACAGCAAAGACATTTACTACTGTTATCTGTAATAGCGGAACAATGGGGTTGTTTCTAAACAATAATTTTCTGTTATAGATGTAGTGTGTTCCCACGCTCCAGGTGAGAGGTGAAGGTGGCTAGATTAGAGATAGGCAGTGGACATGGTAAACAGTGGCTTCATAATGGGTAGAGTTTGAAGGTTGAGCCAACTATACAAAGCATGTAGTGGGTACCAAATAAATACTTGTTTAACAAGAATAAAAGCCATTCATTCATCCTATTGATTTCATTTTATGGTTTCCAAACATAATAAATATATATCAAATATATATCTCTTCAACTCCTAAAGCAAAAAGTCTTTAGCATTTTATTCTCTCTTGACTTCCCCCTGCTGCTTGGTGTCCCTCTGAGTCTTGTCTTGGTGAGGGTCCAGGGATCACCAGGTGTCCTCACAGTGGCCATTCTGACTCCAATCCCAAACCCACCGGAGAAGGGATGTCTATTTCCTCTTCCAAATCCGTCATTTACCATTGGAACCACACTAGGGGGCAGTAGTTGAGAAAAGGTCACAAGAGGGGAGAGAGAAGTAGGTGAGATACCTGACTTGTGGCAAGAGTCCAACTCTCCCCCTTTCAGGGATACCAGTTGAGGCCTTCCTGTCTCATGGCTGGTGGAAAAGAAGGTGAGGTCCCTTCGACCCAGAACAGAAATGAGTACCAATGGCCAGATGTCTCCCAAGGCAATACAAGAAGTGAGTTCAAAGTGGAATGGTTTTTTTTTTATTTTTTGAGAAGGAGTCTTGTTCTGTCGCCCAGGCTGGAGGTGCGATCTCAGCTCACTGCAAGCTCCACTTCCCGGGTTCACGCCATTCTCCTGCCTCAGCCTCCCGAGTAGCTGGGACTACAGGCTCCCACCACCACGCCTGGCTGATTTTTGTATTTTTAGTAGAGACGGGGTTTCACCATGTTGGCCAGGCTGGTCTTGAGCTCTTGACCTCAAGCGATCTGCCCTCCTCAGCCTCCCAAAGTGCTGGGATTACAGGTGTGAGCCACTGTGCCCGGACTTTTTTTTTTTTTTTTTTTTAAAGAAAAGGTAGCATCTGTTTTCTCAGCCTGCTTCCTGCTAGAATTTTGGAGGTCCAACAATTCCTTTTTATGTTGTACTGGGTCTGCCTTTTCCACTCCAAACTGACACACAGATTTCTCAGGAAATTTGTGGGTCTTTTTGTTTGCTTGCATAATGTGTTAACTACATTAGACGAAACCCTACAAATCTCTCTGGATAAACCCTTCACTATCTTGAGCTTCTGCTGAGAGGCTGAGGAAAAATACTCTTAAGCTCCCTAGAGGTTTAATTGTTTGAGACAATCTGAGAGCAACACCCTTAATCTCTTTAAAGGGACCTTTGTGTGACTGAATATGACTGTGATCCTTTGGTCTCTCTGAGATTTTAACATTAGATTGTATATACATAGAAATAGGTAACTAATGCAGGCAGCGTTTAGCATTCTCCACTATATAGTGGATATAAACGCAATTCCCTCTCATTATTCTTTGACTTAGTGTCTTGGTGATTCTGAAGCATTTATTTTTCCATGTAATTTTTGAAATCCTTTTAGCTAGCTCAAACACATTGTGTAAGAACTGCAGCAATATCCATACATTATTAATGTTGGGAGGATTTTTATTCCTATGATAGTGAGTCTCCCCATTCAGATACGGTGTCTCTCAATGTACTTAGTTTTAACGTCCACTACAAAATTTTATTCAAGTTAAACTCATGTCCTTGATGTTATTTTTATTTCACTTTGAATTTAGTTGCTATTCAATGACATGGTTTTCCATTTCCATTTCTGATTTCTGTTCATAGAGAAAACATGTGCAACTATTTAACCAAATTTACTTATTCGTTTAAGATTGTTTTTGTTCCTTTTTTTTTTTCAAGACAGAGTCTTGCTCTGTCACCCAGGCTGGAGTGCAGTGGTGCGATCTCTGCTCACTGCAAGCTCTGCCTCCCGGGTTCACGCCATTCTCCTGCCTCAGCCTCCCGAGTAGCTGGGACTACAGGCACCCGCCACCACACCCGGCTAATTTTTTGTATTTTTAATAGAGACGGGGTTTCACCATGTTGGCTAGGATGGTCTCGGTCTCCTGACTTCATGATCTGCCCACTTCAGCCTCCCAAAGTGCTGGGATTACAGGCGTGAGCCACCGCGCCCGGCCTGTTTTTGTTTCTTTTCTAAAATATCTTGGATGGTTTTGCCTACTTTCCAACATTTAAATTGATTATTTCAATTTTTTTTTTTTTTTCTTTGAGACGGAGTCTCCCTCTGTCACCCAGGCTGGAGTGCAGTCTCGCGATCTCGGCTCACTGCAACCTCTACCTCCCGGGTTCAAGTGATTCTCCTGTCTCAGCTTCCCGAGTAGCTGGGATTACAGGTGCGCACCACCATGCCTGGCTAATTTTCTTTTTGGATTTTTAGTAGAAACGGGGTTTCACCATGTTGACCAGGCTGGTCTCGAACTCCTGACCTCAAGTGATCTGCCCACCTCGGCCTCCCAAAGTGCTGGGATTCCAGGCATGAGCCACCATGCCCGGCCCCAATTATTTCAATTTTTGATCGAATTATATTGAGTAGAATTTTGAAAAAATATGTTTAATAATGGTGGCAGCTGATATTTCAGCTTGAAACTGATGGATAAAATTGGCTCTGTGTTTTACTGTTTAGTATAAAGCTTTCTCTTGATGACGAATCATATTTAATCATTTTACTTGGAAACTTTGAAAAAAGATCAGAAACAAGCTTTTTAGTATTTATTGATTTAATCGTATTATCCTAGTTTAAATTGTTGATTTAATATATTGTGATAGTTGAATTTTTTAAAAAAATAGTCTTAACTTTTTGGACAGTTTTGTACTTACAGAAAAATTAAGAAATTCGTACAAAGAGCACCTATATGCCCTGTACTCAATTGTCTCCTATAACCAACATCTTACACGAGTATGGTGTATTTGCAACAATTACTCAACTAATATTGATTTGTTATTATTAGCTAGTGTGAATATTTTATCCAGATCTCCTTAGTTTTTGCCTAATATTATTTTCTGTTCGAGGATGTCATCCAGGACATCACATTACATTTAGTTGTCATCTGTCCTTACGCTCCGCTTGGCTGTGACAGTTTCTAAGACTTTTCTTGTTTCTGATGACCTTGACAGTTTTGGGGATACTGGTGAGATTTATTCCTGTTGATGCTGACCTTGATCACCTGGCTGAGACGGTGTCCATTACGTTTCTCCACAGAAAAGTCCCTCTTTCTTTCCCTTTCCTTACTGTACTCTTTGGAAGGAAGTCCTTATGTCAGAGGTGTTTGAACTGGAGTGACTCCATTTTGAGTGAGGGCTAGGAAAATGTGTCTGAGGCTTCCTGGGCTGCATTCCCAGAAAGTGAGGAATTCCTAGCCCCTAGATGTTTATGGTTAAGGGAACAGATTAATAATGTTTACTAAACAGATGCAGACTCGGGAGTGTCCAGATATCCCGATATCTGGAGAATAAGGGCATTCCTAATTTTGCTTTAAACATATCGATTCTTGCAAAATACAGTAATTAGGAAAATTAATGCTTTATCACAAACCCCTGTAGCAGAGCACATCTCCCCAAGATTTTTTTATCATATATATACATATGTGTGTGTATATATATATACACATATGTATGTATTTATCTCATATATACACATATGTATGTATTTATCGTGTGTGTGTGTGTGTGTATACCAACATTGTATCTACGGTGGAAGCGTTCCTCCTTTTGCTTTCAGGAACGCCCTGCTCTGTCTATGGAGTAGCTGTGCTTTCACTACTTTACTTTCTTTAATAAACTTGCTTTTGCTTTGCACTGCAGATTCATCCTGAATTCTTTCTTGTGCAAGATTCAAGAATCCTCTCTTAGGGTGTGGATCGGGATCCCGATCCCTTTCCAGCCCACACTTAAGGATTGGAGAGTTATGCTCTCCACTGTTTGAGGGTGAAATATCGACATCAATCATTTAGAATTCTTCTGCATGAGAGGTTTGTCTCCCCTATTTATTTATTTTCTCAATCATTGTTCATAGATACTTATTTCATACTTTGGATTAGAATCCAGTGTTACTTTATGGTGTTGCTCCAATCATGCCTCCTTTGGCCACTGGAAGTTCTTTCACTTGCTCCTGTGTGCCTTTGACAAACCTCCCTCAAAGTGGGTTTGGTTTTGTTTGGGAGCACTTCTTTATTTCCTGTCATTTCAAGAGATTCTGTGCTTACCTTCTCTATTCCTGCTACAGTCCTTGAATCAGCCATTTGTCCAAGGAATCCTGGTCAGTTGAGTTTGTAATGTTGAAGCACCCTCTCATTCCTCAAACCCTGATTAGTTAAGGAGTACTATTCTTTTTCCGTATCATTGGATTTCATATTCTAATAATTTGATTATAATTTTTGTGTCTGTATCCCTTTATAAAAATGGTATATACTCTAATTTTTTGATATTTCTTACTAGTTTTAAAAATTAAAGCAATGTTAGCCTTATAAGATAAACAATGAAGCTTTGCACTTTTTCCAAGTACTGAAATTGTTTAGGCATTGTAAGAATTGTTCCTTCTTTAAAGGCCAGAAAGAATTCAGGGATTAAAATCTTCTGGATCTATGACCTTTTAAAATATAGGCCTTTATTATTTCAGTCTCTCTATAGCTAATAATTCATTCAGGCTTTGTGTTTCTTCTGGGTAACTTTTGTTTATATTTTGACAAGAAATGTTTTTATTTCCCCTTCATTCCTGAAGTATAGTTCACTGGGTATAGAATTAGGATGAACAGTTCTTTTATTTTAGCCCTTGAAAATGTTAGCTATTTTCTTATTGTCCCACAAGTTCCTGGATCTCTGTTCATTTCTTTTTCAGCTATTTTCTTTTTGTCGTTCAGTTTGAGAAACTTGTAATAATCTATGTTCAAATTAATTGACTTTCCTCTGTCATCTCCATTCTGCTATTGAGCCCATTCAATGAATTTATTTTAATTATATTTTCAGTTCTAAAATTTCAAATTTTTTCCTTCTATGTCTTTTTTTTCTTGAATTGTAATTTTTAAAATTTAAGTGTGTTCAATTACTTGTTGAAGTATGTTCATGACATCTGCTTCAAAATCCTTGTCAGGGCTTTGTTGGGTATACATCATCTGAATAACACACATTTTTACCTATTAAGTAATTTCTCACCATCAACTCCCCTCCCACCCCCTCACTCTTCCAAGTCAACACTGTCTATCACTCCACACTCTATGTCCATGTGTACACATTATTTAGCTCCCACCTGTAAGTGAGAACATGCAGAATTTGTCTATGTCTGACTTTTTTCACTTAAGATAATGGCTTCCAGTTTCATTCATGTTGCTGCCAAAGACATGACTTCATTCTCTTTTTATGACTGAATAGAATTCCATTGTGTATATGTACCACATTTTCTTTATCCAATCATCTGTTGATGGATACATAGGTTAATTCCCTATCTTTTTTTTTTTTTTTTGACAGAGTCTTGTTCTGTCGCCCAGGCTGGGGTGCAATGGCGTGATCTTGGCTCACTGTAACCTCCCCCTTCTGGGTTCAAGCTATTCTTGTGCCTCAGCCATCAGAGTAGCTGGGATTACAGACATGCACCACCACGCCTGGCTGATTTTTTTTTTTTGTATGTTTAGTAGAGATGGGTTTTCACCATGTTGGCCAGGCTGGTCTCAACTCCTGGCCTCAAGTGATCCACCTGCCTCAGCCTCTCAAAGTACTGGGATTACAGGTGTAAGCCACAGCACCTGGCTGATTCCATATCTTTGCTATTGTGAATAATGCTGTGATAAACATATGAGTGCAGTTATCTTTTTGATATAATGATTTCTTTTCCTTTGGGTAGATGCCCAGTTGTGGTATTGCTAGATTGAATGGTAGTTCTATTTTCAGTTCTCCGAGAAATCTCCATACTGATTTCCATAGAGGTTGTACTAATTTACATTCTCACCAAAAGTGTATGACCTTTTCTCTGTACTCTTGCCAACATTTGTTATTTTTGTCTTTTTAATAAGTCATTCTGACTGATGTAAAATGATATCTCATTGTGGTTTTAATTAGCATTTCTCTGGTGATTTGTGATGTTAAGCATTTTTTCATATGCCTCTTGGCCATTTGTATGTCTTCTTTCAAAAGTGTCTATTCATGTCCTTTGCCTATTGTTTAATGGGATTGTTTTCTATTTTGTTGTTGTTGTTGTTGTTGCATTGTTTGAGTTCCTTGTAAATTCTGGACATTAGTCCCCTGTCATACATAGTTTGTAAATATTTTCTCCCATTCTGCAGGTTGTCTGTTCACTCTGATGATTATTTCTTTTGCTGTGCAGAAGCCTTTTAGTTTAATTAAGTCCCATTTGCCTATTTTTGTTTTTGTTGTCTGTGCTTTTGAGGTCTTTGTCATCAATTTTTTGCCTAGATCAATGTCCGGAAGAGTTTTCCCCAGATTTTCTTCTAGTGTTTTTGTAGTTTCGGGTCTTACATTTAAATCTTTAATTCATCTTGAGTTGATTTTTTTATATGGTAAAAGATGGTGGTCCAGTTTCATTCGTCTGCAGATGCCAATCCAATTATCCCAGCATCATTTATTGAAAAGGGTGTCCTTTCTCCACTGTATGTTCTTGTTGATTTTGTCAAATATCAGTTGGCTGTAATATGTGGCTTTATTTCTGGATTCTCTTTTCTATTCTATTGATCTATGTGTCTATTTTTGTACCAGTATCATACTGTTTTGGTTACTACAGCCTTGTATTATAATTTGAAGTCTGGTAATGTGACAGCTTTAGCTTTGTTGTTGTTGTTTTATAATGCTTTGGCTATTCCGGCTCTTTTTTGGTTACATGTTAATTTTAGCATGTTTTTTCTAATTCTTTGAAAAATGACATTGGTATTTTGATAGAGATCCCATTGAATATGTAGATTGCATTGGGCAGTATGATCATTTTAATGATATTAAATCTGACCAATGAGCATGGGATATCTTTCTATTTGGTTGTGTCATCTACAATTTCTTTCATCAGAGTTATGTAGTTTTCCTTGTTTAGATCTTTCACCTCCTTGGTTAGTTGGTATTTTATTTTATTTTATTTTTGAAGCTATTATATATGAGATTGCCTTCTTGATTTTGTTCTCAGCTAGATCCTCATTGGTGTATAGAAACACTACTGATTTTTATACATTGATTTTGTATTCTTAAGTGTTACTGAATTCATTTATCAAGTCTAAGAGTTTTTGGGTGGAGTCTTTAGGTTTTGCTAGATATAGAATCATATCATCAGTGAACAGGAATATTTTGACTTCTTTTACAATTTGGATGCCTTTTATTTCTTTCTCTTGCCTGATTGCTCTGGCTAGGACTTCCAGTACTAATTAATATGTTGAATAGGAGTGGTGAAAGTAGGCAACCTTGTTTTGTTTCAGTACTTAGAATGCTTTCAGCTTTTCCCCATTCAGTATGATGTTGGCAGTGGGTTTGTTATATATGGTTTTTATTAATTCAGAGTATGTTCCTTCTATACCTAGTTTATTGAAGGTTTTTATCATGAAGAGATGCTGAATTTTACCAAATGCTTTTGCTGCATTTATTGAGATGATCATATGGTTTATCGTCTCTAATTCTGTTGATAAGATGTATCAAATTTATTTATTGATTTGCAAATGTTGAAGCATCCTTTGCAACCCTGGGATGAATCCCACTTGACCATGGGGTATTACTTTTTGATGTGCTGTTAGATTTGGTTTGCTAGTATTTTTTGAAAATTTTTGCATCTATGTTGATCAGGGATATTGGTGTGGACTTTTCTTTCCTTATGTGTCATGGTCTCTCTGATTTTGGTATAAGGTATTACTGGTCTCATAGTATGAGTTAGAGAGAACTCATTTCTCCTCAAATGTTTTTTTGGAACAGTTTCAGGAGGACTTGTATTAGTTCTTCTTTGTACATTTGATAAAATTCAACTATGAATCCATCTGGTCCTGGGCTTTTCTTTCTTGGGAGATCTTTTATTACTGATTTAATCTAGCTATTCATTATTCATCTGCTTAGGTTTACTGTTTCTTCCTGGTTCAATATTGGGAGGTTGCATGTTTCTAGGAATTTATTCATTTCCTCTAAGTTTTCTGGTTTGTAAGCATATAGTTGTTCATAATAGTCTCTGATGATCTCTTGTATTTCCATGTTATCAGTTGTAATGTCTCCTTTATCTTTTCTGATTTTGTTTATTCAGATTTTCTCTTTTCTTGGTTAGTCTAGCTAGTGGCTTATCAATCTGTTTTTCTTTTTGAAAAACAAACTTTTCATTTCATTGATCCTTTGAATTTTTTTATCTGTATTTCATTTAGCTCTGCTCTGATCTTTGTTACTTCTTTTCTTCTGCTAACTTTCCATTTGGTTTGTTCTTGCTTTTATAGCTTCTTGATGTGTGATGTTAGGTTGTTAACTTGTAATCTTTCTTTTTTTTGATGTAGGCGTTTAATACTATAAACTTTACTCAGCACTGCTTTTGCTGTATCCCACAGGTTTTGGTATGTTTTGTTTTCATTTTTATTTGATTCAAAAAATTTTTAAACTTCCAGCTGGGCATGGTGGCTCATGCCTGTACTCCCCGTGGTCTGGGAGGCCGAGGCGGGTGGATCACCTGAGGTCAGGAGTTCGAGACCAGCCTGACCAACATGAAGAAACCCTGTCTCTACTAAAAATACAGAATTAGCCATTGTGATGGCACATGACTGTAATCCCAGCTGCTTGGGAGGCTGAGGCAGCGGGATTGCTTGAACCTGGAAGGCAGCAGTTGTGGTGAGCCAAGACCGTGCCATTGCACTCCATCCTGGGCAACAAGAGCAAAAATCCATCTCAAAAAAATTAAAAAAAATTTTTTTTACATTTCTATCTTAATTTCTTGATGCAATGATCATTCAGGAGTATGTAGTTTAATTTCCATGTATTTGTATAGTTTCCAAAGTTCCTCTTGGTATTTATTTCTAAGTTTTTATTCCACTGTGGTCTGAGAAGAACTTGATATGATTTTAATTTTTAAAAATTTGTTTTGGCCGGGCACTGTGGCTCACGCCTGTAATCTCTGCACTTTGGGAGTCTGAGGCAGGTGGATCACCTGTAGTCAGGAGTTTGAGACCAGCCTGGCCAACACGGTGAAACCCTGTCTCTACTAAAAATACAAAAATTAGCCAGACGTGGTGGCAGGTGCCTGTAATCCCAGCTACTCAGGAGGCTGAGGCAGGAGAATCGCTTGAACCTGGGAGGTGGAGGTTGCAGTGAGCTGAGATCGCGCCATTGCACTCCAGCCTGGGAGGCAAGAGCGAGACTTTGTCTCAAAAAAAAAAAAAAAAGAAAAATTTGTTTTGTGGCTTGATAGAGGTTTGTGTTGGAGAATATTCCACGTGCTGATGAGAAGAATGTATATTCTGCAGTTGTTTGGTAGAGTGTTCTGTAAATGTCTGTAAAGTCCTATTTAAGTTCAATGTTTCTTTGTCAATTAACCATTTCTTAAACTGCCTCTATTTCATATAGTTTGTGAGTCCATTCGCCATTGTTTGCACCTCTGAATCTATCTCATTGTGCCTTTGTCCCATTTTTTAATGTTTCTGCTAAGCCACAACCTATCCCATACTTGTGAGGTCCTAAAAATATCTCTCCCAACTTATCCCTTTGATATTTTGCAGATTTCTTTCTCATCATAGAAGTAAAATTAGATGAACATCAAGTCAAAGAGAAGTAGGTTTACATGTCAGTCAGTGTGAGTTAAACTATGTTGTAACTTCTGTTCACAGACTAAGAGAGATGGAGTCTTTCCTCTTGGATGACATCAGCTCTGTGATACAGAACAAAGGCATTGAGAGAATCATCTCACCAATGATCGTTCAGCTTTGCCATCTGCTCATCTCAATGGAGAGGAAAGAAGTGGAGAATGAAGTATTTGCCTCGTTGGAGAAGATGGCTGAGGAATTGGCGAAAGCTTGTGAAGACTTCGTGCAAGTTGTCAAAAGGTAATTCTTTCAAAGAACACAATAAATTTTCACTCTGACAAATTTGCAGAAGAAGGAAAGTGTAACTAGAGACTTAAATCTTTTTAAGTGCTTTTGGAAAGAAGTCAGATGAGAAAAAAATTAATAAAGCACAAAGACACAAAGCAAATTTATTTAATAGGTTGTTATTTATGACTTGGGGTATAATTTAAGTATGCAAACATTTGAGAATTAGTTGACTGAGTTTTCCACTGAGAACAAGTTCTACATGCCATCAGAGGGTTTCTAGATTATTATTTCATTTCACAGATGAATTATTTTCTATTATAGGGATAAGAATTTTCAGAGTAGTCGAAACACAATTTTCATGTCTGTCTTTTAGTGCATTTGAGCCTGATTCTTTATTAGTAAACCTACATGCAAATTATTTTCATAATAAGTTTCAATTCCAGGGTTAATACAAAGTAGCCTAGTTATAACAACAAAACCGAACTCTATTAATAAAAACTGAATACCACTACAAAAATGTTACTTTTTTCTTTTTTGCCCCAAACTTCATGTAGGTGTTGGAGCAAACTGCCTATGTTTGAATCTTAGCAACACCATCAATTTAGTGCAATCCTATAAAAATTCCACAAGCTTTCTTTTTTAAATGGAGCTTGAAAAGTTGATACCAAAGTCCATATGAAAAAAATTAAACATAAGAACAACTAGAAGAACCCTGGAATAAAAAGCTGTGGAGAGAGAATAGCTTGTCAGGTATTAAAAACACTTCTAGATCCTCTTTTAGGAAAGTGTATGATACTGTCATATGAAGAGACAGATTGACCACTGGAACAGAATAAAAAGCCCAGAAACACACAACTACACATGGATCTGTACACCACAAAGAGTGGACTTTAGTGCACGCAAATTTGAAAAATGAACCAGGCTGGCCGGGCGGGTGGCTCATGCCTGTAAACTCAGCATTTTGGGAGGCGGAGGCAGGTGGATCGCCTGAGGTCGGGAGTTCAAGACCAGCCTGGCCAGCATGGTGAAACCCCATCTCTACTAAAAATACAAAAATTAGCTGGGCGTGGTGGCGGGCGCCTGTAGTCCCAGCTACTCTGGAGGCTGAGGCAGGAGAATCACTTGAACCCAGGAGGTGGAGGTTGCAAGTGAGCCAAGATAGTGCCATTGCACTCCAGCCTGGTGACAGAGCAAGACTCCATCTCAAAAAAAAAAAAAAAAAAGAAATAGGCTGTTAGGAAGTCCTGTGGAGAAAGCAGGCTATAACAAATGAATCTAACAATATTACAAACGCATGATACAGCCTCACTGAAAGAGTTGCATGGAGAAGTAGCTGACCTAAGCAATTTTGGAAGACAGCCTTTTGACTGGATACTGTAAAACTAAAGAAAATTGTATATTAACACAGTATTCTAGGTAGTAAATTTGTTTCTCAGTAATTTTGAAACTACAAGTATAATAAATAGATAGATATGTTGTAGATAATGAAAGTTGGGGTCTCACTCTCAGAGAAAAAAGTTACAAATAAGCAAGGGGGGAAGTTAGAATGAGCCTTGTGGAGTAGAGTGGGAGGTATCAGTATGAATGTGTGCGTGTCTATGTATACACATGTATAATACACTAATCTGTTTAGCTATATTTTTTCACTCTGTCTTCTGAGAAGCCCTAGAAGCAGTGACACCCCAGTATTTCTGGAGAAACGCCTGAGAAATTCTAGGTCTGGAGCCAGGAATACACAAAATAAGGCTGGAACATCTTGTAGCACCAGAAGGAAAAGAAAGGATGGAGGCGTGTAAGAAGGACATGTGGTGGGCTGAATAATGGCCCCCAAATATGTCCAGATCCTACTCCCCAAAACCTGTGAATATGTTACTTACATGGCAAAGGGACTTTGCAAATATGGTTAAGAACCTTTAGATGGGAGATGATCCTGGATGATCTGGGGGCCCGAGGGAGTCACAGTCGTCCTTATAAGAGGGATGCAGGAGGATCAGAAAGAGGAGAAAGGAATGTGAGGATGGAAACAGAGGTCAGAGTAATGTGCTTTGAAGATGGAAGAACAGGCCACAAGAAGTTGCACCTATAATAAAATGTCAAATAAGATCTAGAGGCTTCAGGAGAACCTGAGGTTATCTGTGGAGGGTGGAAGGCTTATGCTGAAGTGGTCCCCTGAGAGCAAAGATCAGGAGTAAGGGATGATCCCCTTGTACTCACTTGCAGAAGTGACTTAAAGCTGCTAAAAGGATGTGTGTCAGGGCTTTGGCATTCTGCCGCAGACATAGAAAGACCTGATACTGTTTTGACTTCCTGTGTCCCTGTAGGCATTCAGCGGCCAACATTTGTATAGTACTTTATCTTTCTCAGCTTATTTCTAATTAGCGATAATTAATACTCTTAGTATTAATACGAGTTAATTTGTAATTCTTACAAAAGAGTGTGAGATAAATGAGCATGTGCTGTCTTTAATTTCCAAAGGAGGAAATGAAAGGGTCCATGGAAGATGAGCTGTAGCTGTGGAAGGAGCAGAAAAGCCAGAGGGTGGCTCAGGAGTCTGGTGTTATATATGATGACAACATTTTAAAAATAAGAGGTGAGGAAAATGGGAGCACACTTTTTGGAAGATTAACATAAATGTAAAATGATTTACAGAACAGATCAATGGAATTCAGTTAGGTCTCAGATTTTACTTTCCCCATTAGGGATGTATGTAAAGAAAGGGCATGTTGGCCGGGCATGGCACATGCCTGTAATCCTAGCACTTTGGGAGGCCAAGATGGGCAGATCACCTAAGGTCAGGAGTTTGAGACCAGCCTGATCAACATGGAGAAACCTCATCTCAACTAAAAATACAAAATTAGCCAGGTGTGGTGGTGCATGCCTGTAATCCCAGCTACTCAGGAGGCTGAAGCAGGAGAATCGTTTGAACCTGGGAGGCAGAGGTTGCTGTGAACCGAGATCACGCCATTGCACAGCCTGGACAACAAGAGCAAAACTCCATCTCAAAAAAAAAAAAACTAAACTAAACTAAAAAGGAGGGGGACATGTTGAGGCAATAGGAACTTGAAGTACTTGGGATGGTTCATTAATTTCCCTACGAAACATCTTTGGTTCATTAATTTCCCTACGAAACATCTTTTTTTTTTTTTTTTTTTTTTTTTTTTAGACAGAGTCTTGCTCTGTTGCTGGGGTGCAGTGGCATGATCTTGGTTCACTGCAACTTCCGCCTCCTGGGTTCAAATGATTCTCCTGCCTCAGCCTCCCGAGAAGCTGGGATTACAGGTGCGCACCACCACACCCAGCTGATTTTTGTATTTTTAGTAGAAGTGGAGTTTCTCCTTGTTGGCCAGGCTGATCTCGAACTCCTGACCTCAGGTGATCTGCCTGCCTCAGCCTCCAAAAGTGCTGAGATTACAGATGTGAGCCACTGTGCTTGGTCAAAACATCTTAATTTGACCTTTTTTTTTTATTCACAGACCACTTTGAGACTCAACACTTACGACATTCATAGAAGAAAATGCACAAAGGCACATGCATAGAAAGTTTTTGTATAACTTCCAGGAATTCATGCCCCCAGTCCAGCCACAGCAACACGTGATTGTAATGATGATTGCATTTCTGAAGACTTTTTAAAAGCATTTTTTTGGATAGAAGAGTTAAAATGTTGTGAATTCTTGATAAATTGAATAAGCAACAAATACACTAGCAGTCACTAGAGGGTGATGTTTTCTAGCATACAACATCAAGTTCTTTCCGGCAGGTTGTCATTGTAAGTTCCTGTGTATGTGCTTGCTTGTGTGTGTGTCTGTGTGAAAGAGACAGAGGCACACACACAGACTGTCTCTACCTGCATAACTAAAAGAATTTCTTTGTGCATGTTTCTTTTTTCTCCGTTTCACTTATCTATAATACAAGCAAAAATGCTTTTTTTTTTTTTTTTTTTTTTTTTTTTTTTTTGCGACAGATTCTTGCATGTTGCCCAGGCTGGAGTGCAATGATGCAGTCTCAGCTCACTGCAACCTCTGCCTCCTAGGTTCAAGTGATTCTCCTGCCTCAGCCTCCCGAATGGCTGGGATTACAGGCGCCCGCTGCCACACCCGGCTATTTTTTGTATTTTTTAGTAGAGACGGGGTTTCACTATGTTGGCAAGGCTGGTCTTGAACTCTTGACCTGGTGATCTGCCCGCCTCGGCCTCCCACAGTGGTGGGATTACAGGTGTGAGCCACCACACCTGGCCAGAAATGCTATTTTTTTAAAGCCTTCTCCCACCTGTTCTACAGATGAATTCTGAATGTTTTCTAATATATCCTTGTTTCTCATCATCCTAGGAATAGCTACCAATTATGAGCACCCACTGTGGTTGGCTGTGCACTGGGTGGCTTATGAACTTTACCCCTCATCCCTACAACTGCAGCGTGGGCTATTTCATAGATTAGGACATGATGTGTAAGTAGCTGGCTCAAAGCCCTCCATCTAGTAAGTTTGCCAGTATATCATCAGTTCATAGTAAACTAAAAAAATGTCTACTTTATCCAAACTTTTTTGTTTATAAATGAATTTTTGTCACCTGGTATGTCTTAGATATGATTTGAGACTTTTTGTTGTTGTTGGCATAGCTTTAATAAAATTAACATAAACTTTGACTTTGTATAGGCTAGGAGGAAGGAGAGACTGAGGAGTACTATGTTTGGAAGGAAAGTTGAAGGTAGGGCAGCCGGATGGTTAGCTTTGCAGATACCAGGCCAGTGAGAAGAAAACAGCTAGTTCAATATTTTGCTTAGGATTGAGCCCTGATGGTTGGATACTAGCCATCTGGGGGGTGGTGGGTGGGGAATCCTTTTGGGAGAACGGACGGAGTGTGGGAATGAGGCCCTGGCCAGGCAGATGTGTGCCAATCTGACACTGTTCATTTCTTCTGTTGTTTATGCCAGTTCAGGCAACACGGAAGCTGTGTCTGTTTCTCCTGTCATTGTAAATGCAGCCCTGGTCTTTCAAAAAGCTGTGGTTGTGTGGGTCTTTAAGGTATTCCTTCAGTAATTGTGGTGGCCACTATTTCATTTAAGGAGTTAGCATCTTATAAAGAAAAATCTGTTTTCTCAAGGCTCTATAGTAATGATATTTTGTTTAAGTTTGTCCAATATGGTATTTAGTTCTTCCTATTAAGGAGGAGTCTCTAAACTTCAGTCTGTGGGCCAAATCTACCTCCTGTTTCTGTTTAATTATTTTATTGGGGGGGGGTGATATTTATCCCCTCAAGCATTTATTCTTTATGTTACAAACAATCCAATTATATTATTTTAGTTATTTTTAAATGTCCAATCTAATTATTATTGACTGTAGTCACCCTGTTGTGCTATCAAATACTAGGTCTTATTCATTCTTTCTAACTAATGTTTTTGTACCCATTAACCATTCCTTTCCCATTCCCCATCTCACCACTACACTTCGCAGCCTCTGGTAACCATCCTTCTACTCTCTGTGTCCATGAGTTAAATTGTTTTGATTTTTAGATCCCAAAAATAAATGAAAACAAGCGATGTTTGTCTTTCTGTGCCTGGCTTATTTCACTTGACATAATGATCTCCAGTTCCATCCATGTTGTTGCAAATGGCTGGACCTCATTCTTTTTTATGGCTGAATAATACTCCATTGTCTATAAGTACCACATTTTTTCTTTATCCATTCGTCTGTTGATGGACATTTAGGCTGCTTCCAAATCTTGGCTATTGTGATCAGTGCTGCAGATATCTCTTCGATATACTGATTTCCTTTCTTTAGTGTATATCCCCAGCAGTGGGAGTGCTGGATCCTATGGTAGCTCTATTTTTAGTTTTTTGAAGAGCCTCCATACTGTTCTTCACAGTGATTGTACTCATTTACATTTCCACCAGCAGGGTACAAGGGTTCCCTTTTCTCCACATCCTCATCAGTATTTGTTATTGCCTGTCTTTTTGTTATAAGCCATTTTAACTGGGGCGAGATGAGATCTCATTGTACTTTTGATTTGCATTTCTCTGATGATCAGTGGTATTGAGTACCTTTTCATAGGCCTGTTTGCCATTTGTACGTTTTCTTTTGAGAAATATCTTTTCATATATTTTGCCCATTTTCTGATCAGATTATTATATTTGATTTTTTTACTATAGAGTTGTTTAAGCCCCTTATATATTCTGGTTATTAACCCCTTGTCAGATGGTTAGTTTGCAGATATCTTCTCCCATTCTGTGGTTGTCTTTTCACTTTGTTGACTGTTTTCCTTTGCTGTACAGAAGCTGTATTTGTTGTTTTTGTTGTTGTTGTTGTTGTCGTTTGAGATGGAGTCTCACTCACTGTGTCGCCAAGGCTGGAGTGCTGTGACGCAATCTCTGCTCACTGCAACCTCCGCCTTTTGGGCTCAAGCGATTCTCCTGCCCCAGCCTACCGAGTAGCTGGGGCTACAGGCACCCGCCACCACGCCCGGCTGATTTTTTGTATTTTTAGTAGAGATGGGGTTTCACCATTTTGGCCAGGCTGGTCTTGAACTCCTTACCTCAGGTGATCTGCCCACCTCGGCCTCCCAAAGTGTTGGGATTACAGGCATGAGCCACCACGCCTGGCCTTGCAGAAGCTTTTTAACTTAATGTGATCCCATTTGTGCATTTTTGCTTTGGTTGCCTGTGCTTGTGGGGTATTATTCAATAAATTTTTGCCCAGACCAATGTCTTTGAGAGTTTGCCAGACATTTCCTTGTACTAGTTTCATAGTTTAAGATCTTAGATTTAAGTCTTTAATTCATTTTGATTTGATTTTTGTTTATGGTGAGAGGTAGGGGTCTAGTTTCATTCTTCTGCATTATGGATATTCAGTTTTCCCAGCACCATTTATTGAAGAGACTGTCTTTTCCTCAGTGTACGTTCTTGGCACCTTTGTGGAAAATGACTTCACTGTAGGTGTGTGGATTTTGTTTCTGGGTTCTCTATTCTGTTCCATTGGTCTATATGTGTGTTTTTATGCCAATACCATGCTGTTTTGGTTACTATAGCTCTCCAGTATAATTGGAAATCCGGTAATGTGATTCCCCCAGTTTTGTTCTTTTTGCTTAAGATAGCTTTGGCTATTCGGGTGTTTTGTGACTCCACATAAATTTTAGAATTTTTTGTTCTTCTCTTCTCTTCTCTTTTTTCTTCACTTTTCTTTCACAGAATCTTACTCTGTCACCCAGGCTGCTCTGATGCAGTCTCTGCTCACTGCAACCTCTGCCTCCCAGGTTCAAGCGATTCTCCTGCCTCAAGCCTCCTGAATAGCTGGGATTACAGGCACCCGCCACCATGCTGTTCTGTGCGGGAGATGCCTAAGGGGGGAAGAAAAACACACACACAATACCTTTAAGGGTAAACAAGCTTTATCCCACGTAAAAGGCAATGCAGATATAATAAACAAATGATACAATAAACAAATTGCAATGAAAAGGGGAGAAGGGAAAAGATATATATATATATTTTTTTACACTCACCAAACTATGGAGGATTCATCACCAGACCGGGAAGCAACAGCCTGTGCTCCAGAGTCAGCCACTGGTCCATGCACAGCGAGGGAAGGTCTCATGAAGTTTCGGTGCAGTCTGGGACTCTAGCTGTTTTTGTAACAAGTTGTTTGGCATGAGACCCAGTCACAAGTGCCTTCGTGACTGGGCTTAAGGAACACAAAAAGGTCACAACTTGTTTTTGCGATTGTCTATTGTTTTTCAATAACTGACATGTAAGAATAGATTGAAATAGAGATTTCTCTGAAACAGCGCTGGATGAATGCCTCAAGGGGCTCACTCAACCTGTTTCAGGACTTGGTGACCATTGTTTGTGTCCATGTTCAATTGAGTTCAAATTTAATATTTAACTTTTCCTCCACACACACGCCCGGCTAATGTTTTGTGTTTTTAGTAGAGACAGGGTTTCATCATGTTGGCCAGGCTCCTGGCCAAATCTCAAACTCCTGACCTCAGGTGATCCACCCGCCTCGGCCTCCCAAAGTGCAGGGATTACAGGCGTGAGCCACTGCACCTGACCACCACCTAAACTTTCCATGGCCACACTGTTACAGATCCTTATTCACGACATACAAACAACCTTCTTCACTCAGCACTGGGCACCAAACTATGTACTGTATAGTCATAGAAGCAGAGGCTATGACTTTTATTCATTCATTCATTCATTCATTCATTCAGCAGATTGTAGTATCTTCTACTGATGGTGGGCTGGATACTTCTTAGGCACCACATTGGGCCTATTGCATCATGGGCTCATAGTAAAAGTTCCATATGTCCAGGAATGATGTAAAGCCAACAATGGAATAATGCGAGCAACTATTTTTCTAGAAGAAGTAGACTTTACCAGAATGCCAAAATGGGCTGCTAAAGGAAGGGCAGCCCATCAGTGCTGTCACCAGCTCCTGAAACCCCGGGGCCTGTTTACTCCCACCATTGCAGTGGAGGACATGTCTGAGCTTCCTGCTTGGCTTTAACCCCCACATTAGTTCCTTTGTTGTTTCAGTGTAAGTAGCTTGGGTAATGTGCAGAGAATTTCTTTGCCTTGTATTATTATGAGAATCAACTGGTTGGGTCATCAGTTCCTAGGGAGAGGCTAATGGGAAGGTGATCTATAGAGTGTGATAGAAGACAATCTAGCTTTCTTGCTGCATCTTTTCTTCGTTCAGAACATCAGCTTCTCTTTTCCCTCCCAACTCCCAGCAGGATATTCCTGATTGAAAGAAAGGCCAAGAGGAGAGAATGAGATCTAGCAAAATTGTAAACAAAGGAACAGAGCCAGAAACCTGTTTTACATTCATATAAAATGTTACATTGATTGATTAAACAGTTTAAAAATATCTTCATAGTATATGGTACCTTTGATCATAAAACCAGGTCATGTTAAGGTGACCTCTATTGAAGAGTTCTATTTAGGGTTACTGTGTGCCAACCACCCTCATTAAAATAGTCACAGATGTAAGTAGAGGAAACCAGATAAAAGGAAAGATCTCTATCTGCTTCCCCGTAGTAATCCTTACATAGCATAACTTGAGTTAAGAACAGCCAGATGGAAGAGATAATGGGGCAAGGTGTGGGGAAACAGAGCAGAGCTTCTCTCCTCTGGGAGCGCCACCCTCCCAGCACCTCCATATGTTCAGCAACCCAGAAGTTCCCCTAAACTGTCCTATTGAGTTTTTATGGAGGCTTCTTTTCATAGGCATGATTGATTTGATCATTGACCACAACTCCTCTCCCTTCCAAGGGGTTGGGGCTGGAGCTGAAAGTTGCAGCCTTCTTATTGCATGGTTGATTCTCCAGCAGCCACCCCCACACCTGTCACATTAGCCTACAAAAGACACTTACCACTTCAGAGAGTCCAAGAGTTTTAGGAGTCCTGTGCCAGGAAATGGGGGCGGAGACCAAGAATAGATTTATTATTAAAAGTCACAATATGACAGGCAGTTTCTTTAAAACCTAAGCATTCACTTACCATACAACTCAGCAATTTTACTGTTGGGCATTTATCCCAGAGAAATAAAAATATATTCAATACAGAAATTTCTATAGTTTCATTCACAGTGCCACAAATTGGAAGGAAAGTACTTAAATGCTCTTCAGCGGGTGAACAGTGAAACAAACTATGCATCCATGTCATGGAATACTACGTGGCAGTAAACAAGAGCAAACTGTGGACATGTGGAGCAACTTGGATTGGTCTCAGGGCATTGTGCTGAATGAAGATGTCACATGAACGATTCCATTTGGTAACATTCTTTAAATAACAGAATCATATAAATGAAAAACACATGAGTGGTTGCCAGAGGTTAGGAGTGTTGGAGTGTGCAGAGGTATGTGATGGTCAGAGATAACATGAAAGAGAAGTCTGTGGTGATGGAATAGTCCTGTAACTTGATAGAGGCTGTTGTTACAGGAAGCTGCCCATGTGATGAAATGACAGAGACCCGCACACATGCATTGCTGCAATGTCAGATTCCTGGTTTTGCTCCTGTACTGTAGTCACGTAAGATGTGAGCACTGGGGAGACTGTGAGGGAGAATTCTGAGCAGAAGGCTCACGTGGCTTCCTGCCTCCTACCATGCCACCCCCACCGGATGCATTAAATTTCTGGTCTGAGTCAGCCTGCCTCTGTCCTCATCCATCTGTCTGTCTGTCTCTTTCTTTCCCTCCCTCCCTGCCTCCTCACTGTTTCACATGGTCATTGTAAAAAAGAAACCTAAAAAATTAGGAAATGTAGATAAATTGAAAGGAAAAATTTTAAACCATGAGGTTGTTCCTTTCTTATTTAAATATGGTGGTTCCCTTGTTTCATCAGCCATAGGCTTTGGGCCTGGGCAGGATCTGTAGCCCACAGCCTTTGAATTCTTGACCTATCCTCTGAGATTTTTAGGATTCAAAGTAGAAAGACTTGGTCCCCTGCTTCCAGTCCTATCTGGTACCCACTCCCTCATCTTTTCTGGCTAACCATTGTGCTTCCCAGTAATTATGTTTAACATTTTCTCACATAGGGATTAACAACATAGGCTCTGGACTCAGAGTGCCTAGGTTTAAATCTTGACTCCACCACCTCCTTAGTAGTTATTCAGTCTCTTTGTGCCTCAGTTTCTTCATTTGTAACTAACACCTATCTCAGAAGCCGTGGGAAGGATTAAGGGATGTGATAGGAAGCACTCACTGACTCTTGGATATCATTATTTATGGTTGTTACTTGGTGTCTCTGGCTGCATTTTGTTTGTCGCTGCTGGTTCCGTGACTGTCCATCAGTGTGCCTTGCGCCTGTTCTGTAGATTTTATTTCACAGTCTCTTGGTTTTGGTGGGTGGCACACTGCCCTGAGAGGACGGGGACGTGAGAAAGATTCTGAGCCCTTTAGTTGTCTCTAGTGCTACATCATGATTGTCATCATTGCTGTAAACCAAAAAGTATATGAGACAAGTCTTACTCAATTTAGAACATGTATTTTGCCAAAGTTAATGACGCACCCATGACACAGCCTCAGGAGGTCCTGACAACATGCGCCCCGGGGTGGTCGGGGTACAGCTTGCTTTTATACATTTCAGGGAGACATGAGACATCAATCAATATATGTAAGATGTACATTGGTTCAGTCCAGTAAGGTGGAACAATTCGAAGTAGGGGGTTTCCAGGCCAGAAGTAGATAAGAGACAAAAAGTTGCATTCTTTTGAGTCCTTGATCAGCCTTCCGATGAATACACAATTGTGTCTGGCTCAGTGAACCTACATTTTTACGTGAACAATAGGGCAGAGGAAGCAATCAGTTATGCATTTGTCTCAGGTGAGCCTCAAAGGGATGACTTTGAGTTGTGTCTGTCCTTTTTCCGTAAGGAGTTTTCTTGCGGGCAAATGGTGAGGGAGGGATGTAGGTTGTTATCTTTGTAGCTATCTTATTTAGCAATAAAACAGGAGGCAAGTTTGCCTGACGTAGTTTCCAGCTTGACTTTTTCCTTGGCTTAGTGATTTAGTTTCCTTTCGCATTGCTAACTCAATCACAGGAGACAGGAGTGTGGACTGAATATAGCAAGAATGCCAAAGTATGTAACAGTTTCCTTAGTCATGATAGAGACTGAGAAACATCGGCTCACCTAAGCTTTGAGGTTAGCTGGAGTCCAGTAGAAGAGTTATAACTAAACACTGGCCCTTGTCTGTTTCCACTTGTGCCCATTCATTGAAGCTGAGATTGGACTGAGTACATTTGTGACTATGTACCAGTAGCAAAGGTGATAGAAGTCAAACGTAGCTCTTAGTTTTAGGGGCTCATGGCCTCCTGGGGAAGGGACCCATCAGGCATAGCTGGCAGTCATGGCCAGGGTTGTGGAAGCCCAGGTCCAGGCAGGGTTCAAATGCTCCTCAGAGTGTGCCAGCAGCCTCAGCCTCAGGGAGAGCTTGTCAGGGGGATGTTTTACAAGGTCTCCAAAAGCCTCTTATGCCCTCCAGAGTGAAAAGCACGGCATTGTTGATGAAGTCTTGTGGCAAATATGCAAGGCACGTGTGGATATTTCTTTCTCTTGGAGGCTTACAAGGTAGCCCCGGTCTCCTGGTGCAGTGTTTATAGCATAGTCCACTGGGACTGCCGCTCTGACAAAGACTGTGTCACTACTTTGTGGAATGTTATTTTAGAACTTCCAGAATGCCTCAGTAAATCCTGACTGCCATGTAACTGTGTACTGTGCTGCTGAGCTCTTAACATGAAGCAGCAGCAGTGACCCTGGCGGGCCAGGCTGACGTGCGTGGGAACAGTGGGAGTGACCCTGGCTGGGAAGCAGGGAGGCCTGGATATTGTTTCTCCTGGCTCTGTGTCCTGCCATTCTCATCCCTGTGCTCAGAGCTCTCAAGCACCCACGATGGCCTTCTCAGGCCGAGCGCGCCCCTGCATTATCCCAGAGAACGAAGAAATCCCCCGAGCAGCCCTTAACACTGTCCACGAGGCCAATGGGACCGAGGACGAGAGGGCTGTTTCCAAACTGCAGCGCAGGCACAGTGACGTGAAAGTCTACAAGGAGTTCTGTGACTTTTATGCGAAATTGTGAGTGTCTCCTCTCCTGGAGTGCCCTCTTCCAGGTCCAGCGTTCTTGGCTGTCTGTTCAGGAGCCATCCTGAGCTGGCCCATACAATTTTATTGACTGGACTTTGGGTGGGAGTTTTCCAGGGTGGTAGGGCTCCGAGGGGCTCGCAGCGCAGCATGTTTAGGGAGACAGGAGACTGCCTTGTCGGTAAGACATGCAGCGACACGCAGATGGGAGGGAGGTGCTGCCCTCACTGTGAGAGCATGGCGGCCCCGTCTTCAGTAGGTTCCTGATCACTTGGTAACTAACTGCATTTTCATCATGTCGTCCGCAAGGGAGGCTTAGTGTTGTCATTGTCAGTAATTACGTTAGAAAAATTCTGCAGTCTAAAACGGCCCAAAGATAAGGGGCAGATGGGTTGGGACAGTGAAAAAAACAAATTACAGACTGTTGGTAAAGATAAATATTTTTGTTTTGTGTAATAATCAACAATTTGAAGTAAGCTAACTGGGTTTCTTAATTGAATGAATAAATATATATATCGTATAAGTAGCAGCTCAATACACATATAGAACATACTGTTAACTCTAAAAAGCTAGGCTAATTTATATTATTAAATAGGTTTTAGCAAACACATTTTTTTAAGAAAATGCAGAGTAGCCATCAGACCAGCTCAAGATTATTGACCTCATTCAAAGTTGTGAGCTTAGAATTACTGCGTATCCCAAATTTGTCAAGTAAGAGTTAATGAGAATTTAACTGACCCGGTTCTCTACTTCCATAATCCGTGCTCTGTGGTACAGATGTCACTTATCTTCACAACTCACAGAGAGCTCTGTTTGACAGTAACTGGGGAATTGTAATAATACAGTAACCAATATTTTGACTGCTTGGTGAACTCTCAAGAAGATTTTTGGATTTATACATTGCTGCATTTTAGGACCAAACAATTTGTTTTGCATACTTGAATAATGGAAAGCAAGATATCAGTTGTGCTGTGTGAGGTTGATTTGTGGAAGTGGATCAGCTTCATCAGTCATGCCTGGCCTGACTTTTACATATAAATATCTATCTATAGATAGATAGATAGATAGATAGATAGATAGATACTCCCCCACTTACATATTTCTTGTCATCAACACTTTTTAGTGAAAATCTTTTTCTAAAAAATTAGCTAATTAATTATAACTAATCTGATGGTAGCTATAACTGTCACTAATGACTTTTTTAAAGTAATTTCTGTCATCTGTAGTATTAAATATAAAATCAACATTTAAAAAAAAAACAACAACAGGCATTGTGCCAGAGGGTCAAAGGCAAAAGAGGAAAGGGAAGCCTGACTGGTTCAGGGGGCAGCAAGGTGATTGTTCTGTTTCCTTTTTCCCCCTGCTTGTGATGAAAAGGAATACTTCTTGCAAAATATATATTATATTACCTCTAAAACTAGCGGATTTTTCCTGTGTGTGGGAAGTAACTGTGTGCTTGTTTTTATGATGTATCTACCTATTTCCTAATTCTACTTGAGTATTTGAACTTAAGTAGAAACAATCTATATTATAATGAGTTTAAACTGGTCAGTGATAATCAAACGTTTTAATCTAAGGGCCTCTTAACACTCTTAAAAACTATTAAGGTTCCCAAAGGACTTTCATTTATCAGTATTTACCATATGAGAAATTGAAACTGGGAACAATTTAAAATACTTATTAATTCATTTAAAAACAACACTAAGCTTATTACGTGTTAATAATAGTAAATGTTAATATTAATGTTGTCATGAAAAATAACTGTTTTCCAAAATGGAAGAGGCTTAGAGGAAAGGATGGCATTGCGTTACATTTTTGCAAATCTTGTTAATAAAAGTTTCTCAGATTTGTTTCTGCATTCAACCTATTACAGTCTATTGTTTTAGATGAAATATATGAAGAAAACATGGCCTCCCACAGAGATGTAGTTGGAAAAGAGGACTTTTCTGCCTCCTGAAAGGGTCATGGTGACGCTGACATTTTGAAAACGACTGATTTAGGTGATAATGATCCAGGACATTCTAGAATATTCTTTTTGGGCTTTTTTAGAGTCCCATTAAGATTGTTGAGGTTTGGTGAATCTTTTGAGAGGGTTTAGAATTAACAACAGAGCCATATATTTGAGCAGCATCTTACGGTTTCCAAATAGCTTAAAATACTTTTTCCTCAGAACAATAATGAGAACAGCACTGAGAATGACCAGGCAGATGTGGAGCTTACCGTGCTCCTTCATCCAGGAATACCTGTGGACTTTGGTCAGAAAGAGGGAAGAAGCACAAACCCCTCCAGAGTTTTGTAAAACTGCCACAATCATCTGGCTTACGGCAAAGCTGGGCGATGATGAGAATTTTACAGATTTTTTCCCCAACCTACAGTAACTTTGAAATGACAAAATGGAAATTCATTTTAACATGAGGCTTGGGCCAGGTTTACTGAGCAGTGAAGGTGCTTCCCTTTCTCCCTTCCTTCCTTTTTTTTGTGACATTTTAATTCTGCATTCAAACCTGTTAAATAAAGTTGAGCTTTGACTGGTCTGAAGTGATGAACATGGTGTGTCTGCACGCAGTTATTTATGGCAAGGCTACAAAACAGGATGACTGTTTTGTGAAACATTTTGGGGAGAAAGGCAAAGGGAAAGTTGTCTTCCAGAGGTGTGGAGGGGAGTGAAGCAAGTAAGTGGAACCACTTTTGCTAAGGAAACAGCAAAACTTGGAAACCAATAGGGGCAAGGCAGTTAGTTACTCTGTTTATAGAATGGAGACTGTCTACCTGTCTGTCTCACTAGTTGGTTGTGAAAATTCAGGAGAACATTGGTAATAACTTCATGAAGTACATTGATTAAATATCTGGAAGGTCAGAAGCTGTACCAGGGAACTAGACACACAGGTGTAGAGCTCATGCTGTGGGTAGGCCTGTGAAAATAAACTTGCCAAAAATTGAAGGACCGCTTGGCATGGGGGACCTTCTCCATTTCTAGGACTTTTAAGAAATAAATAGGTCTTCACGTGAAATCCTCATCTAATTGTATGCCTGTCAAAGCCATGTTGCTTTTCTTTTCCTTTTTCTTTTTTGAAATGGAGTTTTGTTCTTGTTGTCCAGGCTGGAGTGCAGTGGCGAGATCTTGGCTCACTGCAACCTCCGCCTCCCAGGTTCAAGTGATTCTCCTGCCTCAGCCTCCCAAGTAGCTGGGACTACAGGCATGTGCCACCACACCCGGCTAATTTTGAATTTTTACTAGAGACGAGGTTTTACCATGTTGGTCAGGCTGGTCTCGAACTCCTGACCTCAAGTAATCCACTGTCCTCAGCCTCCCAAAGTCCTGGGATTACAGGCGTGAGCCACTGCAGCCATCTGCCATGTTGCTTTCCTTCTTCCAAACTGCACAGTGGTTAGAGCCTGAGATTATTTATTGAATGCCTTCTGTGTTTTAAGGTGTAGTGAGGCTACCGATGGGGGAATTTCCCACGTCACCAGCCGCAGCAGTGGTTACTTGACAACTTGGTGTCACTTTCCTAACCTATGAAACGTGGTGGTATCCCTGTCATGTCCTTTCAAGTGTTTGAAATTCGTGGTGTAATCTGTTTTGATTGACAGTGTGATTTTATGAGCAGGGGACCTGGATTTCTAGTCCTGCACCTTCCTTTAACTAATTAGCCTTGTGATGTTGGTCTGATCCTTCCATCTCTGTGAACCTGTTTTGCCATCTGTAAAATGATCTTTATTATGTAAAATTCTGTGATTTTAAGATACATTTTATAATATTGGTAATCAGGTTCGTCTTACCGATTAGGTAACAGGACTGGGGCATCTTGGCTGGTTTTAAGGCTACTTAAGCAGTTGTTTTCTACGGGATTTAATCAAAGGGATAACCCGTGTCTAGGTTATATGACATGGCATTTAGTTGACATGCATTTTAGATTCTGTTCTCAGAAGGGAAAGAAACTGGCCTTGAGATGTTGACTTTTGGATATTTTAATTAAGCTACTTATTAAGCTATAAACCCAATTCCTTGAGAGCAGCTTGTAACTTTCATCTCTGTCTCAGGTGCCTAACACATAGTAGGCACTCACTCATAGTATATTCAGCAAGAAGAATGCCAAAAATGTTAGAAACAGAATCAAAGTGGGACACCCTTACAGAGCCTCAGATGCTACGGTAAAGAGGCTGAAGTGTCCGAGTTCAGAGCATGTAAGGAACAAGCAAGAAATTGAGCTTTTTAGATAAAATAGGGTTTTTGTGATCAGATAGAATTTGCTGCTCGGTTCTTAGTGTTGTTTGATCTTCGATCTAAGAAGTGGCTGACGGTCTGCAACCTGCTGTTCTTTGCGTGTTACAGCAACATGGCCAACGCCCTGGCCAGCGCCACTTGCGAGCGCTGCAAGGGCGGCTTTGCGCCCGCTGAGACGATCGTGAACAGTAATGGGGAGCTGTACCATGAGCAGTGTTTCGTGTGCGCTCAGTGCTTCCAGCAGTTCCCAGAAGGACTCTTCTATGAGGTGAGTTGCACTGGACAAAAGCAGGGAGGTGCCATTCCCCACCCTCCCGCTTCCTGCCCTTCTTTCCTGAGGACTCCTCCTTCATGTTCAGTTTCATGATGAAAGACTGAAGTGCCACATGCATGCCAGGTATTTGATAGCTGTGAGGTCAGAGGTGGCATCTCTATGGCCCATATGGGCAGTGGCGTGATTGGGACACCCTCACAGACCCTGCATTTGTATTGCTCAGTTCATCGTCCTATTTCAGAACCCAGAGTCCCTTATGACAGAGCCTTTCAGACCTAAGCAGCTCAGCTCCACATAGAAAATTCTTTCCGAGTCTTCAGCCACACTCAGGCCCCCCACACACCTCACCCACTCCTGTCTCTGTGTCTTTCCCCCTTCTCAGAGGACCACTGGACCTGCTCTAAAGGAGAGCGTGCGGTGTACGTCACCCCCTCCACAACTTCCCAGCCTCGAGCCAGGAGCGTCCATGCATTTATTTTCTAAGGGAAAAAAAAATAAGTATTTTAGGGAACTATACTGTCTACATTTAGCTCTCCTGGGTGTCTATGTTCTTTTCTAAATATTTGTTTTTCTTGATCCTCGGGTGTTAGCATATGGTCTGCACTTCCTTTGTAGTGTATTTGGTATTCTCAACATTACCGAAACCACTTTCTTGTTGTTTTTTATTGTTTTGTTTTGTTTGAGACAAAGTCTCATTGTATAGCCCAGGCTAGAGTGTAGTGGCATGATTATAGCTCATTGCAGCCTTGAACTGCTAAGCTCAAGTGATCCTCCAGCCTCAGCCTCCTGAGTAGCTGGGGCTACAGGCACGTGCCACCATGCCCGACTAATTTTATTTTTCATAGAAACGGAGTCTCCCTATGTTGCCCAGGCTGGTCTCAAACTCCTGGGCTCAGGTGATCCTCGGCCTCCCAAAGTGCTAGGATTACACGCATGAACCTCCATGTCTGGCCCACTGAAACTCCTGTCTCACAGTAAACATGTATTTTGGGGGATAATCTAGAGATGCTGACCCCAGGCTATAAATGACGGTGAGAGTGAGGTGTATGTGTGTGTTAGATCAAATAGGTAATTTACTTTTACCACCTTACTTCTTACATATTTGTACGTAAATGCACATCTATATATGATAATATATGTATATAGAATTATTTTATAGCTGGAGATGGCTGCTCTTTGATTTCTTCTTTTGCCTAGCAGATTTTTATGTTTCCCTGTTATATAAACCATGCTTGAGCAAGGAAAGGTAGTTGACAAAGATCATTGGTAAGTCCATTGTATGCCACTCCGGCAGCATTTTCCCATAGAAACAAACATGAGAGTGGGGTTCCCAGGCCAGCCCACAGAAAAGCTGTTTACCCCATCATGGGTACATGAAATACAGGGCTAGCAAGTATGTAATAATGTCAACTTGGAAACAGCTTTAAGGGTTTGGGTTAAGGAATGCTATTTTATTCACTAGCACACATTTTTTTAAGCTCCTATTGTGTCCCCAAAACACACATTCCCAACAACAAAAACCTTAGCAGTGGAAAGAGGTTTTCGTTTTCTCTTTTCTTCTCGTTCTTTTTTTTTTTTTTTTAAGTTTATTTCTTTAGGCCTCCAAACATGCTCTATGTATCTTCTTACAGTTCTTCCTGTTCTTCCTGACTCCTTCCCTGGGCAGTGGGAATCTTTTGGACAAGGATGATGGATTTAGGGATGGGCAAATGACAGTTGTGAAGATGGACAGGAGCAGGAGAGGCCAATGTACCACAGCAGAAGAGGGCAGGAGAGGAGCTCCAGAGGTGTGAATGGAGGCATCAGGCATAGAGACCCCCTACCGAGGCTATAGGTAGACTGTGATTAGCTGGTGAGGAGAAGGAATAGGAAATCCCTAGGTGCTGCGGCAGCAAGAAGAGAGGGCATTTGCTGGTGGTAGTGGTGGTGAGCCATGACTCAATTCAGTTAAAGGGACCTGAGGACCTGCTTCTACCTCGGCACCGTGGAGGCCTGGTGGGACTATGGCAAGGAAGGAGGTGAGACTCCCAAGGCACATTGAAGGGAATTCTGGAAAGCTGGCTTGGAGAGAGCATGGTCTTCTCACTATATGAATTCCTTCTGTATCCCTCCCTTCTTTTTTTTTTCTCCTGTAGTCCAGAGAGGTTGAAATGTCTGATAACATAGCAGGTTTGCGACATGAAAGAGATGAGAACCTAGCTGGTCTCCTAGTATCCAATACAATATTCTTTCCCTTACATATTCTTTTTAAATATAAGATATTTTTATTGAAATGGGTGATTATGACAAAGGCCTTAGGAGAGCTCGGTCCAGGGGAGCAATAGAGAAGAACTCAGAGAAAAAGACAGGCTTTGTTTTCCCAAACATTTTCCTTATATCCCTGGCTTGCTCTTTCCCCTGTGAGCACCCTGGAGCTCCAGCCCTCCGTCACCTTCTTTCTCCCATTTTGCCTGTGACTTAGGAACGAACGTGATGGTTAAGCTACCTTCATTAAGCAGCATGACCGCTTCCTGAGCTCCTGCTGCCGCATTTAGGCCCTGTCAGCTGTGAGGCCACTGGTGCTGAGTCAGAGGGAAAAGCTCAGAACAGCCTTGAGCAGCGAAGAATAAAGCATGACTCATCTCGTCCTGCCCACCCCTCACACTGGACTATAAATACCCTCCCTGGGTCTGTGTGCTGTTATTCCAAAAGATGCGATGAATACCCAGAACTAGGCTATTCATGGGCTGTTGCCCAGTTCAAGCTCTATTGGGTCCTGAGGAAGATTACTATTTTGGCTACATTGTTTATCATTAAAACCAGCCCAGGGATGTGTAAACCTGCATCTGGAGAATAAGACATTTCTTTTTGGTTAAATGATATTAGAGAAAAAAAAAACTATCCAAGGCTGCTAACAAATAATCTTCACTTTCAATTATATCCAGCAATAAGTTGTTCTCCAGAAAAGAAAGCTTGGAAACTTACCCAGTTTGCCTTCCATTTGGGACATGACTGATGTGCTTCAGTCTTTGTATAATAAATGCATCTTCGCCACTCTATATCTTTGTTATTGCTTTTGTCTCGTTATCACAACAACTTCCTTCCCTGATTTCCACAGCCTCTATTTTTTCTTTTCTCTAGAAGACTAGTTAGGAAGACTTAGAGGTGGGGTCTGTGCACTCGCTTCCCCTTGAAAATGTGATTTACTTTTATGGTATAACTTTCTGGTACTTTGAATTAAATAGGACATTCTCTTCCCTTTGGCCACAGAGGCAAGTATAGAATGAGATCCTTGTTTCCTAACCACTTACCAGAACATATATCTGAAGAAATGAGCACCAGTATTTCTGTCTCAACTACAGTTTCTCTTTTTTTTTTCTTTCTTTTCTTTTTCTTAAAACAGGGTCTTACCGTGTTACCCAGGCTGGAGTGCAGTGGCACAATCATGGCTCACTGCAGCCTTGACTTCCTGGGCTCAAGCAATCCTCCCACCTCAGCCTCCCTAGTAGCTAGGACTACAGGCACACACCACCACAGCCAGATAATTAAAAAATTTTTTTTTGCAGAAACAGGGTCTTGCCCTGTTGCCCAGGCTGGTCTCGAACTCCTGAGCTCAAGTGATTAGATGCCATTTCCCCAGGGAAATACCCTTTCAACCCAGAGGCCCTAACGCTAACTATAGTGGTTCCTAAATCTTTGTGACATCCAGCATTATCTCCAGTAAAAGAAGTATTTTAATTTTTCCCATAAGAAAATACTTTTGGGAGTGGTGGAGCCAACAGTTACAAGAGTGATTTAAGTCCAGGAAGTACTGCAGAGTGGGATGGACTGAACCAAGGACTAGGGACCAGGTGTGCAGCTGATTAACCCTGACTTAGTACATGCTCAGGGCTGGGTTCTTTGTTGGTGCTTCACATTTCTCTCTCCTTAGTTTGGATTTCACAAATGTGTCCCTTTTTTCCCATCACAAAATGCATTAACAGGAAAGACCCATTTTTTTAATTTTTTATTTTTATTTTTATTTTTTTTGAGACAGAGTTTCACTCTTGTTGCCCAGGCTGGAGTGCAAATGCGTGATCTTGGCTCACTGCAACCTCTGCCTCACGGCCTCAAGTGCTTCTCCTGCCTCAGGCTCCCAAGTAGCTGGGATTACAGGCAGGCACCACCATGCCCAGCTAATTTTGTATTTTTAGTAGAGACGGGGTTTCTCCATGTTGGTCAGGCTGGTCTCAAACTCCCGACCTCAGGTGATCCGCTCACCTCGTCCTCCTAAAGTGCTGGGATTACAGGAGTGAGCCACTACGCCTGGCCAGGAAAGACCCGTTTATGATGAGTAGTCTTGTAGCAAGATGTTTTACAAAGAGGTTTCTTCACTCATTTACTCTGATTATTCAGGAAGGCAGAAACTGAAATGGAAGACCCTTCCAACCAGCACATCTGTTTATCTGTGGATCCACTCACTTCAAGGCAGTTTATGACAAACCAGTATAAAGTACCAAATGAAGATTTGCAACTTTGCACTTGACTGGAAATGAGACTTTCAGCTGGTTTCCCGTTCTGAGCTTACTTGAAAGCAGCTCAGAATAACTGTTTCTTCCCCTAAAGGGAATATTTACAGAACTCCAAAACTTAAAACAGTTAGAGCCATTCTTGGAGCTCATCTTCCCCCACACAAAGCAACCCATTTCCACAAGCGGTGGGACCCCAGGGTTCTTAAGGCATTTTGTTTATAAATACTACTAATTTGGACCATTAATATTTCTAACAGGCTTATCGTATTCATTGTTTAAATCAGTTTGGGGATGTAATGTGTAGTTACCTAGAAAGGCTATATTTATAGAAATTTAATTCTTCCCAATTTATGATTCTTGATTTTTAAAAAATTTTATATCGTAGTTTTACTTTGGATCAACTTCTGGCCTTTCTCTCAGGCTCAAAAGTTGAGCTATACTATGTTTGATCATTTCTACACACTGTAGAAAAGAGGCAGCTCATTATAGCAGAAGTTCTCCACCTGGAATTAACAATAGTTGTGACACTGGAGAAGCATAGCCCAGAGTGCAAGAGATTTGCAGGATGAATGGTGGCAAGGAAATCTATTTCTAAGTCCTCCTATTCTGGTTTTGAAGGACTCAATTTCTGGATCCTTTTCTCTTTGCCTGAAAACATATTTATATTCACAATAGTACTTCTCTCACATTGCAAAAGAAAGAAATCTCAAATCTTACTATCATTAATTGCTCCAGGATACCCATCAAAAAGGATTAGTTAGGGAGTGCTGAAACCCATAAGGCTTAGTCTTTCCCTGCCTTATGTATTTTCTCGTTAAGGAGAAGCTTGGCTTTAGGAACTGTGTTGGATATTCTGTATTCAGGTACAGATATGCACGCCCCTTAACCACAGGGAAATGTCTGAGAAAGGTGTCATTAGGCAAGATCATTGTTGTGCAAACATCAGAGAATGTATTTAACAAACCTAAATGTCATAGCCTACAACACATCTAGTCTATATGGTATGGCCTGTCCCTCCTAGGCTACAAACCTGTACAGCATGTTACTATACAGAATACTGCAGGCAGTTGTAACACAATGGTGAGTATTGTGTATCTAAAAGTATCCAAGCAGAAAAAGTACAGTAAATATACCATATACCATGGTAGTATATATGGTCCATTGTTGACAGAAATGTTATCTGGCAGATGACTGCATATGCTGAATTTAGAGACGTAGGCAGTAGTTACAACAGCTTTCCTTTTTAATTTATTTTTATTTTTTATTTATTTATTTTTTTTGAGACAGAGTTTCGCTCTGTCACCCAGGCTGGAGTGCAGTGGTGTGATCTTGGCTCACTGCAACCTCCGCCTCCTGGATTCAAGCGATTCTCCTGCCTCAGCCTCCTCAGTAGCTAGGAATCCAGGCGCATGCCACCACGTCTGGCTAATTTTTGTATTTTTAGTAGAGACAGGTTTCACCATGTTGGTCAGGCTGGTATCGAACTCCTGATCTCATTATCTGCCCACCTCGGCCTTCCAAAGTGCTGAGATTACAGGCATGAGCCACTGCACCCAGCCAACAGCTTTCCTTTTAGGACTTAGCCTTTTTCATCCCCTGACTAATTTCAGAAGAATTTATCCATTTTAAGGGAAAGCTCTGGGAGAGCAAAGCAAAGAGCGTTGGTAAGAAATTGTGAATGAGGTGGATAGAAAACACAAACCATTTTCCCTCTGCTTGCACACCACAACAATCAACACAAGTTCTTCTGTGACCAAACGTGTGGGAACTTTTCACCACACGCCAAGCAAGCAATCAGTTCTGCAGTGGACACCAGCTGGGCGTTCTCCAATTCAATTCCCACACTATCTACCTGGAGACCACAGATTGAGGGGCAGCGCCAGGACTGTCTTCTCCTTCTGATGCCAATTGAAAGCCCCAGATTGCTTCACCTGTCCTTCTGGCTGACATGCTCTGTAAATTGGGAATCCCACAGCCTCCTCTTCTGGTTCTATTAATTTGCTAGAGCAACTCACAGAGCTCAGGGAAACACTTTTACTGGTTTATTATTAGTATTATGTTTATTTGTTTGTTTTGAGACAAAGTCAAGCTCTGTCACCTAAACTGGAGTGCAGTGGAACAATCACAGTTCACTGCAGTCTCCATCTCGTGGACTCAGGCAGTCTTCCTGCCTCAGCCTCCCCAGTAGCTGGGACTATAGGCACATGCTACCATGCCTGGCTCTACCAGTTTATTCTAAACAATATTACCAGCCAGGCACGGTAGAGCACACCTGTAATCCTAGCACTTTGAGAGACTCAGGTGGGAGGATTGCTTGAAGCCAGGAGTTCAAGAGCAGCCTGGACAACATAGTGAGATCCTGTCTCTACAAAAAATAACAAAATTAGCCAGGCATGATGGCACACACAGTCCCAGCTACTTGGGAGGCTGAGGTGGGAAGATCATTTGAGCCTAGGAGTTGGAGGCTACAGTGAGCTATAATCATGCCACTGCACTCCAGCCTGAAAAAACAGGGCAAGACCGTTTCTGAAAAAAAAAAATAATAATAATAATAATAAAATAAATTTTTAAAAAGGATATTACAAAGGATACAGCTGAAGAGATACGTAGGGTGAGGTATACAGGGGAAGGTGTTCAGAGCTTCCACACCTTCTCTGGCTGCACCACCCTCTGGGAAACTACACTGTGTTCAGCTATCCAGAAGCTGTCTGCACCCTGTCCTTTTAAATTTTTACGGAGGCTTCATTATGTAGGCATGATGAATTAAACACTTGGCCACTGGTGATCAACTTAACCTTCAGCTCCTCTCTGCCTTTCCTGAAGGCTGGAGGGTGGGGCTGAAAACCCCAACCATCCGATTCTGCCTTGGTCTTTCTGGTAACCAGTCCCATCCTAAATCTACCTAGGGGCTGCCAGTCAGGAGGCACCTCATTAACATATACAGAGACATCACTTTTAAGATTCCAAGGATTTTAGGAGCTGTATGCCAAGAAACTGGGAGGAAGACCAAATATGTATTTCACAATGTCACAGTGAGGGTATGCCATGAGCTAGAACAAACAGACCAAAGCAGTATTGCTTTTTGACTCTTGGGAGGCCCTAGAGGTTAAGCAACTTGCCCAAGACCACACAATGAGTCTTTCAGCCAGATTTTGAACACAGGCAGTCTGGATCCATGGTCAGTGTTCTTGACTCCTACTTGTCTTGTTAAAAGATGTTTCCAAATTATAGTTAATCCTAATTTTATTTTATGTATACAGTGATTATATTTTCAACCTTCTAAAAAAAATTATATATATATATATACTACTGGGCTACTTTTTAGTGTTTTTATGCAATATACATCTTTCTCTTTCATTTAATACAGAATAAAAGTTGATCATTTCTATCTAAATTAATGGAGTTATTTATGAGTTTTTACACAGTCGTCTTATGGTATCCACAGAGGATTGGTTCCAGGACACCCCCTCCACCCCACTCCCACCTCACCCTCAGAGCTTACCAAAATCTTTGAATGCTCAAGTCCCTGATATAAAATGGTATACTTACTTGCATATAACCTATGCACATCCTCCTGTATATTTTTCATTATCTCTAGATTACTTACAATAGCTAATAAAATGTAAATGCTATGTACATAGTTGTTATACTGTGTTTTTAAATTTGTATTATTTTTATTTTTCTATTGGTTTTTTTTATTGTTTGGGGTTTTTTCTTCCACATTTTTTTTTATCCTTGGTTGATCAAATTCAAGGATGCAGACCCAGCAGATACAGAAGGCTGTTTTGTGGTCATTTTGTTTTTTTGTTTCTAATTGACATAATAATTACACACATGGGGCACAGTGTGATGTTTCAATACATGTATACATTGTGTAAAAATCAAATCAGGGTATTTAACGTATCCATCACCTTGTACATTTATAATTTCTTTGTCGTAAGAATATTCAAAATACCCCTTTTCTAGCTATTTTGAAATAGCTATTTTGAAATATTTTGAAATGCAATATATTATTAACCAAAGTCACTCTACTGTGCAATAGAACACTAGAACTTATTCGTCCTAACTGTAACTTGGTACCCATTGACCATCTTCTCCCCATCCCCTCCACTCCATTCTCCCCAGCCTCCAGCAACCTCTATTTTACTCTATTTCTATGAAATCAACCTCTTTAGATGCCACATATGAGTGAGATCATGTAGTATTTGTCCTTCTGTGCTTATTTCACTTAATGTAATGTCCTACAGGTTCATCCATGTCGCCACAGATGACAGGATCTCATTCTTTTTTACGGCCAAAGAGTACTCTGCTGGGTATATGTACCGTATTTTTTTAATCCATTCATCCGCTGATGGACAGTTAGATTGCTTCCAAATCTTGGCTATTGTGAATAGTGCTGCAGTAAACATGAGAGTGCAGATATCTCTTCCACATACTGATTCCATTTCCTTTGGATATATTCCCAGTAGTGAGATTGCTGGATCATATGGTAGTTCCATTAATTACTGCTAAAAGCTAAATATCAGATTTTTATACGTATAGGTGGCATACATTCATCAGAAATATATCACGCTTCATAAATACTTGTACTTTTGGCTGCACATTATAATGTAGTATGGCATAGTATTGAGTAATAGCATATCAATTTATTCTTTCTGTTTAAAAACCAAATACATTAATCTGGACAAGGTAGTGTGTGCCTGTAATCCCAGCTACTCAAGAGGCTGATGTAGAAGGACCACTTGAGCCCAAGTGTTCAAGACGAGCCTGAACAACATAGCAAGACCTAGTCTAAAAACAAAAAGATACATTAAATATACTACATCTTATTCATTTGAATTAAAAAGTGAAAGCTGGACATAGTAGCTCACACCTGTAATCCCAGCACTTTGGGAGGCCAAAGGTGGGAGGATCACTTGAGGTCAGGAGTTCGAGACCAGCCTGGCCAACATGGTGAAACCCCATCTCTACTGAAAATACAAAAATTAGCTGGACATGGTGGCGGGTGCTTGTAATCCCAGCTACTCAGGAGGCTGAGGCAGGAGAATTGCTTGAACCCAAGAGGCAGAGGTTACAGTGAGCCAAGATTGTACCACTGCACTCCAGACTGGGCAACAGAGCGGGACTGGGAAAAAAAAAAGTTATCTTTCTAGGAGAAAATCTGCTTTGGTTGGTTCAACAGTAAGAACTGACTTTGCCAGTTAAGCTGTGGTAGATATGTTCACTAAATTGGATGCACTAAATCTATAGCCATAATTTGAGGAAATTGAGTTGACAACTGATACATTAAAAATGGATATCATTAAAAATGGATTTTAATAATCAAACAGTGTATGACTTTTGGCATATAACTTGTAAGGAGCTCAAAGACTCAAGGGGAGACATTACTATAACATTTCTCACAAGTTAGTAATGTGAAAAGGGCTTCTTAGCATTTCTATATTAAAAAAAAAAGCAACACCCAAAATAGAAAATAGACCTAGAATTAATATTGAACCTGAGTCTTCTAGTGGAAAGCCATATTGATGCATGAGATACATGAAATAATTGTGGGAGGAAAGGGCAGCCCTACTCATTTCACTATCACTAAGATATGCTTTTCAAGTAAACAGATAGTATAAAAAAATTAATGTTTATGTCTTGCTTGTCCTATACTAATCATTCTAATGATAATACAGAAGAAAATAAATGTTAACCTTTACAGCCTTATGGATTCAGAAAGCACATTTTAAAATTTCATGTTATATATATTTTTTAATTGCAGAAAAGTATGATAGGGTGATCAGTTAAAGACAAGTACAAAAATATACTAGGATAAAATTGGAGCACATAAAATGAAAACATTCAAGAAATGAAAGATGTAAAAATCTTGGCTGTTAAGAGAATGTTTTTTAATGGATTTTGGTCATTTTAAAATGTGCTAAGGCTGAGCGTACTGGCTAACGCCTGTGGTCCCAGTGCTTTGAGAGACTGAGGTGGGAGGATTGCTTTGGGCCAGGAGTCCAAGAACTAGCCTAGGCAACATAGCAAGACTCCCATTTAAAAAAATAATAAAATACAATGTGCTAGAATATTTGCCCTTTGTAAATATTTGAGGTTACAGTGAGAATTACAGATATCGACCTGAAAAATGTGGGAGGAGAGTTGTATGTATGTGCATATTTTCTGGAGGGAGAGGTTATCCATAGCTTTCATCAGATTCATTAAAGGCAGGGTATTTGAGCCAGAAAACAATTCAGCACAGTCAGAGGCCAGGTCACCAGTCCCTGTAGGTGTACTGTTCACTCTAGCCTCTACTTATTCCGTATGTCTTTCCTGTACCAACATGTAGATGTATGGGTGGTGCAAAAGAGTATCTGCTTTTTAAAATCCCAGTAGAGTTATAAATTCTTAGAGTAGAACTCTTAGTTTAGAAACATCTTTCCTGTATATCTTCATCAAATAATTATATTTCTCCTGTGATTGTTTCGTGTCTGTAAGTTGGTGGTACCCTCTCTTTCAGTTTGAAGGAAGAAAGTACTGTGAACATGACTTTCAGATGCTCTTTGCCCCTTGCTGTCATCAGTGTGGTAAGTTTTACTGCTAAATGTCAAGTAAAAAGTAAGTTTCCGGCCAGGCGCGGTGGCTCACACCTGTAATCCTAGCACTTTGGGAGGCGGAGGGAGGAGGATCACCTGAGGTCAGGAATTCGAGACCAGCCTGGCCAACGTAGGGAAACCCGGTCTCTACTAAAAATACAAAAATTAACTGGGCATGGTGGCAGGTGCCAGTAATCCCAGTTATTCAAGAGGCTGAGGCAGGAGAATCGCTTGAACCCAGGGGGCAGAGGTTGCAGTGAGCTGAGATTGCACCACTTCACTCCAGCCTGGGCAACAGCCAAACTCCATCTTGCGGGGAAAAAAAGTAAGTTTCCACATTACTTCAGTCATTTCACACTGGTGAAGTATCGATGGTAAAAATGGTTTTTAGTGCTCATTATGAATAACTGTTGGATACTTCATCACTCCTCTTCCCTATTGTTAACATAGAACAAGCTGGAGGAGTATCAAAACCTAGAGATCATTGATTTTTAAGGACATTTAAGGTAGAGGTATTTTGGGATGAACTAGGACTCCTATCGGGTGGTGTTTGGGAGTGTTCTTTTCCTGTGTTAACACAACCTTTACCTACTTGCTTTTGGTTTTGCCCGGAAAGAGGCAGGGAAGAAATCAGTGAGGTGCTTCAGAAGCTTAGGGATGCTTAAACATTGCTTGCACGGCGCATAAGTGATGGACTTGCTTGCACGTTGGCCACTTCACTGGTTGCTAATACCTCTGCCAGGTTTCCAGAGATTGAAGAAACTGGGTAGAATGTTCTAAAGGTTTAATGAAAGAATAAATTAAGTATGGGTTATAAGAAACTGTGCTGTAGATTTCAGTTGTCTATGTTGACAATGACCAGAAATAACCAAAAGGCATTCAAGAGAGCCTAGTAGCTCATTTGGAAAGGAAAGCTAGATTCAGAGATGACACAAAACAGCCCAAAAATGTGGCTGCTGAATCAAAAACAAAAATTCGGATGAAATAAAAACTTTTTTGCTAATGTGCTTACTCTGGTAGACACATAAATAAAAAGTTCTTCTACTGGCCACGTGTGGTGGCTCACGCCTATAATCCTAGCACTTTGGGAGGCCAAGACGGGCGGATCACCTGAGGTCGGGAATTTGACCAACATGGAGAAACCCCATCTCTACTGAAAATACAAAATTAGCCGGGCGTGGTGGCAGGTGCCTGTAATCCCAGCTACTTGGGAGGCTGAGGCAGGAGAATCGCTTGAACCCGGGAGGCAGAGGTTGCAGTGAGTCGAGATGGTGCCATTGCACTCCAGCCTGGACAACAAGAGCGAAACTGTCTCCAAAAAAAAAAAAAGTTCCTCTATTGAGAAAGGCTTCAACGGTTTTTTTCCTCACTGTTTTTCCTTAATTGCTCTCTCAGTAAATAAAGTGCCATGCCTGTTACTTAGGATGTTACTTAGTAACATCCTTTGTGTGTTGCTTTCCCACAGGTGAATTCATCATTGGCCGAGTTATCAAAGCCATGAATAACAGCTGGCATCCGGAGTGCTTCCGCTGTGACCTCTGCCAGGAAGTTCTGGCAGATATCGGGTTTGTCAAGAATGCTGGGAGGTAGGTGGATTTTCATCCTTGTCAGATGTGGGTGGACAATGTGACTGTGACAAGATCATGTGTATTCTCCATGTGGGATGTAAGGCAGTTCTGTAGGACACTGAATTGAGGGCATGGGAACTCAGACACTGCAGTGTGTTGACTGAGTGCTGCTGCTGGGAGTGGACCCTTGTGTTGCTGTTCACAGGGCATAACTGCTCCATGCATGGCTGAACTACCAATGGGGGATGTACCTAGATGGAGTTTCTTAAAAATCAGTCATATTAGGGTTGGAACACATTTTTCATGTGGCTTGATTCTGCCCCGTGAAGCACAGGAGTGATTTTTTTAAGAAATGGTTTGTTTAATTTCTTTTCAGAGATAAGGGAAGCATATTTCTTTTTAACCATTAGAAAGAACCTAAAATTTTAAATTTAAGTTTTGACTCTGTTTAGACACCTGTGTCGCCCCTGTCATAATCGTGAGAAAGCCAGAGGCCTTGGGAAATACATCTGCCAGAAATGCCATGCTATCATCGATGAGCAGCCTCTGATATTCAAGAACGACCCCTACCATCCAGACCATTTCAACTGCGCCAACTGCGGGTACTGGAATTGTTTCTTTTTTATTACACAAGCAGTGGGAATGAAAGATTACATTTATCTATATTTCTGTTACTCTAGCAAACCAAATTGTTTTTCTCCCATTTTTAGTCTAGAAAATTTTAAACCTATAGAAGAGTCAGGAGAATGATATAATGAAACCTGTATACCCTTAATTTCATTTCACCAGTTGACATTTTGCCATGCTTGTGTGTATACAGTCCACATTCTCGTTTCACCCTCCTATGTATGTGTGCACATGTGCCTGTATACGCATACCTCTAAAATTTCTCATGACTCCCAGTATGCATCTCCTGAGAATAAGGGCATTTTCCTATGGAACCATGATACATTTTGTAAATTTTTTTTTTCCTTGAGACAGGGTCTCGCTCTATTGCCCAGGCTGAAGTGCAGTGGGCAATCATAGCTCACTGCAGCCTCACCCTCCTGGGCTCAAGCAGTCCCCCCACTTCAGCCTCCAGAGTAGCTGAGACCACAGGCACACACCACCCTTCCTAATTTTTTTAAATTTTTTGTAGAGATGGAGCCTTGCTGCGTTGCCCAGGCTGGTCTCAAACTCCTGGGCTCAAGCAATCTACTCATCTCGGCCTCCCAAAGTGCTGGGACTATAGGCATGAGCCACTGCACCTGGCCAGAACCACAATACTCTTATTATGCCTAAGAAAATTAGCAATAATCTTATAATATCAACTATCAGTCCATATTAAAAATATTCCCAGTAGCCCCAGAAATATTTGTCATCACTATGTTTTTCCAGTCGAAGATCTAAAAACAAAAAAAGGTCTTATCTCTGTACATGCATAACTTTTACAGTTGTAATAATTAGATATTATCTTAAAAGATGTTGTTATATTTATTTAATTTGGCTTGGTTTATATCTAAAAGAAATATATTTAATTTTTTGTCTTCAATAAGTTATGATAAATTGTTAGGCTATGAATTTTTCTCAGTTTGCCACCTAGTATAAAAATTTAGTGCATAAAGATTCTTGGCCGGGCGCAGTGGCTCATGCCTGTAATCCCAGCACTTTGGGAGGCTGAGGCGGGCAAATCACGAGGACAGGAGATCGAGACCATCCTGGCTAACACGGTGAAACCCCGTCTCTACTAAAAAATACAAAAAAAATTAGCCGGGCACGGTGGCGGGCGCCTGTAGTCCCAGCTACTTGGGAGGCTGAGGCAGGAGAATGGCAGGAACCCGGGAGGTGGAGCTTGCAGTGAGCCGAGATCGCGTCACTGCACTCCAGCCTGGGAGACAGAGCGAGACTCCGTCTCAAAAAAAAATTAAAAAAATATTCTTTACTATAGTTAATGTGAACTTACTTGGTAAATTATAGTAGGGATGGAGAAGAAACAGTAGGCCAAATGCTAAGAAAACAGTTTGGGCCAGGTGCAGTGGCACACGCCTGTAATCCCAGCACTTTGGGAGGCCGAGGCGGGTGGATCATGAGGTCAGGAGATCGAGACCATCCTGGCTAACATGGTGAAACCCCATCTCTACTAAAAATAAAAAAATTAGCCAGGCGTGGTGGTGGGTGGCTGTAGTCCCAGCTACTCGGGAGGCTGAGGCAGGAGAATGGCGTGAACCTGGGAGGTGGAGCTTGCAGTGAGTGTGGATCGCGCCACTGCACTCCAGCCTGGGCAGCAAAGCAAGACTCGTCTCAAAAAAAAAAAAAAAAAAAGAAAGAAAGAAAACAGTTTGGTTGTATAAGTTCAGCCATCTCATCTTTTGTGATTGAATTATCAGTTTGTGCCTTATCTCGTTTTCTTGCCTGTCCTTCCTCTTGGGGATTCACCTCTGTCCACTTTTCATTAGCATCTCTCCTAGAGAATTACATAAAAGGGATGAAATTCAAACAAGTCCATTTGACTAATTGGGACCATCTCTGACCAAATGTTTATTGATGCAGGAGACTGAAAATAATATTTAATTTGAGTATTTGGAGAAGGAAAATTCTGGGCATTTTGTTGTTTATGAAAATAAACCTATTAACCTATAACTCTTTTCAACAGCTTGTGACAATTTAAATAATTGTTAGTAAATGGAACTAGTCTCCCAACTTCTCAGTTTGCTTGGAAAGGTCGTGTGTTAGTCTATTTTATGCGCCTGTAACAGAATACCACAAACTGGGTAATTTGTAACCAACAGAAGTTTATTTGGCTCATGGTTCTGGAGGCTGGGAAGTCCAAGATCAAGGGGCTGGCATCTGGTGAGGACCTTCTTCTGCATCATTACATAGCAGAGGGCATCACATGGTGGGGGAAGAGGAGGGGGGAAGGAAGAGAAGGAAGGAGGCTGAACTCATCCTTTTATAAGGAACCCACCCCCTCAGTAACAGTGTTAATCCATCTGTGAGGGCAGAGCCTTCATGATGTAATCACCCCTTAGAGGTCCTACCTCTCAACACCTCTGCATTGGGGATCATGAACTTTGGGGACACAGTCACACCATAGCAGGTAGTATTACTGAGTCTACCCTCAGCACTGTGATTATTCCCTGTAGCTTTTAAAGGAAGACAAATGGACTAAAATGGAATGTGATAATACAAGAAGGAAATTATGAATATGACTGGTGTGGTGGTATGTATCTGACCTAGTCTTGCATCTTATCCTTTTAAGATACAGATGTTTTGGTAGGAGTCTGAAACCTGTTCGGGCCTATTAATTCAGGTTATTCTGATCACCTCTAAAGGGGAAAAAAGAAATTTGCAGGGATTGTCATAGTAATATCTTTAAAAACCTTCTAAAAAGTGTGCTAGCCCCATCGGTTGGCCATTTTTCTCTCTTAGTATTAAGCTGGGTGTCTTTCTCACAGACAGGAAGGATCTGACTGCCGATGCACAGGAGCTGAAAGGGGAGCTATACTGCCTGCCATGCCATGATAAAATGGGGGTCCCCATCTGTGGCGCTTGCCGACGGCCCATCGAAGGGCGTGTGGTGAACGCCATGGGCAAGCAGTGGCATGTGGAGGTGAGTTCTAAATGGTAAAGGGTAACCAATCCTTTCAAATCTCCATGATTAAGGAGTAACCAATACTTTCAAATCTCCATGATTAAGGGGTAACCAATCCTTTCAAATCTCCATGATTCAGGGATAACCAGTACTTTCAAATCTTCATGATTCAGGTGTCCTGGCAAGATTAGGAGACTCTAAAGATTAAACGTGGACATTTTAAAGACAATTGACTTTGCTGACAGCTAAGAATATAGAAGGTACACTGCTTTTGTGAATGTCTCAGTAATGATACAAGATGTGCACTTTTGCTCCTAAAGCCTTCTTGAAGCAGGAAGTGCCATGGTCTGTATCCAGCAGCAGCTCCTCCTTTATAGGTGCTACTGAGATGCTCACCTCTATTCTCTTTTTGGGCTATTATAATAGGCTGTGTCTTAAAGTAACCTTCAAAGACAGACACCTGAATTACAACTGCAGAAGTATTATGTTATGGGGCCACCTATGGCCAAATGAAATGACTGTCTCAAACTTTCCTTCATCTTCTCTGAAAATAGGTTAACTCTGGTGTTTACTTTATTAGATATAAAATATGGCAATTCAAAAATGACCTATAGCAATTTTTTTTCAGCATTTTGTTTGTGCCAAGTGTGAGAAACCCTTTCTTGGACATCGCCATTATGAGAGGAAAGGCCTGGCGTATTGTGAAACTCACTATAACCAGGTATTGACCTTAGTCACTGGATGCTAGATAGACTTTTATGAACCTAAGCTTATCAGTAGTTTAGCTACAAGGAAATCTCTTGGAAGATGTACATTGTTCAGTAGAGATTTGTTTTTAACTTTTTATTTGGGAAATAATTTCAGACTCAGAAGCTAACTATAAAAATACAAAGAATACCTGTATGTCTTTCATTCAAGTCCACAGTTTGCTTTATCATTTCCCACGCTCAGTCTTCCTGTGTAAAACACATACTTACATAAATATTATATACAAGTACGATGGCTGTTTCTAAAGCATTTGCCAATAAGTTCATCATACTCCTTTACCCCTAAATACTTCAGTGTATATTTCCCAAGAATATGGGACTCTCTAACATAATTGTAGTTATCAATATTGATACCGTACTTTAACCCATTTATTCCAGTTTTATCACTTGAGTCAGTAATATCCTCACAGCATTTTTTCCACTCCCAGACTGGACCCAGCCTAGGGCTGTGATGTTTCTTTAGCTTTCTTAAATCTGGAACGTTTCCAGAGTCTTTTAAAATTTTTGATGACATTGACATTTTGGAGGGATGCAGAGGGCCCCTAACCCCTTTTTAATAGACTACTTTCCACTTGGGTTCACCTGGTGCTTCTCTGTGCTTAGATGAGGTTATACACAGCAGGTTGTGGCCTCATACAGTGGCAGGGCATCTTCTCAGAACCTTGCCCCTGGAGCATTTTATACCTCTCCTGCACTGGTGATCTCCCAGGCATGGTGCTGGCTGATAACATCACTGTGAATTACAATTTCCTTCCCTCCTCTGTAAGAAAGAAGCAATCTGTGGGCAATCATTCTATGACCATGGAAATGTCCTGTTCCTCATCAACCCGCCCTAGATTCAGCACCCCTTGATGATTCTTGTCTCTGCGCCAGCTGCAAACAATACTTCTCCAGCCCCATGCCCTCCACCCATAGTCTGGTCCTCAGCGCTCTGCCTGAGCAAGAACCCACCTCCTCTCCCGTCTATAGGTTTATTCATTTATCTATTTCTTATCCATATGGACTCACAGATTTCTATATTTTGCATCACTTATTTGGGTGTTCAAACTGTCATCCGGGAAGTTTTTCTTTTAATTGATGAGAGTGAATTACTTTCATTGTAAGAAGTAAAAACTTGTCAAAGAACTTTTACTAATTTTCTCTAGTAGTGATAAATCCTCAATTTAGATAGCCAGCTATTTTTAAATGTTCAGTGTTCTAAAAATTCTAACACATCTTGAACTTTGACCACCTTTTTTTATTTTCAGCTATTTGGTGATGTTTGCTTCCACTGCAATCGTGTTATAGAAGGTGATGGTAAGTATCTGTGTGAGTTTTAGATTGGTGCCACTTTGACACAAAAACACTTGGGGAATGTGGAAATTCAGGTTGGTGATTGCTATGGTTTGAAATGTGATCGTTATCAGTTACTTTTTCTCTATCTTTGGCGTATTTTCCAAGTAATCTGTAGCAGTAAGATGATAATATCAAAGAGTTGGATTTGTTACTGATTTATGACACTACTTTTGGCCACTGCTGTAGTGTTGTATGCCAGCAATCATGGGAACTGTCCCTGGTGGACCCTAAGACCTGTTTCTGTGTCCAGTTTCAGGAAGCTCTAGAACAACGTTTATTAGGAAGAGTTTAATCTGCTATCGTAGTTAGCAAGAGGCACTTTAACCTGCACATGCTAAAAGCTGGCAGTTATCAGCAAGCATATCTAGGACTTACCACCCTTGTACTGTGGTAATTAGGCTGGGCTGATTGATTGGAACAGAAAGGAAGCAGCTGTGTTTGCTAAGACTCGCTAACACACTTCTGCCAGAGACTTCCTGGCAAAGTTTTGAACGATACTGTTTTCAGCATGATTCATGGCTGCCTGCAGACATCACCTAATTCAGGAAATACTTTTGAAACTGTTCATGTGCAGTTTGTGAAAACAATCCAGGAAAACAATCTTTAGTGCCATTGAAAATAAAACTTACCTCCCTCCTCTGTGAAATAGATGCCAGGTGAAAGAAGCTGCAGAGGAAACTGTCTTGTTATCATCAGCTCTGGAAAAAAGACTCCTACAGAGGCAAATAAGTTAATGTCTGGATTTTTGAAAATTATTTACCTAGTTCATATTTCCTAGTTGGGCCAACAGCAGTAGGGACAGAAACAGCAAGCTCACCTAAACAACATGATGCATGGACAGTTGCCACATGTGCCCAGGCCAAGGGGGCACAGTTGCTGGTGTAAGACATGGCACACATCATTTATAACTTCACAGGATACTTAAGGATGGGGGAAGATTAAAGTCAGCCCTCCGTATCCAGGGGCTGGATCCAAACATCCGTGGATTCAACCAACTATGGATCAAAAATATTTAGAGAAAAATAACAATATAACAATACAAATAGTACAGTATAATGACTATTTACATATCATTTACATTGTACTAGGCATTATAATTAACCTAGAGATGATCTAAAGTATACGAGACGGGACCAGGCGCAGTGGCTCACACCTGTAATCCCAACACTTTGGGAGGCCGAGGCAGGCAGATCAACTGAGGTCAAGAGTTCAAGACCAGTCTGGCCAACATGGTGAAACCCCATCTCTACTAAAAATACAAAAAATTAGCTGGGTGTGGTGGTGCATGCCTATAATCCCAGCTACTCGGGAGGCTGAGGCAGGAGAATCACTTGAACCCGGGAGGCAGAGGTTGCTGTGAGCCAACATCACACCATTGCACTCCAGCCTGGGCGACAAGAGCAAAACTTCGTCTCAAAAATAAATAAATAAATGTATACAAGACAATGTACATAGGTTATATGCATTTTATATCAGGAACTTGAGCGTCTGAGATTTTGGTATCCTCACAGCATCCTAGAAATAGTATCCTGCACATATTGAGCAACAACTGTATACATAAAGGTTGAGGGCCGGGTGTGGTGGCTTACACCTGTAATCCCAGCACTTAAGGAGGCCGAGACAGGAGAATTTCTTGAGGCCAGGAGTTGGATACCAGCCTGGGCAACGTAGCAAGACCTCCATCTCTACAAAATAAAAATTAAAAATTAGCCAGATGTGGTAGCACACACCTATGGTCCCAGCTACACAGGAGAATGAGATGAGAAGATTGCTTGAGCCCAGGAGTTCGAGCTGTGATCGCACCACTGCAATACAGCCTGGACAACAGAGCGAGACCCTGTCTGAAAAACAAAAGAAAAGAAGCTCTCAAGAAAGAGGTTCTTGGCTGGGCATGGTGGCTCATGCCTATAATCTCAGCATTTTGGGAGACCGAGGCAGGCAGATTGCTTGAGCCCAGGAGTTCAAGTCCGGCCTGGGAAACATGGCAAGACCGTGTCTCTATAAAAAATACAAAAATTAGCCAGGTATAGGCTGGGCGCAGTGGCTCACACTTGTAATCCCAGCACTTTGGGAGGCCAAGACGGGCGGATCACAAGGTCAAGAGATCAAGACCATCTTGGCCAACATGGTGAAATCTCGTCTCTACTAAATACAAAAATTAGCTGGGCATGGTGGCACGCGCCTGTAGTCCCAGCTACTTGGGAAAATGAGGCAGGAGAATCGCTTGAACCCAGGAGGCGGAGGTTGCAGTGAGCTGTGATTGCGCCACTGCACTCCAGCCTGGCAACAGAGCGAGACTCTGTCTCAAAAAAAAAAAAAAAAAAAATTAGCCAGGTATAGTGGCATGCACTGTAGTCCCAGCTACTCAGGAGGCTGAGGTGGGAGGATCACTTGAGCCTGGGAGGTTGGGGCTACAGTGAGCCAAGATTGTGCCACTGTACTCCAGCCTGGGCTATAGAGCAAGACCCTGTCTCATTTTTTAAAAAAAACGTTCTTGAGAACCTCCACCAAGTGCCACAGACACAGTCGTAGTTCTGTTTTAGAGTTGAAATTCTAAGCTGCCCTGCTCCCCATACTGATGTATTTCCATGTGACCAGATCTCTTTCCTCTTTCTCCAGTGGTCTCTGCTCTTAATAAGGCCTGGTGCGTGAACTGCTTTGCCTGTTCTACCTGCAACACTAAATTAACACTCAAGTAAGTGTACGGTTTTGTCCAGTGTGAATCCTAAGACTGAAAACTTTGGGGGGACACTGAAAAAAAATCCTAGAATTTAGAAAAAGAGAATTATTTGATTTCTTATTTCCTCTTTCTGTTCAGGCCTTCTGAAAGTAAAGGTTCTTCCTTTAACTGTTCCCTGTTCTTTCTTCTATTCCTTCTTTGTCCTACTCAAAGGGATAAGTTTGTTGAAATTGACCTAAAGCCAGTCTGCAAACACTGTTATGAGAAAATGCCAGAAGAATTTAAGAGGCGACTTGCCAAACGGGAGAGAGAAGCAAAGGATAAGGACAAGCAGAAAAAGAAAAAGCCAGTCTGTTTGTAAACTTTTCTATCCCTGTGTCATCATTTTCACTACTTTCTCCTTTGGTTAGTCCTTTGGAATATGTTTTTGTTCTGTTTCTGTCTTTTGCTTTCTTCCCCCCCTGCAACTTTTGGGCGTGTATTTGTAGTCATCAGAAATTTGGGCCAAGGGGAGCGGATCACGAGGTCAGGAGATCGAGACTATCCTGGCTAACACGGTGAAACCCCATCTCTACTAAAAATACAAAAAAAACATTAGCCAGGCGTGGTGGCGGTCGCCTGTAGTCCCAGCTCCTCAGGAGGCTGAGGCAGGAGAATGGCTTGAACCCAGGAGGCGGAGCTTGCAGTGAGCCGAGACCGCGCCGCTGCACTCCAGCCTGGGTGACAGAGCAAGACTCTGTCTCAAAAAAAAAAAAAAAAAAGTGTAAGTGGATTAAAAGAGAAACTTGGTCTAGTTCATAATATTTTTAATAGGGCTTTCCCTGGCTGCTGGAAAACTTAGGCCAGTAAGCATCTCTTTGTTTAAAGTCCTACAAGACAATTTGAAATAATTCATTGTTCATGCCAAAATTCTAAGTACTGTTTTTCTTAGCAAGTGTAACATAATCAGGAACAATGGGTACGAGTAAAACATTCTTTGGATGATATTCAGAGCCTTATTAGCACTGCATCTGAATAATAGGTCATTTTGCCTCACTCATTTGCCAAAGTAGCCATTTCTAAGTTAAGGAAGTTTTTAGATAGGCTCATAGCCTTGTATTTCGTTTTAGATTGTAAGCTCAATGGTAGGGATACTATATTGGTAATTATGTTTTCATATAGCAACCACCACAGTATATTCTTGGTGCTTAATAAATGTTTATAATTGTTAACAATAACCTGTTGTATATTGTTTAATTTGAATGGTATATATATGAAATACGTATGAAAATTGAAGTATTCATGAATATATAATAGAAACAAGTAAATGAATAAAATGACCTGGTTACTATAGATAAGCCAAATTTTGAACCATCTAGAACAATGGTGTAGTCTTCCCTCTACTCAATGTAAATGCTGGGTTTTTTAATTATTATTATTCTTAAGAAAGGAGATACAGGCCAGGCACAGTGGCTCACACCTGTAATCCCAGCACGTTGGGAGGCCGAGGCCAGTGGATCACTTGAGGTCAGGAGTTTGAGACCAGCCTGGCCAACACAGTGAAACCTCATCTCTATTAAAAATACAAAAATTAGTAGGGCGTGGTGGTGTGCACCTGTAGTCCCAGCTACTTGGGAGGCTGAGGCAGTAGAATCACTTGAATCCAGGAGGCAGAGGTTGCAGTGAGCTGAGATTGCACCATTGCACTCCAGCCTGGGTGACAGAGTAAGAAAGACTCCATCTCAAAAAAAAAAAAAAAAAAAAAGAAAGGAGATATACAGCTTAATAAAAAATTCAGCAAGCCCTGAGTCACTGTGTGCAGTGTGCTGGGAAGACACCCACTACCAGGGCATTCCTCTTCCAGTGCTTGGTCTGCCCAGCTCTGCATCCACCTTAAATGTAGAGAATCCTGGGGGCTCTGTCTGAGTCTTGCATTCCATTTCCTTCCCTGTAGAGGTGAGACAGGTCATTACATCTCCCTGTGGGAAGTGTTGGATGGGGTGAGCACAGAGCATGCTAGACCATAGTGGCAGGAGCCCAGGGAGGGGAGGAGAGGGGAGGCTTCCTAGAGGAGCTGGATCTTGAGAGATGAACAGAAGTTGGCCAGGCGGGGAAGGAGGATAGGGAGTGGGCATCCCAGGCCATGGCAGAAGGACTGCTTGAGCCCAGGAGTTCCAAGACAAGCCTGGGCAACATAGCAAGACCCCAGTTCTACAAAAAATTAAAAACTAGGCAGGTGTGGTGATGAGACCCCGTCTCTACAAAAAATCAAAAAGTTAGGCATGGTGGCACATGCCTATGGCGACCAGCTACTCTGGAGACTGAGGATGGCTTGAGCCCAGGTCAAGGCTGCAGTGAGCTATGATCGCACCGCTGCACTCCAGCCTGGGGGACAGTGAGACCCTGTCTGAAAAAAAAAATTAAATTAAAAAAAATCTACTTGGGAAATACTTATAATAGTAAAAGCACGATCTAAAATACTATACATGATCATAAATATGTGCAAAATGGCCTTTTGAAAAGATGGAGGGAATACATCAAAATGTTACGGAAATGGTTTTTAAATTTTTTGTTTGGAGTTTTTTTTTTTTTTTTTGTAGAGAAAGGGGACTCTTCAGATGGTGCTTTCAGCTTGCCAAAATTCTATAATAATAGGAAATGGTAACTTTATTTTTTGAACTTGCTCTGTTAAATCAATTAAATGCATATGCTACAATATTGTTTTCATAATTTTTTGGCAAAATTTTCCCCATAGATGGAGCCATGCTGAGCTTTAGCTGCTTTTAAGCAGCTCCTGTCTTAATTATCACAAATTCTAACTTAGTAGAGTTAAAAGTAAAGCCTTCACTCTGATGAACCAGTCACGCTGCCTGGTAAAATTTTAGATCTCAGAAGCCATTTACCCTTGCAATAAAAATTAGTGACATTCTGGCCAGGCGTGATGGCTCACACCTGTAATCCCAGCACTTTGGGAGGCCAAGGCAGGCAGATCACCTGAGGTCGGGAGTTCGAGAGTAGCCTGACCAACATGGAGAAACCCTGTTTCTACTAAAAATACAAAATTAGCCGGGCATGGTGGCACATGCCTGTAATCCCAGCTACTTGGGAGGTTGAGTCAGGAGAATCGCTTCAACCCAGGAGGTGGAGATTGCAGAGAGCCGAGATCGCACCATTGCACTCCAGCCTGGGCAACAAGAGTGAAACTCTGTCTCAAAAAAAAAAAAAAAGAACAACTAGAGCAGTGGTCCCTAAGTGAAGCTTCCTCTGTATTTACATCCTCTCCTTATCACTTGCATCACCATCTGCCTCCTGTCAGATCATCGGTCACATCAGATTCTTATAGGGGCACAAACCCTATTGTGAACTGTGCATGTGAGGGATCTAGGTTGGGTGCTCCTTATGAGAATCTGATGCCTGATGATCTGTCACTGTCTCCCATCACCCTCAGATGAGACCATCTAGTTGCGGGAAAACAAGCTCAGGACCCCCACAGATTCTACCTTATAGTGAGTTGTGTAATTATCTCATTATATATTACAATGTAGTAATAGAAGTAAAGTACACAATAAATGTAATATGCTTGAATCATCCTGAAACCATCTCCAAAGTACACAATAAATGTAATATGCTTGAATCATCCTGAAACCATCTCCACCACCACCGTCTGTGGAAAAATTGCTTTCCATGAAACTGGTCCATGGTGCCAAAAAGGTCAAGGACCACAAAAAAGGTTGAGGACCACAAAAAAAAGAAGTGCATCAGAGGCCAGGCACGGTGGCTCACGCCTGTAATCCCAGCCCTTTGGAAGGCCTAGGCAGGCAGATGGCTTGAGTCCAGGAGTTCAAAACCAGCATGAGCAACACAACGAAACCCCATCTCTACTAAAAATACAAAAAATTAGCCAGGTGTGGTAGCATGCACCTGTAGTCCCAGCTACTCGGGAGGCTGAGGTGGAAGAATCCCCTGAGCTCAGGACGTCGAGGCTGCAGTGAGCCATGATCATACCACTGTACTCCAGCCTGGGCGACAAAGTGAGACCTTTCTAAAAAAAAAAAAGAAAAAGAAAAAAAAAAGCATCAGCATATAATGTGATAAGAATCAATGTTAGAAATATGAATGGGAGGCCAGGCATGGTAGCTCATGCCTGTAATCCCAGCACTTTGAGAGGCCGAGGCAGGCGGATCACCTGAGATCAGGAGTTCAAGACCAGCCTAACCAACGTGGCGAAATCCTGTCTCTACTAAAAATACAAAAATTAGCTGGGTGTGGTGGTGGGCACCTGTAGTCCCAACTACTCAGGAGGCTGAGGCAGGAGAATTGCTTGAAACCAGGAGGCAGAGGTTGCAGTGAACTGCAATTGCACCAGTGCACTCCAGCCTGGGTGACAGAGCGAGACTCCATCTCAACAACAACAACAACGACAACAACAAATATATATACACATATATATATATATATGTGTGTATATATATGTATATATATGAATGGGATACAGAGATTGCTCAGAGAGACTGGGTGATTGTAGGGCATCTGCAAAGATTTCCCAAAGGTGGTGAAGGCTGCACTGGGGTTTGAAAGACATGGAAGGAGCTTTCCAGAGGGAGAAAGGGGAAAGGGCGGAGGGCGGGGTGGGGGGTGAGTGGGCTTTTTAGGCAAAGAGACCCGCCTGTAAGAAGAGCCTGGTGTGATAAGAGAATGTTGAGAAATCCCATTTAGTTGAGGTTAAGCTCTGGTGAGAGATAGGAAGTTGGACACGGGTAGCTAACGTGGACCTATGCCTAGCACAGCACCTGACGTGGCAGAGGCAGTCAATAAATATCTGCTGATTAATTGTCAGACATTGGTTGGCTTTTGGGATACTGACAACACAGTGTCTTGTCAGCTAAGAATCAGATCCTGGATGGTGGGGGTTTCATCAAAGCCATTCTACCATACACAGTCCTGCCAAGCCTCTCCAGGCAAGAGCCCTTTATCTCACCATACTATTGCAACCACAAAAAAGGGAATAGTACAAGAAAAGATAGGCCATAATAGATGACTGATGCCAGAGGAATGGGATAGTAATGTGATAGGAACTCAAAGGATAGAAAAAGCGAACACTGTAGTAGAGTGGTCAAGGAAGTTTTCACAAAGGGGTAGGACTTGAGCTTGGCTTTGAACAATAAGGGAAAAAAGTGAAGGGAAAACCCACAGAAGGGGAGAAATTAGCTGCAAACTATCTATCTGATAAGGGATTAATAACCAAAAGATAGGGTGGGCGCAGTGGCTTACGCCTATATTCCCAGCACTTTGGGAGGCTGAGGTGGGCAGATCACGAGGTCAGGAGTTCAAGACCAGCCTGGCCAACATGGTGGAAACCTGTCTCTACTAAAATACAAAGCAAAACCAAAATGAAAACCACACAAATTTCATGTTTTTGTTTGGGATTATTGCCTGACTCTCATTCCACCTCTGAGAGATCCCTCCACCACTCCAGAAACACCAGCACAGCCAGGTGGTCATTGCACCTCTGAGAAACCCTCCTCCACTCCAGAGACACCAGCACAGTCAGGTGGTCGTCCCACCTCTGAGAGATCCTCCACCACTCCAGAAACACCAGCACAGCCAGGTGGTCATTGCACCTCTGAGAAACCCTCCACTCCAGAGACACCAGCACAGTCAGGTGGTCGTCCCACCTCTGAGACACCCCTCCCTCAGCCAGGTGGTGGTTCCTTCTCAGAATTTCAGCCCCACTTTCTATTTCTTCAATCATTAAGGTTCTGAGAACCCCAAACTCTTACCTTGGTTCCTCCAGCCTTGGGGTTGGCACAGTTTTAGATCTGTGGCATCTTTTTGTCAAATTCCCTGTATTCAAGGGAGTGGTAAGAGAGGGCATTCTTGCCTTGTGGTGGTTTGTAAAGGGAATGCTTCCAGCTTTTGCCCATTTAGTATAATCTTGGCTATGGGTTTGTCATAAATAGCTCTTATTATTTTATGTTCCATCAATACCTAGTTTATTGAGAGTTTTTAACATGAAGTGATGTTCAATTTTATCAAAGGCTTTTTCTACATCTATTGAGATAATCATGTGGTTTTTGTCATTGATTCTGTTTATGTGATGGATTACATTTATTGATTTACATATGTTGAACCAACCTTGCATCCAAGGGATGAAGCCAACTTGATCATAGTGAATAAACTTTTTAATGTGCTACTGGATTCAGTTTGCCAGTATTTTATTGAGGATTTTCACATCAATGTTCATCAGGGATATTGGCTTGAAGTTTTCTTTTTTTGTTGTGTCTCTGCCAGGTTTGGGTATCAGGATGATGCTGGCCTCACAAGATGAGTTAGGGAGGAGTCCCTCCTTTTCAATTGTTTGGAATAGTTACAGGATAAATGGTACCAGCTCCTCTTTGTACCTCTGGTAGAATTTGGCTGTGAATCCGTCTGGTCCTAGGCTTTTTTTGATTGGTAGGCTATTAATTACTGCCTTAATTTCAGAACTTGTTATTAGTGTATTCAGGGATTCGATTTCTTCCTGATTTAGTCTTGGGAGGGTGTTTGTTTCCAGGAATTTATTCATTTCTTCTAGATTTTCTAGTTTATTTGCGTAGAGGTGTTTACAGTACTTTCTGAGAGTAGTTTGTATTTCTGTGGGATCAATGGTGATATTTCCTTCATCATTTTTTATTGTGTCAATTTGGTTATTCTGTCTTTTCTTCCTTATTTGTCTAGCTAGCAGACTATCTATTTTGTTAATTTTTTCAAAAAAACAGCTCCTGGATTCATTGATTTTTTGAAGGGATTTTCATGGTCACTACATGGTGACATTTTAGCAATTTTAGAATAAATCCATAGACTAAATCACAGCATGCATATATCATTTATATCTTAATGGCTCGTTTAATTATTTTATTTTATTTTACTTTTTTTAGAGACAGGGTCTTGCTCTGTTGCCCAGGTTGATAGGCAGTGGCAATTATAAGTCACTATAGCCTTGGACTCCTGGGCTCAAGTGATCCTTCTGTCTCAGCCTCTTGGGTAGTTGAGACTACAGGTGTACACCACCACACCCTGCTAAATTTTTAGTTTTTTGTAGAGACAGGGTCATACTGTGTTGCCCAGGCTAGTCTTAAACTCCTGGCCTCAAGTGATCCTCCCCCTTTGACCTCTCAAAGCACCGGGATTATAGGCTTGAGCCACCATGCCTAGCCTTAACTGCTCATTTAAACCTGAACAAATCTTCATTAAGCATACTAGTAATTTTTTTTCTTTTACTGAGCTCTTTCGCCCAGGCTGGAGTGCAGTGGCTCCATCTCAGCTCACTGCAACCTCTGCCTCCCAGGTTCAAGCAATTATCCTGCCTCAGTCTCCCAAAAAGCTGAGACTTAAAATGAATGGTTGGGAAAGAATAAGGCTAAGCAGTATGGATTGAGATGCAGGGTGGGGCCCATAGACATCTTTGAGGGTCTGCACTGTCCCCTAAGATATGCACTATCCCCATGCCAGAGGGAAGAGGGACTGTAACATTAAATAGCAAATAAATAGCAATGTGACAAGGAGAGAGGAAGAGAAAAGGATAAAAGAGAAAAAGGAGAGAGGAGAAGTGGGGAGACTTACCTGAGGAACAACAAAATAATTTATGCTTTAATGTCACGTTTTGCCTGCTTTTTGGACAGAAGGGCTCACATTTTCACTTTGCACTTGCCCCTCTGAGGGCAGTGTCTCTCCATACTCCCTTCTCCTCCAGGCAGGAGTTGCTCCTCCCCCTTCTCCCTTGGGCCTGAGGACAGGGCTGAGAGGGTGGTGCTAGCTCTGCCTCCCCAGCCCTAGAGATTGTTCTGGACCTGCTACATTTCACCCCCCACCCCCACCTTTGTAAGTAGTCCTTTGATTAAACTCTCCTCATATCCTCCTAATTTGAGTGTCACATGTTTTTACTGCTTGAATGCAGAGCAATACATCCTCCCACCTCCACCCCCAAAGACCTGATTGTTGTCCTGTATTTCATATGAAGTTGAGCTGCATAATTTAGAGCTCTGCGTCGGTTAATTTGGCACATAAAACAACGTTGTATATTGACTGATTGATGAAAATACTGTGACCAGAGACTTGCAGGAACCCAAACCTGTATGTCCTCTAGGAGCAATGGTTCAGTATTTGCTAATTCACTGTTTGTGGTCACTTTATAACCAGAATAATGAGAATCAAATGTACTTCAACTTTTGAGTTTCAGTACACTTCTAAAAATCTAATTCCCTGCTCACCAGGGCTTTATTTTTCTAGTCTTTTTTCCCATGCTGAGGTAATGGATTTTGAAAATACCAGGTTTGAAGACTACAGCCACTGTAAGCCCCCCAAAAACCCTGGTGAATTGTTTGTAATTAGCAGTGCAGATCAGTGGCTCCCCTACTCTACCAGGAATGGAAACCACCTGTGGACTTGTTTCAAAATACAGTGCAGGGGACCCAACACCAGACCTAAGTCAGCATTTTCAGAGACAGGATTTGGGCATCTAAATTTTAAACAAGTGCTGCAAATGATTCTACCTGGCAGCCAGGTTTGGGAAACGCTGATGTAACTCTTACTTATTATGTATCCATATGTTTATGTTGTTTGTTTCTTTTTGCTCGTCTCCTTTTCTGCCTCCTGACAGCCCCATTATGGTGTCATTGGCTTTATTGTATGTCTCCTATTATTTTACCCCTCTCTCTCCAGTTTCTAGAAAATTTCTCCACAAACTGAGAGCTCCAGAATTGATGACTCAGAGTGAACCGAGGAGATCACTACTGTGCACAAGTTTGCCTCCAAACAACTGGGTGATGCCTCCAAACAGGTCAGATGTTTTTCACCATATTTTAGAGACAGGAACATGTAGCTATTGGGTACCTGATGTGTGACCATGAAAATCCCAGGAATTTTAGGGGATATCTTAAAGTAACTCTCAATATTAATGCTGCTAAATTTAAGGAGTCAAATTGGAAAGAGTTGTACATTTTAAAAATATATTATGGATAATTTAAAATATATACAAAAGTAGAAAGAAAAATATAATAAACTCTCATGCCACTGTCATACAGCTTCACACTGATTAACTCATAGTCAACCATGTTCCATTTGTATGCCCCCTCACTCCTCATCATTTTATGCATAAACATCTCTAAAAAGATATGATCATCTCTAAAAAGTAAGACTTCTTTATAAAATGTAATAACAACATCATTATCACATCTAAAAATGTAATAATCCTTTAAAATTATCAAATATCCAGTTAGTTCAATTTTCTCTGTCACATAATTTTTTTAACAATTTTTTTGTTCAAACTAGGATCCAAATTGAAATTGGCCAATTGGCCAATATGTCTTTTAAGTCTCTTTTGAGGCTGGCTCATGCTTGTAATCCAAGCACTTTGGGAGGCTGAGGCAGGAGGATTACTTGAGGCTAGGAATTCAAGACGAGCCTGGGCAACAGAGTGAAACTCCGTCTCTACAAAAAAAATTTAAAAAACTAGCCGGGCATGGTGGCACATGCCTGTAGTCCCAGCTACTCTGGAGGCTGAGGTGCGAGGATGGCTTGAGCCTAGGAGTTCGAAGTTGCAGTGAGCTATGACTGGACCATTGCACTCCATTCTGGGTGACAGAGTGAGACCCTGTCTCAAAAAATTTTTTAAAAATTTCTTTTGATCTATAGATTTCTCTCCACTCCCCTTTGTTTGTTTGTTTGTTTGTTGAAAATGGATGGTTTGTCCTCTAGAGTTTTCTGCAATCTGGATTTTATTAATTACATCCCTCTGGTGTCATTTAGCACATTCCTTGGTTGCCTGTATTCCTCAAAACTCAGCATTAGAACTGGAGACCTGGACAGATTCAAGTTCTAATTTTTGGCAAAAGTGTGTCTTAGGTGTTAGTGTGTTCTCGCATTGGGAGAAAAAGACATTTTTCTTTTTTGTGTGATGTTAGTAGTCACTGATGGTCATTGCCCATATCCACTAACTCATCAGGGATTGCTTGTGGTTATATTTTAATTGTACATTTCTTTTTCATTTCTCAGCTGGAATACTTCAATAAAGAGAAGCTTTCCATTATCTACAGTTTGGTTACTCTGAATATAGTTTGACTCAGAAAAGCAGTATCCCACCTTTCAAGATGCTTGAATCTTCCCCTCTGCTTACCAGTTTTCTAAATAATGAAGTGATTTTCTAAGCATTCTCTAGTTATATATCTGTATCATTAGAAATGCACAGACTTTTAGCATACTTAATATGTTTCAATGTTTTGCCATTATTATCCTTATTGGTGGAGAAATGGCCTTATTCTGGCTAGCAGAAGCTCTTTAATTTTGTCCCTGAGCCCTTCGGACATGCTGCTAGCCATCTCAGACAGCCTCCTTGGTTCCTGGTATGACAAGATGTTTTAGGTTTATTTGTGTATTTCCTTCTCCAGACCTGGAATCATCCATTTCTCCAAGGATCTCTGCTTCTTCTTGTAAAATAGGCTATTTAAGGACTACAATCTGAGCATTAAGGGTGAGTCCTTTTCCTCATTCTTCCAAAGATAACTTTGAAAGAAGTTTTTAGTATGTCCTGCCTTTGGTATTTTAATATAAGCAAATATGTTTATATATTCATATTCTATCTTAGATGAATAGCAATATGCTATACACATTTATCTCTACCTTGCTTTTTCACTGAATATATCCTGGCCATCACTTCATAGTATCCAGAGACAGACTCCATTTCTTTTTATGGCTGAACAGTACTCCATTATGTGAAGGTTCCACTTTTTCCCACCAGTCCCCTCTTAATGGAAACCATTCCACACCACTTACAGAAAGTCTCATTCAACAAACAGTTTTTGAAAACCTTCTGTTTTCTGGACACTATTTTAGGTGCTTGGGAAATACCTGTGCACAAATTAAAGATCTCCACCCTTGTGGAGATTGTGTTCTATCAGGAGTACACAGATAGTTAAGAATAAATGGAAGATATAAAGAATCATATCGTGTGGCAGAAGGTGATAAGGGCAATGCAAGGAAGTAAAAGATCAAGGGGGAGGGGAGCAGGAGGGCAGCGGTGGGCTGAAGAGTTCAGTAGGGTGGGGATCAGGGTCTGCCTCCCTAAGAAGGTACGATCTGAGCAAACACTTGGGTGTCTGGGGAATGCATCATCCAGGCTAAGGGAATAGCTAGAGCAAAGGCCCTGGGGAATGTTTGAGGAGCATAAAGGAAGCCATTGAGGCTGGAGTGGAGTGGAGTGAGTGAGGGGAAGGGGAAGGAGATGGAGCCAAAGACAGCAGGGCTCCTGCGTGCCCTGCCTTGTGAAGGCATTGGAGAAGGTTTGGCCTCTATTTTCAACCACCACTGTTGACTTTGCCCCTACCTCTTGATTGTCACATTGCAGTGTTTTAAAAAGAATTCCACAAAATCCTGTGGAATCTAGGGGATAACTGGCAAATAGAATTGGGTGGAATTCTCAGGCTGAATATGGACTTTGTTCATTTTCCCAGCTGAAACTACCTAGTAGCTGCAGAGTAGAGTAGAGATGCCTCTGTGCTAGTAGGTCTGGGTTTGCAATCCCAGTGCTGCCATTTTCAAGCTGTGTGACCTGAGGCAGTCTGATGCTCCTCTCTGAACCTGCATTTCCTAAGCTCTAATGTGGATGTTGTAATCAGTACTTCTTATGGGCTGAATTGTATCTCCTCAAAATTCATGTGTTGAAGTCCTAACCCCCAGTATCACAGAATATGGTAGGGTCTTTAAAGAGGTAATCCAAGTAAAATGAGGTCCTTAGAGCAGGCCCTGATCCAATAGGACTGTCCTTATTAGAAGAGGAAACTTGGACACAGATACACACAGAGGGAGCACCGTGTGAAGACACAGAGAGGAGATGGCCAGCTACCAGCCAAGCAGAGAGCCCTTACTGTAAACCAACCCTGCCGCATCCTGATCTCAGAATTTTGGCTTCCAGAACTGTAAGGAAACACATTTCTACTGTTTAAGCCACTTGGCTGGGAGTACTTGGTTATGGCAGCCTGAGCAGACTAAACCAGCACCTCAAAGAGTTGTTATAGGGTATGCTTAGTGGTAACTGGTTCCTAAAGGCCTTGCTTTCTAAGGCTGACTCCTCACCCTGCAAGGATGCATTCTCCCCACTGGCAGATATGCAACCAGGAACAGGCATTAACACGCTTTATTCCCAGAGTTTTAATATTTTCCATTGCATAAAATATTTGTTCATGAAAATGACAAAATTGCTATTAGATTCTATCACCACATCTCTGTTGATTTTACTTTCTGCAAACACATACAAGTAATGTAGGCATACAGTTAAAAATGAAACCTTATCCTGTAGTTCCAGCTACTAGGGAGGCTGAAGCAAGAGAATGGCATGAACCTGGGAGGCGGAGCTTGTCGTGAGCCCAGATCAGGCCACTACACTCCAGCCGGGGCAACAGAGCGCAACTCCGTCTCAAAACAAACAAACAAAACAAAACAAAAAAAACTTATAGACAAGTACAAAATGAGAAGAAAAAGTCCCTTTCCCTTCATGCCTCTACTTCCTGCTGTATTCTCAAAGGTAAGCACTGATTACAGTTTACTTATGGATCTTTCCAGGAAAATATTTTATGCATTTATCAGAAAATGTAAGTATATGCATCCTTTAAAATTCTGCATAAATCAAACTCTGCAGGGTACTATCTTCCCATCCTCATTTGATATTTTGTAGATCTTTTCCTATTGGCTGTACAGATCACCTCATTCTGTCTCCTGGGTCATACAATATAGCTCACATAATTCTAAGTCTGAAGGTTGGTCCAAATGGTTCCAAGAATGCAGGTACCAAAAAGTAGTCTCTTGAAGAGGCCATCAGAGACCTGGCTGTTTGTATCTTCCTCCTCTGCCATCCACAGTGTCATCTTCACCCAAGGTGGCTGGAGAAGCTGTTAGGAATATGTGGTTTTTTAAAAATTACATTCATAGGAAAAGGGGAGGGAAGAGAAGAAGAAAACCTCTCCCCCTAAGCTCATGGCTCTTTTTAGTCAGGCTGAGCCAACTAAAGTCATGTACTTCCCTTAGATAGGTAACTGTTGCCAGGAAAATGCCCTGTGTGGATTGGCCTGGACTAAGCAGGATCCTCCTCTAAAGAGAGAGATGAGATGAATGCCTGACCCAAGTCTGGGATCTTGGGTGGGAAGCGTGTGGATAGTAGGTCAGAGGTCAGCAGTGTCTGTGGTGTAGGATGTAATCCCATCTCCACAGAGCTGCATACAAGTGTGTTTAAGTGTGTGCAAGTGATTAACTTTGATTAGTAGTTTCAACTCTTTACAATGAACATATTTATCTTTTTTAAAAAATAAAGCCATTTTAAAAGATCTTGCCATAAAACAATCATTCCTTAAGTCACCACTTAGGATAGACCTAGAATATTTGTCCTTTCTCAAGAGCACCAGAGAGTTTTCTGGTAATCCACGCAATAAACAGTTATAAAAGGTAATTGTTGAGATCAGGGGAAGATGGCAGATAGGAGGCAGTGCTAATGTGTAGCTCCCACATGGATGGACAAAACACCATGTGGAGACTCACACTGTGACCCTGTTGTGCTCCAAGAACTATCATAGGAACGTACTGGGAAAACCAAAAGAATTCACGGATCCTTTGAAAGAAGACGCACACCACTGTAAATTCTGTGGAACAGGAGAAAAACTGTGAGTTCCCAAAGTGTAAGAAGGGGGAAACCTACCTTTGAACACACATCCCCACTGGGGAATCTAAAAATCCAGATCATAGGAGAAGGATTTAACCTTAACCAGAGATGAAATGAGTTTAGGGAGATGTAAGAAAAATAAAAGTATGAGAGTAGTAGTGGGAAGTGCCTTGAATGGACTCCCAGTCTCCAGCTTGAGCCCTAGGAAGCCATCCCTGACTGTATCTCACACAGCCACTCAGGGAAGGCAGCCAGTGGAACTGGAGAGGAGTTGCAGGGCAAAGGAAGCTCTCAACTGAAATTGGTAGTGGTTTTGACCGGGCACAAACTTTCTCGAGCAGAGTCTGGAGGATGAGCGGGAACTGCTGTGGATACAAGCAAGCGAGTGCAGGAGTGCAGGAGCTGCTGCTGGCAGAGTGGGCAGACAGGGAGGGGTGAGGTCCTTAAGCCACGCTTGCTTTCTCAGCAGGGTAGCTCACGGCCTGAGCAGGAGCACTGTGGGAGTGAGACCGACCTCGCCAACTGCTTGGGAACTGGGCGAGAGCTCGTATTAAGGGCTATCCAATGCTTTCCTGGCAAACTATATAACACAGCAGAGGGCCAAGATCCACTCTAGAACAGTACTCCATTAGCCTAAGAACCACTCCTTCATTCCCCCACAGTGGCTACTGCAAGCCCTGTCCAAGGAGAGTCTGACCCCAGACCCACCTAACCCTGCCCCCACTTGATGGTATTTCCCTAGCCACCCTGGTAGCCCAGCACAAAACACAGAACCTCTTGGGAGCTTTATGGCCATGCCCATCACCTGAGAAACCAAAATGCTTACCCTGGCCACCTTAGGACAAGCTTAGAGCCCCCTACTACTATGGCAGCTGGTGCTCTCTTGAAAGTGCCACCTCGTCGCTGGAGGCCAACCAACTCAAGCCATTACAGCAACTCATGACAGAATAATGCTGATCTTAGGAAGGAGAAGACAACACCTAATTCTACTGCCTGCAACATCCTGGCTAAACAGAGGTCCTGAAGATGTCCACGTGACAATTTCACTGTTATGACAACCAGCATTCAAGAAAGCCAGCACACTAAACCTATCTATAACCAAGGACTCTCACAGAGTCTACTTCACTTCCCTGCCACCTCTACCAGAGCAGGTGCTGGTATCCATGGCTTGGAGACCTGAAGACAGATCACATCACAGGAATCTTTGCAGACATCCCCCAGGACCAGTCCAGAGCCTGGTATCCTCACTGGTAGCTAGACCCAGAAGACAAATAACAATCACTGCAGTCCAGCTCTCAGGAAGCCCCATTCCTAGAAGAAAGGGGAGAGCACTACATCAAGGGGTTACCCAGTGGGACAAGAGAATCTGAACAGCAGGCCTTGACTTTCAGATCTCCCCACTGTATTAGTCTACCCAATTGAGAAGGAAGAAAAGTAATTCTGGTAATATGACAAAACAGGGTTCTAGAACACCCTCAAAAGATCATACTGGCTCGCCAGCAATGGATCCAAACCAAGAAGAAATCTTTAAATTGTCAGATAAATAATTCAGAAGGTCAATTATTAAGCTATTCAAAGAGATACTAGAGAAAGGTGAAAACGAACGTAAAGAAATTGAAGGCCAGGTGTGGTGGCTCACGCCTGTAATCCCAACACTTTTGGAGGCCGAGGCAGGTGGATCACAAGATCAGGAGATCAAGACCATCCTGGCTAACACGGTGAAACCCCGTCTCTACTAAAAATACAAAAATTAGCCGGGTGTGGTGGTGGGCACCTGTAATCCCAGCTACTCGAGAGGCTGAGGCAGGAGAATTGCTTGAATCCGGGAGGTGGAGGTTGCAGTGAGCCGAGGTTGCACCACTGCACTCCAGCCTGGGTGACAGAGTGACCCAAAATAAATAAATAAATAAATAAAATAAAGAAATAAGAAAATACAGGATATGAGTGAAAATTTATCCAGGAAAATAGATATCATAAAGAAAAAACAATCACAATTTCTGGAAATGAAAGACACCTAGAGAAACACAAAATGCAATGGAACATTTTAACTACAGACTTGAACAAGTATAAAAAAGAACTTCAGGGCTCAAAGACAAAGCTTTCAAATTAACCCAATCAGACAAAGACAAAGGAAAAATAATTTTAAAAAATGAACAAAGCCTCCATGAAACTTGGGATTATGTTAAATGGCCAAACCTAAGAATGATTGGTGTTCCTGAGGAAGAAGAGAAATCTAAAATTTTGGAAAACTAATTTGAGGGAATAATTGAGGAAAACTTCCCTAGCATTGACAGAGATCTACACATCCAAATACAAGAAGCTCAAAGAACACCTGGGAAATTCATTGCAAAAAGACCATAACCTAGGCACATAGTCATCAGGTTATCTAAAGCCAAGACAGAGGAAACAATCTTAAGAGCTGTGAGACAATAGCACCAGATAACCTATAAAGGAAAACCTATCAGATTAACAGAAGACTTCTCAGCAGAAACCTTACAACCCAGAAGAGATTGGGGTCCCACCTTTAGCCTCCTGAAACAAAATAATTGTCAGTCAAGAATTTTGTATCCAGCAAAACTAAACATCGTAAATGAAAAAGAGAAAAGTATTTTTCAGCCAAACAAATGCTGAGAGAATTTGCCACTACTAAGCCAGCACTACCAGAAATGCTAAAAGGAGTTCCAAACCTTGAAACAAGACCTTGAAATACATCAAAATAGAACCTCTTTAAAGCATAAATCTCACAGGGCCTATATAACACGATGAAAAAAATTATTAAGGCAACAACTAGCATGATGAATAGAACAGTACCTCACATCTCAATACTAATGTTGAATGTAAATGGCCTAAATGCTCCACTTAAAAGACACAGAATGGCAGAATGAATAAAAATCCACCACTAAGTGTGTGCTGTCTTTGAGAGACTCACTTAAATGTATAAGGACTCACATAAATTTAAGGTAAAGAGGTGGGAAAAGATATTCCACGCAAATGGAAACCAAAAGTGAGCAGGAGTATCTATTCTTATATCAGACAAAACACACTTCAAAGCAACAACAGTAAAAAAAAGACAATAGGCACATTATACAATGATAAAAGAAATAGTTAAATGGGAAAATATTACAATCATAAATACATATGCACCGAACACTGAAGCTCCCAAATTTATAAAATAATTACTAGTAGACCTAAGAAATGAAATAGAAGGCAACATAGTAATAGTGGGGGACTTCAATACTCCATTGACAGTGCTAGACAGGTCATCAAGACAGAAAGTCAATAAAGAAACAATGGACTTAAACTAACTCTGGATCAAATGGACTTAACAAATATTTACAGAAGATTCTACCCAACAACTGCAAAATATACACTCTTTTCTTCAGCACATAGAAAATTTTCCAAAATAGACCATATGATAGGTCACAAAGCAAGTCAGTTAACTTAAGGAAATTGAAATTATATAAAGTATTCTCTCAGACCACAGTGGAATAAAACTGGAAACGACTCCAAAAGGACCCCCTAAAACTATACAAATACATGGAAATTAAATAATTTGCTCTTGAATGATGTTTGGGTCAACAATGAAATCAGGATGGAAATTTAAAAATTCTTTGAGTTGAACAATGACAGTGAAACAACTTATCAAAACCTCTGGGATACAGCAAAAGTGGTGCTAAGAGGAAAGTTTAAAGCATTAAATGCTTACATCAAAAAGTCTGAAAGAGCACAAGTAGGCAATTTAACATCATACTTCACGGAACTAGAGAAACAAAAACAAACCAAATCCAAACTCAGCAGAAAAAAAGTAAATAACAAAGATCAGAGCAGAACTAAATGAAATTAAAATTAAAAACACAAAACATAAATGAAACAAAAAGCAGTTTCTTTGAAAAGATAAAACACAATTGATAGACCATTACTGAGATTAACCAAGAAGATAGAAGATCCAAATAAGCTCAATTAGAAATGAAACTGGAGATATTACAACCAATACCCCAGAAATACAAAAGATCATTCAAGGCTACTATGAACACTTTTATGCACACAAATTAGAAAATCTGGAAGAGATGGATAAATTCCTCCCATATTAAATCACGAAAAAATAGAAACTCTGAACAGACCAATAATTAGCAAGATTGAAACAATAATAAAAAAAATTGCCAACAAAAAAATGTCCAGAACCAGATGGACTGACAGGTGAATTCTATTAGACATTCAAAGAAGAATTGATACCAATCTTACTGAAACTATTCCAAAAGATAGAAAAAGAGGGACTCCTCCATAAATCATTCTATGAAGCCAGTATCATCCTAATTCCAAAACTGGGAAAGGACATAACAATAAAAGAAAACTACAGACTAAGATCCCTGATGAACACAGATGCAAAAATACTCAACAAAATACTAGCTAACTGAATCCAACAGCATATCAAAAAGGTAATACAATAGGATCAAGTGGGTTTCATACCAGAAATGCAAGGATGGTTTAACATTCACAAGTCAACAAATGTGACACATCACATCAACAGCATTAAAAACAAAAATCATATGATCATCTCAATCAATGCAGAAAAAGCATTTGATAAAATCCAGCAAAACTGGTATACAAGAGACATACCTCAAGGTTATAAAAGCCATCTATGACAAACCCACAGCCAACATGATACTGAATGGGGAAAAGTTGAAAGCTTTCTTCCTGAGAACTGGAACAAGACAAAGATGCCCACTTTCACAACTTTTATCCAGCGTAGTGCTGGAAGTTCTAGCCAAAGCAATCAGACAACAGAAAGAAATAAAGGGCATCTAAATTAGTAAAGAGGACGTCAAACTGTTGCTGTTCACCGATGATATAATTGTATGCCTAGAAAAGCCTAAAGACTCACCCAAAAAGCTCATAGATCTGATAAATGAATTCAATAAAGTTTTAGGATACAAAATCAATGTACACAAATCAGTAGCACTGCTGTACACCAACAACAAGACTGAGAAACAAATCAAGAACTCAATCCCTTTTACAACAGCTGCAAAAAATAAAATAAAATACTTTGGAATATACTGAACCAAGGAGGCGAAATATCTCTACAAGAAAAACTGCAAGACAGAAAGAAATCACTGATAACACAAACAAATGGAAGCACATTCCATGCTCATGGATGGGTAGACTCGATACTGTGAAAATGATCATGGTGCCAAAAGCAGTCTATGGATTCGATGCAATTCCCATCAAAATACCATCAGCATTTTTCATGGAGCTTTAAAAAGCAATCCTAAAATTCAAATGGAACCAAAAAAGACCCTACATAGCCAAAGCAAGACTAAGCAAAAAGAACACATCTGGAGGCATCACATCACCTGACTTTATACTACAAGGCTGTAGTTACCAAAACAGTATGGTACTGGTATGAAAACAGGCAAGTAGACCAATGGAACAGAATAGAGAACCCAGAAATAAAGCCAAATACTTACAGTTAACTGATCTTTGACAAAGCAAACAAAAACATAAAGTGGGGAAAGGACACCCTATTCAACAAATGGTGCAGGGATAACTGGGAAGCCACATGTAGAAGGGTAAAACTGAATCCTCATCTCTCAACTTATACAAAAATCAACTCAAGATGGATCAAAGACTTAAATCTAGGCCGAGCATGGGGGATCACAACTGTAATCCCAGCACTTTGGGAGGCCAAGGTGGCCAGATCACATGAGGTCAGGAGTTCAAGACCAGCCTTGCCAACATGGTGAAATCCTGTCTCTACCACAAATACAAAAAATTAGTCAGGCGTGGTGATGGGTGCCTGTAATCCCAGCTACTAGGGAGGCTCAGGCATGAGAACCTGAGAGTTGGGAGTTGCAGTGAGCGGAGATTGCTCTACTGCACTCCAGCCTGGGTGACAGAGTGAGATTGTCTCAAAAAAAAAAAAAAAAAAGAAAAGAAAAGAAAAGAAAAAAGACTTAAAATCTAAGACCCAAAATCATAAACATTCCAGAAGATAACATCAGTAAAACTACCCTAGACATTGGTTTAGGCAAAGAGTTCGTTAACTACCAAGAACCCAAAAGCAAATGCAACAAAAACAAAAATAAATACATTGGACCTAATTAAGTTACAAGTTTCTGCATAGCAAAAGAAATAATCAGCAGAGTAAACAGACAACCCACAGAGAGGGAGAAAATATTCTCAAACTATGCATCTCACAAAGGACTAATATTTAGAATCTACAAGGAACTCAAACAAATCAGCAAGAAAAAAACAAATAATCCCATCAAAAAGTGGGCAAAGGAAATTAATAGACAATTCTCAAAAGAAGATGTGCAAATGGCCAACACACACATGAAAAAATGCTCAGCATCACTATCAGGGAAATGCAAATTACAACCACAATGAGATACTACCTACTCTTGCAAGAATGGCCATAATTTAAAAATCAAAAAACAATAGATGTTGATGTGGATGTGGTGGAAAGGGAACACTTTTACACTGCTGTTGGGAATGTAAACTAGTACAACCACTATAGAAAACACTGTGGAGATTTTTTAAAGAGCTAAAAGTACAACTACCATTTGATCCAGTAATCCCACCACTGGGTATCTATCCAGAGGAAAAGAAGTCATTACATGAAATAGATATTGCACACTCATGTTTATAGCAGCACAACTCACAATTGCAACAATTTGGAACCAGCCTAAATGCCCATCCACCAATGAGTGGAAAAAGAAAACGTGGTGTATATGTGTACATATATATACATATACACCATGGAATACTACTCAGTGATAAGAATGAATGAAATAATGGCATTCACAGCAACCTCATGGAGTTTGAAACCATTATTCTAAGTGTAGTAACTCAGGAATGGAAAACCAAATATTGTATATTCTCACTTATAACTGGAAGCTAAGCTACGAGGATTCAAAGGCATAAGAATTACAAATTGGACTTTGGGGACACCGGAGAAATGGGGGAAGGGTGGTTAAGGATAAAAAACTACGTATTGGGCACAACGTACACTGCTCGGATGATGTGTGCACCAAAATCTCAGATATCACCACTAAAGAACTTATCTATGTAACAAAAACCACCAGTTCCCCCAAAACTACTGAATTTCTTTTTTAAAAAAGGTAATTAAGATACCTTGTAGACAAGGACCTTTGATTACACACTGGTAGAAATTTCACTTTACCATTTCAGCCACCATATGCCTGCTGTCTGCCCGGGGCTTGGGATTCAAAGACAAATGTTTCCAGTTCCCTTCCTCCCACAGGTGCTTGTGGCCTGGTGGGAAGCAGGCAACATGTGCACATAGATCAAAGGAAGCACCAAGTAGCTGTTTTCACGAAGGGTGTGGTGAGCACAGAAAGGAAGCCACCTGTTGGCCTGGAGAAGTTGAGGAAGGGCTCTCAGGGGATGTTAGAACTGAGTGGTAACAGTCAGAGGAGAGGGGTGAAGTGCCATGCCTGGCATGCCTGCCGAGAAACTGTGGCCACATGCAGTTCTCATTGCAGGCCAGCCTCCAGCTAGGACACAATTCTGGTGTTGCAATGCAGGTCAGTGTCCTGTATTAGTTTTCTATGCTGCATAACACATTGCCACATGGATTCTCTGCTCGGTGTCTCACAAGGTGGGAATAAAGGTGTCAGCAAATTGTGTTCCTTTCTGCAAGGCCCTGGGGAAGAATTCACTTTCGAGCTCATTCAAATTGTCAGCAGAACTTTAGTTCCTTGCAGTTCTCTTCATCCTCGAGGCAACAGCGTCCCATCCAGGCACGCTGAGTCTTTCATAAGCTTCAAATGTCTCCTCTCCCCTGTCTTGCTCTTTAGGGGTTAAGGGTGATTCCACCAGGCCAACCCAGATAAATCCAGGATAACCTCCCTATTTTAAAGTCAACTGATTAGAAACCTGTCCACAAGGCTCTTTTGCCTTGTAAAGTAACAGATTCATAGTCCCAGAAATTAGGGTTTGAATTCTCTTAGAGGACTATAATGCTGCCTGCCAGTCTCCCACCTGGAACTTGCCAGAAATCAGCACCTAGCACTAAGTCTTTATTTAATTTTTTATGTTTAGAGAGCAGTATTGCTGTTGCCCAGGCTGGATTACAGTGGTGCAATCACCACTCACTGCAGCCTCAACCTCCTAAGCTCAAGCCATCCTTCATCTCTGCCTAGACTAGCCCACTATAGGTTTGCCACCATGCCCAGCTCTTTTTTTTTTAAAGAGATCTGGTCTGGATATGTTGCCTAGGCAGGTATCAAACTCTTGGGCTTGAACAATCCTCTTGTGTCTGGAGTTGGTTCCTTCCGGTGGGTTCCTGGTCTTCGAGAATGAAGCCATGGACCTTGCTGGTGAGTGTTACAGCTCTTAAAGATGGCAGGGACCCTGCAGTAGCAAGGTTTATTGTGAAAACAGAAAGAATAAAGCTTCCGCAAAGCTGACCGGGACCCAAGCAGTTGTCGCTGCCGGCTGGGGTGGTGGCCAGCTTTTATTCCCTTATTGGCCCCTCCCATGTTCCGTTTCTGTCCTATCAGAGTGCCCTTTTTTCAATCCTCCCCGCAATTGGCTACTTTTAGAATACCGCTGATTGGTGCATTTTACAGAGCACTGATTGGTGCGTTTTACAATTTTCTTGTAAGACAGAAAAGTTCCTGATTGGTGCATTTTACAATCCTCTTGTAAGAAAAGTTCCCCAAGTCCCCACTGCACTCAGGGAGTCCAGCTGGCTTCACTTGTCACTCCCGCCTTGGCCTCCCAGAATGCTGGGATTACAGGCATGAGCCACTGGCTTGGCCTAGCACCAAGTCTTGATGAACCACCCAGAGGGACATCACACCTCATGCCAGGTGACAGGGATTGTCACAGTCCCTCCAGGCCTCTCCCTCCTCTGGGAGGAGTCAGTGAAGTTGGTTGGTACAGGAGCCCAGGACCACCTGCTTTGCCCGCCAGGGCTTACCTGACAGTTGGCCGGCAAGTACTTACCATTATTATTGTTTTAACTTCATGATCAACGTTTTAAAAAATCAGGAGCGGTCTCATTAAAACTCAGATTTCCGCTTTCTCTTGAAAATTCAGCAGCTCTGGCAACCCTGAGTTCCAGGTCAGGCTGGAACTGGGGGCGCCCCATGGGAAGAGGGGAGGGCGCGCGCCCCCTCTCGGGAGGTATTTGCCTCGAGAGGCCCCACTAGGAGCCCACACTACGCTCTCCTGGGGGGTCCCCTAGGACGGGGAGGGAACTAATAATTACTGGGCCCTCCCCAGCGGCAGCCGTGGCTCCTACATTAGCTGGTTTAATTCTCCAAACAGGTCTTGGAGGAAGGCATCCTTCTATTCTACTGATCAGAAAGCTGGACAAAGTCCCACTGCCAGGCTACACAGTTGGTGCCATTTGCGGAGGTGACCTTTGACCTTTAACCCACGCGGCCACCCGCCCGAGCTCTTACCCCTGCTGCCCCTCGCGCGTCCCACTCCCCGTCCCTGCCGGATCCGCTTCCCTGCGCTGGGCCCAGCGCGCCGCCAGGGAAGGGGCCGGAGCCTGGGAGCCCGCCCCGCCGTCGCCCGTCCTCCGCCCGCAGGCCCACCCGCAGCGGTCACGTGAAGGACCGAGCGCCGCGCGCCCAGGCGGGGCCTCCGGCCTGCACGAGGAGGGCAGAGTCCGTTGCGGCTGCCGCCCCGACGCCCGCGCATCCCCGCTCGCCGCGCCCGCCGCCGCGATGTCCGGGGCCGGCCTAGCCGCGGTGGTGAGCTGCCTGCGCCCGCAGCCCGGCGAGGAGCCGCAGACCCATGAGGTAAGGAGGACTTCCTGGCTGTGCTCGGAGGGCGCCCGGACGGCAGCGCCTCCTGCCCCTTCGTTGCCCTCCTGGTGCCGGGCGCCTCCGGGACTCCCAGGGAGAAAGCGAACCCGCTGGAAGCCACGGCCGGCTGCAGAGAATGAGGGCCCTTGGGGGTCAGCGGGACTAGGAACCCCTCTGCTTTCGGTCTTTCTCGGTTCCCTGCTCATTGGGCTGCTCAGCTGGGAGGCGCACCGCCAGCTAGAGCGCAGCCCGCACGTTGTAGTCAAGCGACCCGACAAGCCTCCCACTCTCCGGGGCTGAGCAGGGATCGGTGCTGGGGCTCCAGATTAGGGGCCATTCTCACTCAGTGAGGCGCGCACCCTTGTTTGGTGACCAATGCGCGTCCCCACAGAACTCCAAGGCAGCAGGAAAACGCCCGGAAAGAAGGCTGCAGGATGTGGGCCCCGGGAGTGCTGATGCAGCCCCGGGTCTTCCGATGCCTGCGGGACACAGCAGAAGGGCTGCGCAGCCGCTCAGGGTCTGTTTCGCTGCGATAGCCTGAGCTTCTTCGAAAGAGTTTGAGCTTCCAAGCGACCCTTCTTGATCTATTTTCTTGCACTGGACAAGAACTAAGACAGTGGAGAGGGAGGCAGGACTTCAATGGCAGGAGCCCCTGCTCTGATTCAGGAAATCTGAGGCCTGAATTACAATATGATGGGCCGTCAGAAGTCATGAAGACCATGGGTGACAACGTCGGTCAGGCCCTGGCACAGTGCCTGGCACAGTGCCTGGCACAGTCATGACAGCCAATCTTTAGACCCCTCAGGGTCCATGCTGCATCTCCTTTGCGTTGTGCAAGTGTGTGGGAGGTGGAGAGCGTTTTTGTTCAGTCTCCCTCTTAGTCTTGAACTGGCCCCCTTCAGCTCTGGGCTGCTGCATTATCACCCCTGCCGCTTCCCACTGGGCTCTTGAAGCCTGCTGGAGAGGGTCCACAGGGCAGGCTTGTGTGTGGAGTTGAAAAGCTCTGCCAGTCAGGGTGAGGTGGCTCAAGGCTGTAATCCTAGCTGCTCCACAGACTGAGATGGGAAGATTGCTTGAGGCCAGGAGGTTGAGGTTGCAGTGAGCTATCACTGTGCCACTGCACTCCAGCCTGGGCAAAAGAGCAAGACCCCATCTAAAAAAAAAAAAAAAAAAAAAAGCTCTGGTGCATACGTCTCCCTCTCTGGCCTGCAGGTCAGAGAGGTTTTGATGGAAAAACCTCCACACCAAAGGGGCTTGACCACATCCAACAGATGCATTCTACCATATGTCCTATCCCTCGAGAGAGCAGGTAAAGGAAAGGAGGGGGAAGTTCCTTTGTCCCCAGCTTTGGCCTTGCTTCTGCCATCTGAGATAACATCATTGATTGAGTCATTAAATCAGAGAAGGCATCTAGATCTTCTTCCCTCCCCAGGTTCTGACCTCGGGCACTCAATGGCCAATATAACTGGGTTAACCTTATTTAAGAATTAGTTTGGATTCATGTAACTAGAACCTGCCTAGTCACCTGAAATGCATTAACCCCCTCTCCTTTCAAATACTTATTTTTAAGACTCTTTTGTGATTGGAGTTTCTTTTTTTTTTGGCTACTAAGATGGCAATCTACTTCTTTGGGGGAATTTACCAACACTTTGAACTTTGAAATAGAAAGAACCCAATGCTAGTGATTCTCAATTTTGCCATTGGTTAGCATTAGCTAAGGAGCTTTTAGGACTGTATCCAGTTCAGCCTCTACCCCTGAGATTCTGATGTAATTGATATGGATGCGTCCTGGGCAGTAGTAAGTTTCAGGCTACTGAGTGATTCAAAAGTGCCACCAGGGTTGAGAGCCTGTGTCTTATGCCATTCCTTTGTGACAGTTCTATGTTAACCTCTTGATACTTTTATGTGCTTCTTTTTGAATGTTCTTGTTCTTAAACCTGTTCATGCAGATCCTGCATTACCCTGCTTTGCGGTCTTAATCCACTGGTGCTCCCTTTTAGCAATTTGCAGAGCTGTTGTTTGCAGTAACCAGGAGGGCTTGAGAAAGTGTTCCACTCAGGTGGTCCAAGGAGCAACATAAAGCCAGTGGGCTAGGTAGCAATGATTCAGTGAGGGAGAGGAGTGGGGTTTGTGATGACCTGATGGCATGTCCCCTGCCCAAAGAAGACCACAGCTACCCACCTCCAGTTGACCACGGCTATCATAGATTGCAAAAATGGCCAGAAAGTCTTCCCATCCCTGAATACATACCCTTTTTGCAATGTGCCTTTGCAACTCCTTATATCAAGAGGTGGGATCTGTTTCTCCAGCGCTTGAATCTGGGTTTGGCCATGAGACTTGCTTTGGCTGATGGGACATTAGTAGATGGGATACAGGCAGAGGTGTGAAAGGCACTCAGACATTGGTGCTTGCTCTCCTGATGCGCTTGGGAAACTTTGACCACGACCCGTGGAAGAGCCCTGGCTAGCCTGCTGCAGGACGCACATGGCCAAGATATGTGAGCAAGGCTGTTCTAGACCATCCAGTCCCAGATGACCACAGAGATCAGCTAAGTTGGCCCAGACCAGGACTGCCCAGCTGACCCACAGAATTGGGGAAAATAATAAGTGTTTATTTAGGTGACCAAGAATCAGGGTGGGTAGCAAAAACTTATTGAAATACAGCGCAGCATGGCTGAATGTTATAATCTTTTAAAGCGAAGCCAGAAGTTCAAATTTTTGTGTAAGCTCCAGCTTTTAAAAAATTGGAATGAGTAACCAGCATCTAAAAACACTCTCTGGGCCAAACAAAACACAACTTTAGGCTGCACTTGGCCTGTCAGTTGTTGGTTTGCTACTTTCTTTATAGAGGAACATAAGGTCTTTACCCTAATACCTCATTGCCACCTACTCAGTCACCCTTCTCCCACAACTGCTGTGCCCTGTCCTATCCCCCGCAGCTGTTTCTTCGTATAAAATGTCCACAATGTGTGTCAAGACCCCAGCTTTTCCAGGCAGTCTTTTTGTGTGGAAATAGAAGCTGCTGGGATTGCCAATCTTCATGGAGAAAGTGAAATTTGAGACAGGTGTCCAGTGAAGGAAAGTGGAAAAAAATACTCCTGGTTTTAAGTGAGCGTGAGATCAGGCACGGAGGTGGGTTCATAGAGGGACAGTGGACAAGTCCACCAATTTTGGCCAGAGAAAAGTGTTCCTATAGGGGAAGTGAGGGAGATTAAATTGGAGACAGGAGTAGAGGAGAGATTGTGGAGCCCCCAAATGCTAAGCCAAGGGTTTTGCACTCGATTGGACAAAGAGAAATCGCTTTAGGCAGAGAGAAATCACCTGATGCTTTTGAATGGGGGGGTCTCATGAGGAAAGCAGTAATCTATTCTATCAGTATGCAGGAAGAGCTTGTGGGAGGACACGGTGTACTGAGGGAGACAGAAGGTACAGTAGCCTCTCTTATCCATGGTTTTTTTGGTTTTGTTTTCTGCGGTTCCAGTTACTCTAGGTCAACTGCAGTCCAAAAATATCCAATAAAAATTTACAGAAATAAACAATTCATAAGTTTTCAATTGTGCACTGTTCTGAGTAGCATGGTGAAATCTCCGGATGTCCTGCTCTGTCCACCTGGGACGTGAATCATCTCTTTGTCCCACGTATCTATGCAGTAGACACTACCTGCCCACTAGTCACTTAGTAGCTGTTGGGTTATCAGATTGAAAAGACATAGTATATACAGGGTTTGGTACTATGCTCAGTTTCAGGAACTAACTGGGGGTCTTGGAACCTATTCTTCTCAATTAAGGGGGGACTACTGTGTAGTGTTTTTAGTAAGGAAAGGAGCATTGGAATTGGAAAGAAAAATGGAGAAGTGGAAGAATTTAACTTAAAATTTATGGGAACTTCTCTTTACCTTAAGTTATAGTTAATTATGTTAATGTTCTTACCTGTATAACCAAGACATATTGGCTGTTTTCAAAACACTTCTTCTTTTTCTTTTTTTTTTTTTTTTTTTTTGTTGTTGTTGTTGTTTTGAGATGGAGTCTCGCTCTGTCGCCCAGGCTGGAGGGCAGTGGCGCGATCTCGGCTCACTGCAAGCTCCGCCTCCCGGGTTCACGCCATTCTCCTGCCTCAGCCTCCCGAGTAGCTGGGACTACAGGCGCCCGCCACCACGCCCGGCTAATTTTTTGTATTTTTAGTAGAGATGGGGTTTCACTGGGTTAGCCAGGATGGTCTCGATCTCCTGAGCTCGTGATCCGCCCACTTTGGCCTCCCAAAATGCTAGGATTATAGGCGTGAGCCACCACACCTGACCTCAAAACACTTCTATCAACAACTTTGCATTTTGCCTAGGTTATTTTTGACTGACTTAAAGGTATTTGGGGGCTTACAATGGTTTATTACTACCACAGTTAATACTGAAGGAGGCGTTTGCTGGGTTCATAGAGAAGGAACTTTCTTGCTCTCTCCACTGAGAGCCTCTGGAATCTTATCTTTCCCTCCTTCCTGCATTCCTTTCACCCTCTAAGGGATTCCAAGGGATTCATCTTCCCCAGAATGAAGGCTTACTGAGTTGAGGGGTGGGGATGGAAGAGAAAACACAAAATCCTTAACAACATTTTTAAGTCTTGGGAGGAGGAAAATAAATATCACAGCTCTGAGAAGAAGAGAAAGAGAAAATCAAGAGAAGGCAATTATTGTCATGGTGCAATTAAAATAGAAAACAGGAGGGGTGCAGTGGTTGTTACCTGTGATCCCAGCACTTGGGGAGGCCAAGCTGGATGGATTGCTTGAGCCCAGGAGATTTTGAACAGCCAGGACAACATGGCAAAACCTGTCTCTACAACAAAAATTAGCTGGGCATGGTGGCGTGCACCTGTAGCTCCAGCTACTCAGGAGGCTGAGGCAGGAGAATCGCTTGAGCTTGGAGGTGGAGGCTGCAGTAAGCCATGATCATGCCACTGCACTCTAGCCTGGGCAACAGAGTAAGACCCTGCCTCAGAAAAAAAAAAAAAAAAAAAAAGAAAGGAAAGGAAAATAGAAGAAATACTAGGAAAATGGCTATATTTACATCAGTGGTTTTCAGTCTTGACTGCATGTTCAAATCATTTGTGAACTTTAAAAGATTAATCGTGGGAGGGTCCATTCCAAGATGGCCAAATAGGAACAGCTCCAGTCTGCAGCTCCCAGTGTGATCGATGCAGAAGACGGGTGATTTCTGCATTTCCAACTGAGGTACATGGTTCATCTCATTGGGACTGGTTGGACAGTGGGTGCAGCCCATGGAGGGTGAGCTGAAGCAGGGCAGGGCATCGCCTCACCTGGGAAGTGCAAGGGGTCAGGGGATTTCCCTTTCCTAGCTGAGGGAAGCTGTGAAAACTGTACCTGGAAAAACAGGACATGCCCACCCAAATACTGTGCTTTTCCAATGGTCTTAGCAAATGGCATACCAGGAGATTATATCCCGCCCCTGGCTCAGTGGGTCCCACACCCACGGAGCCTTGCTCACTGCTAGCGCAGCAGTCCAAGATCGAACTGTGAGGCTGCAGCCTGTCTGGGGGACGGGCATTCACCATTGCTGAAGCTTGAGTAGGTAAACAAAGCATCCAGGAAGCTTGAACTGGGTGGAGCCCACCACAGCTCAACAAGGCCTGCCTGCCTCTGTAGACTCCACCTCTGGGGGAAGGGCATAGCTGAACAAAAGGCAGCAGAAACTTCTGCAGATTTAAAACATCACTGTCTGAAGAGAGCAGTGGTTCTCCGAGCACAATGTTTGAGCTCTGAGAATGGACAGACTGCCTCCTCAAGTGGGTCCCTGACCCCCGTGTTGCCTAACTTGGAGACACCTCCCAGTAGGGGCCGACTGACACCTCATACAGCCAGGTGCCCCTCTGAGAGAAAGCTTCCAGAGGAAGGATCAGGCAGCAACATCTGCTGTTTTGCAATATTTGCTGTTCTGCAGCCTCCGCTGGTGATACCCAGGCAAACAGGGTCTGGAGTGGACCTCCAGCAAACTCCAACAGACCTGCAGCTGAGGGACCTGACTGTTAGAAGGAAAACTAACAAACAGAAAGAAATAGCATCAACATCAACAAAAAGGTCATCCACACCAAAAACCCATCTGTAGGTCACCATCATCAAAGACCAAGGGTAGATAAAACCACAAAGATGGGGAGAAACCAGAGCAGAAAATCTGAAAATTGTAAAATCCAGAGCACCTCTTCTCCTCCAAAGGATTGCAGCTCCTCACCAGCAACGGAACAAAGCTGGACAGAGAATGACTTTGACGAGTTGACAGAAATAGGCTTCAGAAGGTCGGTAATAACAAACTTCTCTGAGCTAAAGGAGGATGTTTGAACCCATCGCAAGGAAGCTAAAAACCTTGAAAAAAGATTAGACGAATGGCTAACTAGAATAAACGGCGTAGAGAAGACCTTAAATGACCTGATGGAGCTGAAAACCGTGGCACAATAACTATGTGACGCATGAAGAAGCTTCAGTAGCCAATTCGATCAAGTGGAAGAAAGGGTATCAGTGATTGAAAATCAAATTAATGAAATGAAGTGAGAAGAGAAGTTTAGAGAAACAAGAGTAAAAAGAAATGAACAAAGCCTCCAAGAAATATGGGACTATGTGAAAAGACCAAATCTATGTTTGATTGGTGTACCTCAAAGTTATGGGGAGAATGGAACCAAGCTGGAAAACACTTGTCAGGATGTTATCCAGAAGAACTTCCCCAACCTAGCAAGGCAGGCCAACATTCAAATTCAGGAAATACAGAGAACACCACAAAGATACTCCTCGAGAAGAGCAACCGCAAGATACATAATTGTCAGATTCACCAAAGTTGAAATGAAGGAAAAAATGTTAAGGGCAGCCAGAGAGAAAGGCCGGGTTACCCACAAAGGGAAGCCCATCAGACTAACAGCGGATCTCTCGGCAGAAACTACAAGCCAGAAGAGAGTGGGGGCCAATATTCAACATTCTTAAAGAAAAGAATTTTCAACCCAGAATTTCATATCCAGCCAAACTAAGCTTCATAAATGAAGGATAAATAAAATCCTTAACAGACAAACAAATGCTGAGAGATTTTGTCACCACCAGGCCTGCCTTACAAGAGCTCCTGAAGGAAGCACTAAACATGGAAAGGAACAACCGGTACCAGCCACTGCAAAAACATGCCAAATTGTAAAGACCGTCGATGCTAGGAAGAAACTGCATCAACTAACAGGCAAAATAACCAGCTAACATCATAATTACAGGATCAAATTCACACATAACAATATTAACCTTAAAGGTAAATGGGCTAAATGCCCCAATTAAAAGACACAGACTGGCAAATTGGATAAAGAATCAAGACCCATCAGTGTGCTGTATTCAGGATACCCATCTCACATGCAGAGACACACATAGGCTCAAAATAAAGGGATGGAGGAAGATCTGCCAAGCAAATGGAAAGCAAAAAAAAAGCAGGGGTTGCAATCCTAGTCTCTGATAAAACAGACTTTAAACCAACAAAGATCAAAAGAGAAAGAAGGCCATTACATAATGGTAAAGGGATCAATTCAACAAGAAGAGCTAACTATCCTAAATATATATGCACCCAATACAGGAGCATCCAGATTCATAAAGCAAGTCCTTAGAGACCTAGAAAGAGACTTAGACTCCCACACAATAATAATGGGAGACTTTAACAACCCCCTGTCAATTTTAGACAGATCAACGAGACAGAAGGTTAACAAGGATATCCAGGACTTGAACTCAGCTCTGCACCAAGCAGACCTAATAGACATCTACAGAACTCTCCACCCCAAATCAACAGAATCTACATTCTTCTCAGCACCACATCGCACTTACTCCAAAATTGACCACTTAGTTGGAAGTAAAGCACTCCTCAGCAAATGTAAAAGAACAGAAATTACAACAAACTGTCTCACAGACCACAGCGCAATCAAATTAGAACTCATGACTAAGAAACTCACTGAAAACCGCACAACTACATGGAAACCGAACAACCTGCTCCTGAATGACTACTGGGTAAATAACGAAATTAAGGCTGAAACAAAGATGTTCTTTGAAACCAACGAGAACAAAGACACAATGTACCAGAATCTCTGGGACACTTTTAAAGCAGCATGTGAGGGAAATTTATAGCACTAAATGCCCGCAAGAGAAAGCAGGGAAGTTCTAAAATCGACACCCTAACATCACAATTAAAAGAACTAGAGAAGCAAGAACAAACACATTCAAAAGCTAGCAGAAGACAAGAAATAACTAAGATCAGAGCCGAACTGAAGAAGATAGAGACAGAAAAAAAACCTTGAAAAAATCATTGAATCCAGGAGCTGGTTTTTTGAAAAGATTAACAAAATTGATAGACCGCTAGCAAGACTAATAAAGAAGAAAGGAGAGAAGAATCAAATAGATGCAATAAAAAATGATAAAGAGGATATCACCACCGATCCCACAGAAATACAAACTGCCATCAGAGAATGCTATCAATACTTCTACACAAGTAAACTAGAAAATCTAGAAGAAATGGATAAATTCCTGGATGCATACACCCTCCTAAGACTAAACCAGGAAGAAGTCGAATCCCTGAATAGACCAATAACAGGCTCAGAAATTGAGGCAGTAATTAATAGCCTACCAACCGAAAAAAGTCCAGGACCAGACCGATTCACAGCTGAATTCCACCAGAGGTACAAAGAGGAGCTGGTACCATTCCTTCTGAAACTATTCCAATCAATAGAAAAAGAGGCAATCCTCCATAACTCATTTTATGAGGCCAGCATCATCCTGATACCAAAGCCTGGCAGAGACACAACAAAAAAAGAGAATTTTAGACCAATATCCCTGATGAACATCGGTGCGAAAATCCTCAATAAAATACTGGCAAACTGAATCCAGCAGCACATCAAAAAGCTTATCCACCAAGATCAAGTTGGCTTCACCCCTGGGATGCAAGGCTGGTTCAACATACACAAATTAATAAATGTAATCTATCACATAAACAGAACCAAAGACAAAAAACACACAATTATCTCAATAGATGCAGAAAAGGCCTTTGACAAAATTCAACATCCCTTCATGCTAAAATCTCTCAATAAACTAGGTATTGATGAAATGTATCTCAAAATACTAAGAGCTATTTATGACAAACCCACAGCCAATATCATACTGAATGGGCAAAAACTGGAAGCATTCCCTTTGAAAACTGGCACAAGACAGGGATGTCCTCTCTCGCCACTCCTATTCAACATAGTGTTGGAAGTTCTGACCAGGGCAATCAGGCAAGAGAAAGAAATAAGGGGTATTCAATTAGGAAAAGAGGAAGTCAAATTGTCCCTGTTTGCAGATGACATGATTGTATATTTAGAAAACCCCATCATCTCAGCCCAAAATCTCTTTAAGCTGATAAGCAACTTCAGCAAAGTCTCAGGAGACAAAATCAATGTGCAAAAATCACAAGCATTTCTATACACCAATAACAGACAGAGAGCCAAATCATGAGTGAACTCCCATTCACAATTGCTACAAAGAGAAAAAAATACCTAGGAATCCAACTTACAAGGGACGTGAAGGACCTCTTCAAGGAGAACAACAAACCACTGCTCAATGAAATAAAAGAGGACACAAACAAATGGAAGAACATTCCATGCTCATGGACAGGAAGAATCAATATTGTGAAAATGGCCATACTGCCCAAGGTAATTTATAGATTCAATGCCATCCCCATCAAGCTACCAATGACTTTCTTCACAGAATTAGAAAAAACTACTTTAAAGTTCATATGGAACCAAAAAAGAGCCCTCATTGCCAAGACAATCCCAAGCAAAAAGAACAAAGCTGGAGGCATCACGCTACCTGACTTCAAACTATACTACAAGGCTACAGTAACCAAAACAGCATGGTACTGGTACCAAAACAGAGATATAGACCAATGGAACAGAACAGAGGCCTCAGAAATAACACCACACATCTACAACCATCTGATCTTTGACAAACCTGAGAAAAACAAGCAATGGGGAAAGGATTCCCTATTTAATAAATGGTGCTGGGAAAACTGGCTAGCCGTATGTAGAAAGCTGAAACTGGATCCCTTCCTTATGCCTTATACAAAAATTAATTCAAGGTGGATTAAAGGCTTAAATGTTAGACCTAAAACCATAAAAACCCTAGAAGAAAACCTAGGCAATACCATTCAGGACATAGACATGGGCAAGGACTTCATGACTAAAACACCAAAAGCAATGGCAACAAAAGCCGAAAGAGACAAATGGGATCTAATTAAACTAAAGAGTTTCTGCACAACAAAAGAAAATGCCATCAGAGTGAAAAGGCAACCTACAGAATGGGAGAAAATTTTTGCAATCTAGCCATCTGACAAAGAGCTAATGTCCAGAATCTACAAATAACTTAAACAAATTTACAAGAAAAAATCAAACAACCCCATCAAAAGGTGGGCAAAGGATATGAACAGACACTTCTCAAAAGAAGACATTTATGCAACCAACAGACACATGAAAAAATGCTCATCATCACTGGTCGTCAGAAAAATGCAAATCCAAACCACAGTGAGATTCCATCTCACACCAGTTAGAATGGCAATCATTAAAAAGTCAGGAAACAACAGGTGCTGGAGAGGATGGGGAGAATAGGAATGCTTTTACACTGTTGGTGGGAGTGTAAATTAGTTCTACCATTGTGGAAGACAGTGTGGCGATTCCTCAAGGATCTAGAACTAGAAATACCATTTGACCCAGCAATCCCATTACTGGGTATATACCCAAAGGATTATAAATCATGCTACTATAAGGACACATGCACACATATGTTTATTGTGGCACTATTCACAATAGCAAAGACTTGGAACCAACCCAAATGTCCATCAGTGATAGACTGGATTAAGAAAATGTGGCACAAATGCACAATGGAATACTATGCAGCCATAAAAAAGGATGAGTTCATGTCCTTTGTAGGGACATGGATGAAGCTGGAAACCATCATTCTGAGCAGACTATCGCAAGGACAGAGCACCAAACACCATATGTTCTCACTCATAGGTGGGAGTTGAACAATGAGAACACTTGGACACAAGACGGAGAACGTCACACACTGGGGCCTGTCATGGGTTGGGGGGATGGGGGAGGGATAGCATTAGGAGAAATACCTAATGTAAATGACGAGTTAATGAGTGCAGCAAAACAACATGGCACATGTATACATGTGTAACCTGCACGTTGTGCACATGTACCCTAGAACTTAATAATAATAATTAAAGATTAATCCTGGGTTCTACCTCCCAGAGGTTCTGATGCAGTTGGGGTCTGCATGTGACCTGGACTTCAGTAGGATCTTTAAAAGTTGTTAAGATGATTGTCATATGCTGTGGGGATTGAGAATCACCACTCCCACAGTTGCCAATGCCTCCCATAGTTGGGATGCTGTTTTGAGGTTTGCAGCCACATTTAAGCTGCATCTGGGGAAACATCTGCTATTTGGTCTTTGCTATTTTCATGGTAGATATGGACAGTGGTTCGCATGTAAACTTGAAAAGTATGTGAAGTTGTGGAATGGGGTGTCTAACATAATCCACATTCTTGGGTTGGGTAAAAACAGTTTGTTTTATGGGAAAATACAAATGGCCTTAGTTCAAATAAACATGCTTATTACAGTAAAGTCTGTCTTCTAAGAGTACCGCTTCCCACACGGAACGCAGGACACTTAGAAGTTGCGCACAAATGGGAGGGAGGAGGAGAAGGAAGGCAATTAGAACCAAAGCATAAAGGAGATGCGATTTTAAAAGGAGATAGATGTCAGAAATGTAATACCAGTTAAGAATGGGAAAGCTTTGAAACGTTAGTGTAAGGGTGAAATGGCTATTATGATAGAATCAGCAGATTTTAAAACAGCAAGGATGAGTTCAGATGGCAGTTGGTGGGGGTGATGAGGTGCTGGTCATTCAATGTCTGGGGTCTGGGATCTGTCTCATGGAGATGACCCCGAGGGCCTGACTGGCTGAGGCATTGCTGGTGAGTGTTTTTTTCCTTTCTCTACCTGGAGGGCATATGAAGGATGCATCTCAAATCCGTGAGTGTTGAACTGCTTACGTTTGTGGACAAGTGGCCTCACTGGGACTGTAAGGATGTTTGTAGCATCACTGGGGACAACAGTGGCCTTAAAAGATCTTTGCCAGCAATTTTTTTAAAAAGCCTCAATGTCAGAACTCTTCAAGTATGATCTTTTTGAGGCTTAATGGAATTTTCTTAAAGTTGGTGTGTGTTCATTAAAAAAAAAAAAATCAACTCTTGCTGATGCGAGGCATTTTCTACCTAAAATATATTTCTAAGCATGTCCTGGGAACTGTATTCTTCCTCAGTGTTAAAGATTTTCAATGAAAAAAATAATTGATATTAATGGTTTTCCTACTAGAATGTTTTTTAAATATGTAAAAGAAAAATGTTTGGCTGGGCATTGTGGGTCACGCCTGTAATCTCAGCACTTTGGGAGGCCGAGGTAGGCGGATCACTTGAGGTTAGGAGTTTGAGACCAGCCTGGCCAACATGGTGAAACACTGTCTCTACTAAAATTAGAGAAACTAGACTGGCATGGTGGTGCGTGCCTGTAATCCCAGCTACTCAGGAGGCTGAGGCAGGAGAATCGCTTGAAACCGGGAGGCAGAGTTTGCAGTGAGCCGAGATTGTGCCACTGCACTCCAGCCTGTGTGACAAAGTGAAACTCTATCTCGAAAAGGAAAAAAAAAAGAAAAATGTGTGATAAGTGTTAAACACATTTACATGGTGCTTCTTAGATTTTAATAAACTGCCTGTAAGAATTGCCATACCAACCCTGAGCATACCTGTTACTCAAAAAGCGATCGGCTCTTACGGCAGTTAATTCATCTATGAGATTATTGTTCTACATCAACTTTTTTAATCCAAGTATTTGTCTTTCATTTTGGGCATTTTAACAGCTTTTTTAGATTATAATAGACATACACTAAACTACATTTATTTGAAGTATGCAGCTTGATGAGTTTTGGTGTATGAATGCCCTTGGGATAGTAATGCCATGATAAGAATAATGAACATATCAGTCACCCCTATATGTTTTCTTATGCCTATTTGTAATCTCTCTCTCTCTCAGTTCTCTTCGTTCCACTCTTTTTTTTTTTTTTTTTTTTTTTTGAGACGGAATCTCTCTCTGTCGCCCAGGCTAGAGTGCAATGGCACAATCTCGGCTCGCTGCAACCTCCGCCTCCCGAGTTCAAGCTATTCTCCTGCCTCAGCCTCTCAAGTAGCTGGGATTACAGGTGCATGGCACCATGCCCGGCTAGTTTTTGTATTTTTAATAGAGACGGGGTTTCGTCTTGTTGGCCAGGCTAGTTTCAAACTCCCGACCTCAAGTGATCTGCCCACCTCAGCCTCCCAAAGTGCTGGGATTATAGGCATGAGCCACCATGCCCAGCCTGTTCCCATCTTCCTCCCCCTGCCAACACACGACCACTGATGCGGGTTCTGTCACTGTAGGTTAGTTTTCATTTTCCAGAATTTTATGCAGATGGAATCATACAGTGAGTACTCTTTTCGGGGGGTGGTTGGCTTCTTTCACTCGGCACAGTTATTTTGAGATTCATCCATTTTGTTACATCTATTAGTTACTCATTCCTTTTTATTGCTGAGTAGTATTCCATTGTAGAGATACAGTACACTTTGTTTATCCACTCACCTGTCTGTGGACATTTTGGTTTCTAGTTTTGGGCTGTTAAGCTGGGATGAACGTATGTGTATGTGTGCAGCTTTGGGATGAGGTGTCTAACATGAGCCACATACTTGGGGTGGATGTACTAGTCTTTGTGTGGACATATGCTGTCTTTCCTTTTGGAAAACACTTCAAAGTAGCATGGCTGGGTCATACTTTTTAACGTTTTAAGAAACTACCAAACTGTCTTCCAAAGTAAATGTGCCATTTTCTATTCCAACCAGCAACGTATGAGAGTTCCAGTTGCTCCACATCTTTGGCAAAACTTGCAAATATAAAAGGAATTTTGTGTTTTGTGTTTATATGTATATAAATATATTAGGTAGTGTAAATACACATAGTATATAATTTTGTGTTACAGATTTGTTTGTATGTATATGTATATATACAGTAATGCGTCACTTAACAACAGGGATATATTCTGAGAAATGGATCACTAGGGGATTTCATCATTGTGCAAATATCATACAATGTACTTACACAAACTTAAATGGCATAACTTACTAGACACCTAGGCTGTAGACTATTTTTCTAGGCTACAAACCTGTAGAGCATATTACTGTACTGAATATGGCAGGTAACTGTAACACAATGGTGTATTCGTGTATCTCAACATAGAAAAGGTACAGTAAAAATATGGTATAAAAGGTAAAAGATGAATAGGGCACTTCCCATGAATGGAGCTTGCGGGACTGGCAGTTGTCCTGGGTAAGTCAGTGAATGAGTGGTGAGTAAATGTGAAGGTCTAGGAATCACTGCACACTACTGTAGACTTTAGAAACACTGTACAGTTGACTACATTTATAAAAAATATTTTTCTTTCTTCAATAACAAATTAACCTTAGCTTACTATAAATTTTCTACTCTATAAACGTTTTGATTCTTTTGCAATAGCAGCTTAAAACACATTGCATAGCTATACTAAATATTTTCTTTCTTTATATCCTTATCCTATAAGCTTTTTTCTATTTTTAAACTTAAAAAATGTTAACTTCATAAACTCTTTATTAAAAACTAAGACACAAACGTATGCATTGGCCTAGGCCTACACAGGGTCAGGACCCTCAATATCACTGTCTTCCACTTCTGCATCTCATCCCACTGGAAGGTCTTCAGGGGCCATAACACTTATGGAGCTGTCACCTCCTGGAATAACAATGCCTTCTTCTGGAATCCTCCTGAAGGACTTGCCTGAGGCTGTTTTACAGTTAACTTTTTTTTTTAATAAGTAGGAGTGCAATCTAAAATAACCATAAAAAGTATAGTGTAGTAAATACATAAACCAGTAACATAATCATTTATTATCATTATCAAATATTATGTACCATACATAATTGTATGTGCTAGAATTTTATACGACTGGCCGTGGAGGTTTGTTGACACCAGCATCACCACAATTTTGTATTTTGTTGTGCTATGACCTCACTAGGTGGTAGGAATTTTTCAGCTCATTATAATCTTATGGGAACCCTGTTATATATGTGGTTCATTGTTGACCAGAATGTTATGGGGCACATGACCGTATATATATTTGTATATACATGTGTACCTAACCATATATTAATATATGTATGTATGAATATACCATTTAGGTACAAATACATGCTCTAGTCAATGCTTATTTACATTTCCTCTGAGAGCCTATATTTGAATTCAAGAAAGTGGAGTGTGTCTGGACCTGGTCCCACTGCAGGATTCTCGGTGCTCAAAGAGACATTGGAGGTGTGGAGACAACACTGTTTAGATGTTGGCTACCTCTGGGAGAGTGGGTCTGTGGAGAGGCGAAGGGGAGCTTCCTTTTATACTCAGTGCATACTTAACAAAGGAAAAAGAAAAGTATCCTCTCCTCCTCTGACTTGGTCTCCCTTACTCTGTCTCAATGGGGAACAGGACCTTCTCCTGGCAGCTGCCTATGTTTTGGATGCCCAGTACAACAGAAATGTTCCATTTGAAACTCACCTCAGGCCATCAGGTAACTAACATGTTAAACCATCATGTGGAACCACCTGTCCTTCAGCACTTGATACTCTTGAACTTGAACCCAAACTGAAGGCATTGTTTACACAGATATTTTGAGAAGTATATAGGGTACAGCACATAGATTTGGACGTAATCCAATACTTTTTTTTTTTTTTTTGAGACAGGGTCTTGCTTTGTTGCCTGGGCTGGAGTTCAGTGGTGTGATCATGGCTCACTGCAGCCTTGAACTCCTGGGCTCAAGTGATCCTCCCACCAAGGCCTGGGATTAGATATGTGAGCCACCATGCCTGGCTGAATTTTTTTTTTTTTTGAGTTATAAGAGCATGGGCCTCACACGCAGGGAAGCATTCAATAAATAGATTAAGATCAGACAAATGAGTAAAATGAGCAATACCCAGCATAGAAGCTAGGGCATTCAAGGGAAGAACTTGCCATTGTCTTTTCCTTTTATGTCATCCTCTTAGAGTTACCTCAAGTGAAAAGGCTTTTTTGTCCTGTCCATTGTTTTGTGATGCAATCCATATGTTTGCTCTTCTCATGGGAATTCAGCTTTTTCTCTGTCACCCCCTACAGGTGCTCAGCCTGTTTATCACTAGGGCTCAGCCTCAGGGCCTCCCAAGGCAGCCAATACCTCATCCCTGGATGTTGCCGAGCATGTTTGGGGTACTGTCCCCACCTGGGGAGAGACTGGCATGACCTTTTGCCAGATCTCTTCTGAGTCTATCATGTTAAGATGGGATGATGTACATTTTAAAATTGGGTTAGGCCACCATGCCACATCATAATGGGCCACTTTAACTGAGGGTTTAATCTGTGTCCGTCACTGTTCAAGTCCTCTGCAAGTATTCTCTTATTACTATCACAACAACCCCATGGGAAGGTATAATCTTAGCTTGAGACTGTTAAGAAAATGTGCTTTGAGTTATGATCATATGCTTGATTTTTTTGTGTTAGTGTTTATAGTATATGATCATTAAATACTGCCTCCTGCTCCCTAGAATTTAAAGGAAACATGACTAAGCCTTAACTTTCTTATTTTACCCAGCATTAGTTCTTTAAAGAGATGTTTGGGTGCTGTGTAGCTCCTGTTCGTTGTTTATAATCACTTTTGTCTTTTTCTCCTCCAGACGTTACTATTTTTATAACCACTAGACAACGCAGGTTGCCGCATACTTCTTTATTTGTGTAGACCTCGCTCTTGCCCTGTTTGAAGAGCCTGAGTTGCTTCCCCTGCCTTTCTTGGTAAGCAAGCCATAGCAGATGGCTAGCCAGATTTGGTCATAGATGATTGGGCCTTGTGCCTCTTCTTTTTTTCCCCTCAAATTTCAACAAATATGAATTAGATGTTATTTATTTTTTTTGCTGGGGGATTAGAGAAGTTCTGTCTACTCACCAAACACATGCTTCCTTCATAACGCATTTTAAGTGCAGTGGGAGATTTTGGTCTTCTGTGCACACACACACAAAATCAGAGATGGTTCAATGATGTTTTCAAAGCCAATTTACTTACTGCCAAGTAGATGATGTTCTCATATAGTGTAATATGCAACTTGTACATGCCACATTTTCAGCTTTTTTTCATAGTCATAAATTATTAGAGTATTTATTGGTGCTTAGGGGCTGATCACATTTGATTTTGAGTAATGTATCAAATTCACCAGCCAATCCAGAGAGGTCTAAATAGTAGACCAGTGCCCTGCCCATGTTGATTTCTGATTCGTCATTACTCTTACCTCTGTCTTAATAGCTGTCATTTGCTCCCTGCTTGCTATCTGCTGGGTGATCTCATGCTTTCTCTGTATTCTCCTTAAGCCTTACAGGGACTCAATGGGATGTGCCTGCTGTTATTATACCCATTTTAACAGATAAGGAAGCTGAGCCTAGAAAGATTGTATAACTTGTCCAAGGTTACTAGGCAACAAAGGCAGAACTAGGCTTCAAGCCTAAGCCTGATTTCAAAGCTTTTGCTTTTTAACAACCACACAGACCCTTTTTTATTCTTCCTTATTTCAGTTATCAATTGCACAAACATATTTACAAACCATCCTAAAACTCAAACACTTAAAACAAGGGTTGGGAAACCATGGCCTGTGGGACAAATTCAGCTGCTGCTTATTTTTGTACAGCCTATGAGCTAAGAATGGTGCTACAAATGGAATGTTTGTGTGTTCCCAAAATTCGTATTTCAAAACCTAGTCCCAGTGTGGAGGTATTTGGAGGTGATCAGATCATGAGGGCAGAGCCCATCTCATGAATGGGATTAGTCCCCTCATAAAAGATGCTTCAAGGAGCTCCCTTGCCCCTTCTGTCAAGTGAGAACGCCACAAAAAAAATGGCTGTCTGTGAACCAGAAAGTGGGCCCTCATCAGACACCAAATTTGACAGTGCTTTGATCTTGGACTTCCCAGCCTCCAGAGCTGTGAGAAATAAATTTCTGTTGTTTATGAGCCACCCAGTCTATGGTATTCTTTTATAGCAGCCTGATCAGACTAAGACAAATAGTTTTTACATTTTAAAATGACTAGGAAAAAGGACACTGAAGATTAATATTTTGTGACACATGGAAGTGATATGAAATACAAATTTTGCTGTCTGCAAATAATGTTTTATGGGAACATAGCCACACTTATTAATTTATGTGTTGTCTTTGGCTGCTTTGGAGCTACATCAACAGTTTAGTGGTTGTGACAGAGACTGTAAGACTTGCAAAGCTTCACATGTTTACTTTAACAGAAAGAGTTCACTAACCCCTAGCTTTAGAGAACAACAGCCTTTTATTATCTCCCATGACTCTGTGGGACATTGGCTCAGGTGGTGTGGCTGGGGTGGTAGATGTCTGGAAGCTCTTAGATCTCTGGAGGCTGGAACATCAAGGTAGCTCTCTCACGTGGCTGGCAGGAGCTGCTGGCTGTAGCTGTGGCCCCGGCCCTCTTCTATGTAGCTGCTCCACGTGGCTTAGGCTTTTCCCAGTGGGTGGCTGGGTCCAGGAAGGAGCATCCCAGTGTGCTGCACCATCAAACCTCTGCTTGCATCATACTTGCTGATGTCCTGTTGTCAATCACATGCCAAAACCTGAGTCAACTTGGGAGGCCACTGCAAAGGGGGTGAAAACTGTAAGTATGGCTCACTGGGGCTGCCCAAGTGACATCCACCAACTGTCTTACAATAAAGATCCGGCAATTAATGAATTCTCTGGATAGAAGACTTTTATCCCAATAACAGTCAACACAAACACAAAATCTGAAGAAACAGAGCTGTGCATTCACAAACCTGGACAGAGTGTTGTCTATCCCTCCTTAGCACTGGTCCACTCTGGCCAAGGTAGGAATCCCACAGAGTGGTCTTCTTAGCCATTTGCCTCTTTTCCTGAGTCCTCATCCCCTGTCTGTTATTGGTCATGTATAACTTTGGGTTGGCTGCCTGAGTTTCAGAGTGTTCCTTCAGCCAGCCCTTGTACTGTAAATCTCCAAAGTCCAGTGTGTTCTGAGGGCTTTGGCCCCCATCCAGCATTACCACGCAAGTCTTGTTTTAAGCAAGGATGTCCTGAAATTGCCTAAGGCCCTTTTGCAAAGCTGGACTTGACATTGGGTCTCTATAGCTCTTCAAGAGTCAACAGACTGAGAGCTAGAACATTTGCAAGGGGCTGCAGCCCAGTCTGTGCACAGACCCATGAGGGCTGGAACTAGGGGGCAATGATAGTGTCCCCTGCTGCTTTCAGGCCCACAGCCAGCCCCTTCCTCCTGTCTCTAGCTCTCACTCAAGACTTTTCCCTCTTTTTAGCCTAAGTCAAGTTGTCCCTTTCTCCATCTCTTCCTATCTTCCACCTGTCTCTCCCTATTGATGGAGGAACGTGCCCTTGTTAGGAAGTTGTTACTGCATCCCAACAGCCTCAGGCAAACCTTGGGCTGCAGTCATGGGCTTCAAGTCTAGCAGGTACAGGAGTCTGGAGTTGGCACCCGTAATCTACAGAGGGAGGCCCATCAGGACTTCGGTCTTGATCTCAGTGGGCTCCATCCTCGTCTCTAACCAGCCTCATATAGGCAGCAGGGCTGCAGTGGCAGTGATGTTTATGGAAGGACCCATTATTCCCAAACACATCTTTGGGGAATTACCTTACCGTTAGAGAAATGGGACTTCTAGGTGTCTGGAATTTGAACATGGGGAATTTGAGAGCATAGACGATCTCTGCCTCTGACCTCCCCCTTTTCTGGGGAAATGTGTTCTTGGTCCTCAGCCTGCTGGTGCAGCCCCTCCCAGGAATCCCTGCCAGTGTGGGTCATGGAGATTGTGACTCAGTGGCAGATTTCCCTTTCAGAGGAAGAAGCCATTCTAACCGGCAGAAAATGTTGCTGCAATTTTCAGTAAAATTAAGGGACATGACAAATTCTCAGAGGGTGCCAGGCAGGAAAGGTAGGGTAGTGGCAGGGGACAGGGGGTGGTACTGGATAACTAAAGCTGAGCCTCCCCATGGCAAGCCCTCGTGCTCAGCCTCTGTTTTCTCCTTGCAGGCCACCTCAATAGCAGAAGTACTCTGCCTGACTGCATACTTTGGCAGACTGGTACATTTTGCAAAAGTCACTCCTCAAATGGTTTTCTGGAAGGATACAAAAGACATCTGCACCATGGTAACCACAGTGGCGAGTGTTCATTGTAGTACCTGTAAGAGTTTATGACCAAAGGCAGGAGCCATGAAGAAAAAAGACTCAATAGATTTGCTTTTGATGAAACAACAACACTTCCATACAGTGAACGCCATAAGCACAACTGCAAGCAAACCGCAAACTGAAGAACAAATAGGGCAAAATGTGGCAGTGCAGACATTTCAGCATATCAAGAGCACTTCCAAATTACAGGAAAAAAAAGATATCTCAATAGATAATTTTGCTGAAGATAAGTGAAGGCAACTCATAAGGAAAAAATATGTAAAATGGCCGATAGGAAAGATGTTTAACGTCACTAATTAAAAATTATAGAATAAAACGACAATAAAATACCATGTGTTTGCCTATAAAACAATCTTAGCAAGATTGAAAACAAACTTTTTGTAATTTCAATTTTTAGTTTAGATTCAGGTGGTACATGTGCAGGTTTGTTACATGGGTATATTTCGTGATGGTGAGGTTTGGGGTACAACTGATCCCATCACTCAGGTAGTGAGCCTAGAATCCAGCAGGTAGTTTTTCAACCCTTCCCCTCCTCTGTCCCTTCCCCTCAGGAATCCCCAGTGTCTACTGTTGCCATCTTTGTGTCCATGAGTACCCAGTGTTTAGCTCCTACTTATAAGTGACAACATGCAGTATTTGGTTTTCTGTTCTCTGTTAATTCACTTAGGATGATGGCCTCTGGCTGCATCCATACTACTGCAAAGGACATAATTTCATTCTTTTTAAATGACTGCATAGTATTCCATGGTGTATATGTACCACATTTTCTTTGCCTAACCCACCATTGATGAGCACCTAAGTTGCTTCCATGTCTTTGCCATAAAACAAATGTTCTTACACCCTACAGGAGAGAGGAATAAAACTGTCTTTCTGGAAGGCTCTTTGGCAGCTCCTTTCAAAAGCCTTGAAGGTGAATATATTTTAACCCTGGACTTCCATTCCTGGGAATTTATCTGTAGGAAAGAAGGATGCATTCAGAGATTTAGCCACAAAATTGGTGGTGGCTGACGGTTTATAATATTGAAAAATTGGAAACAACCTGATTTCCAGACAAAAATTATAAGACATATGTCTTAAGTAGAATGTGATATATTCATGCAGCCTCCTGTGCTGTCCTCTCACTCCTTTGCTCCATCTGTTATTTGAAAGGCCCTGGGAATGAGACCTGCCTTTTTAGCCTGGCCTGCAAAGCCACCTTCCATAGGTCCTTATCACTTTCTGCTGCTTCCCTTTGCCGCCACTCCCAGGACCCTCTGCTTCCCAACATGCCAGCCCAGTACTTCCTCAAGAGTCCTTTTATTCTATCTTCTTGTCTAGCTCTTGACCTTCCTGAGTTTTTATTAAAGCTCTGCTGTGCTGTAGGTTACATCAAAGAGTGCCTCCTCCATGAAGCCCCTCAAATATCTTAACCCTTGGTGATCCACCTGTCCTCGCTCCCCTGGGACAGCCACACTGGTTTCCTCCAGTGCGGCAGTTGTGAACCAGCCTCATTTCTTAGCTGTTTCCCCCGCCTGTGGGCGGCAAGCCACTCAGGTGCCAAGGCAAGAGACTGAAGGCAAAAACTGTTCCAGTATAATAAAGAAAATATACAGAATAAGAATAGTTATACTAGAAATAGATTATAGATATGATTATATATGAATATCATTAATCATTAGTTTGTTAACATTACTCTTTATTCCAATATTATAATAATCTTTGTTCTACAATTATAACTTAGGAAAAACCAGGCCATACAGAGATAGGAGCTGAAGGGACACGGTGAGAAGTGACTGGAAGACAAGAGCGTGAGCCCTCTGTTACGCCTGGAAAAGGCCACTAGAGGGCTCCCTAGTCTAGCGGTAACGCCAGCACCTGGGAAGACGCCCCTTACGTAGCGGACCTCGGTCTAGCGGTAGCGTCAGTGCCAATGGAAGGCACTATGGAGTCTCCCTTTCCTTGGGGGAGTTAGAGAAGACTGCTGTACCACCTCTTGTGGAAGGCCTGACACCAGTCAGCCCCGCCCACAGCCATCTGGAGCCCGGAACGTCTCCCTGTGATGCTGTGCTTCAGCGGTCACGCTCCTGGTCCACTTTCATGTTCCACCCTGTACACCTGGCTCTGCCTTCTAGATAGCAGTAGCAGAATTAGTGAAAGTACTAAAAGTCTTTGAAATGCATAGAAGAAATAATGGCATAAGCTGTCCTCTCTCTCTGCCTTACTGCCAAACAGGGAGGGCCCCCTGTCCGGTGGACACGTGACTCATGTGACCTTATCAATCATTGGAGATCACTCACACTCCTTACCCTGCCCCTTTTGCCTTGTGTCCAGTAAATACCAACACAGCCAGGTATTTGGGGCCACTATAGGTCTCCGCGTCTAGGTGGTAGTGGTCTCCCGGGCCCAGCTGTCTTTTCTTCTCTTTGTCTTGTGTCTTTATTTCTACGATCTCTCATCTCTGCACACGAGGAGAAAAATCCACAGACCGTGTAGGGCTGGACCCTACACCCGTCCCGTGCGGCGTGCCCTTTGAGGGGAAGGAGCTCACTAGATCCTCTGTGCCTTACCACCAAAGGGGCTAAATTCAAGTTTTTTTGATGATGGTACATTGTTCTTTTCTACTTATATTTTTCTAAAATACACTAGGTTCTTCTTTTGGCCATCTTCACCTTAATCTCTTGCCCATAAACCTGACATTAATAAAGATTAATAGGGGTTGTCTGTATTCTAGATATTCTCATCTCTGTTACTAGGCTACACCTCCTTTCTTTTACATGTCAAATTGAAGAGGTCAATAGGGTGTAGTGTGGAAGGATGTCCCAGTGTGATTAATAGCAAGGGCTGAGCCCTCAGACTGTCTGGGTTCCAGTCCCAGCTCTGCCCTGGATAGCTGTGTGATCAGGGGCTACATGCTTACCCTCTCTGTGCCTCAAGCTCCTCCTCCAGGAATAGTGCCCACCTAATTGGTGTGGTGAGTCTAAAATCATCTACAAGAGGTGCTTGTTATAGTACATGGAACACAGTAAAACGTCAAACATTAGTTATTATTAATGTCGTATTACAAAAGTGGTACTATGCTGTCTATGAAACGTGCTTTTTCACATAACATTGTACCTCTCCTGGGTTGGTGAACACCCATCCACTGTCCTTGGACAGTGTAATACTGACATCTCTGGCCTGTGTCTCTCACAGCTGACCTTGATCGATCTGATTATCTGTGGGTCCCTGGAAGCTATTAACATCCACAGCATCAGATGGTCAAGGGCCTTAAGGCCGGTCTTCCTAATTAACTTCCCTGAAAGTCGTCAGGTAAGCATATGATTTAGGATACGTGATGGTTTGTTTTTGCCGAAAGTTAGCTGGTTTCTTGTAAGTAAAGTAACATTTTGTCTCCATAGATCTGCAGGGCTTTCCAAAGCCTCCAGAACACCCTGCCCAATATCCTCTATGTCTTCTATTGTTCATGTTCAGTGTGCTGATGTTCTGCCTGATGGCCTTGAAGCTTTTTGGGAATCGATGAGCACACTTCTCTGGAAGTTTCTGCCTGGGAATTCTCCCATATTTAGGTTGAGCCTGTTGGCGGCACAATCTGTCACCAAACACAATCTTCCATGTTCAAACACTGCAGGAGTGCTCTTGAAAGGGAAAAAGTGTATCAGTGTATTAATTTACGTGTGTGGTTTTCACTTTATGTTTTTGGTTCCTCTTTAGTGGTCTGAAAACAGCAGAGGGATCGCCTTAGTTTGAAAACATTCTGGAGATAGCATTTGAGCTCTACGTGCTGGTCACTACAGCGAACAGCCCTGACATCATGTCCGCGCATCCTTGATCCGTGTTCATGAACATCTTTTACCATAACAGAATTCACACTATTCAAAGCGGCTGTCTCCTGACTCTAGTAGGGCTGTGAGAGGACAAAGAGTGATTTTCTGTTTAGTCCTATTCACTGTAAAAGTTTTGAAGAATATAAAATTTTACAGCACTAGTAGCCTATCCTCTCTACTTAACACTAAATTTAAATGAATTCTTTCAAAATGGAAAGGAACAGGAGACATCTCTTGAGATACAATTCTTAATATTTGAGCCCACTTTCTATTCTGGAATCTTCTTTGAGTCTTGAATTTAAAGACATAAGCCATCTTTGTAAAGGAATCATGTCTGGTTCTCCTAAGCATTGATGCAGTTTTTTGGCTACATCAAACAGGAAATAAATGTAAACATCACTAATTGTTGGGGTGATCAGACCCAACACCAGGTTGTGGGGGTGACAAAGTCCGGCGGAGTCAAAGGATTGAGAAAAGACAGTTTGAGAGACAGAAGTGGGACCAAGGGGCCATCGCAATCATGGAGGCTGCAAAGGCCCCAAGCTCTGGGAGCCCAGTGCTATTTATTGGTAATCCAGCAAAGAAACAGGTGGTGAGAATGTGGAGGTTGAAAGGGCGCATTGCATTAAGCACATGATTTACACCTGTGATGGTTTAGCATTTGCTCTGCTACTTGAGATAATGGAGAGCATGTTCTTTTAACTCAAGATACAGTCGATCCTGGGAGAGCAAGGAGCATGGAGCCAGCAAGTGTAGACACGTTCCAGAGCCACGAGCCCTGGATTCTATCCAAGTCACGAGGGGTTTTATGCCCTGGGCTTAGATTATGGTGCATCAGGGTAGCCTTCCACCCTTTAGCACAGAGCTTGGTGTTCCAAAGGCCACAAGGGGTTTTAGACCCTGGACCCCAGACATGTTCCAAGACTCTTTTACCTTATGTCAGACTTGCAAGCCCTGCCTCAGCTTCTCCCAACACTCAGCTTTTTCCCAACAGTAATTGCCACCTTGCTTGCAAAATGCCAATTCTCCACACGTGTGGAAATTACTTAGGAGAAAAACCTCATGGAATGACTTCTTGTTATGGATTTACCTCATGCATAAGGGTAAAGTTATTAAGTGGTACTGCACAGAGTAGCTAGCTCTCCAGCTCTAGAGAGTGGGCAGAGCCTCACTGCAAACGTCAGTCCACATCTGCTCCAATAGTGACCTCAGAGAGGCAGGTTTTCTGTCATCTTGTGATGTGTAGGTTCATCAGATCAACTTGTTCTTGGTTGTTGCTCACTCTTGGGCCTGGCCTTGGCCCTGGCCCTGCTTATGTTCTCTTGGGTCTTTCCTCAGACCCCTGGCTGACAGCCTAGCCAGCACCCCTTGACGTCCCCTCCTGTAGGAAATTAAGTTTCCATTAAAGGTAGAGTGAGCACCTGTCACAACTTGCCCTTCCACAGTTATCACCGGGTACCTTTCATGCATCGTCCCCTGGGTGGTTAGAATATGATCTGGCCCCAGCCAAGGCAGTTGGGTGTTCCACACAGCAAGGATTACCTGACTTTGCAGTGCACAGCCCTCTTCCCAGCCATGCTTCTTATTCTCTTTGTAATTCCTAGCAAGTCACTGTCCTTTCTAGGCCTCAATTTTCTCATTGTGGAGGGAGAAAACTGAATTGGGAGATCACTAAGGTCCTGCCACTGTGAAAATTGGTGCCTCTGTAAGGTACTAAGAATTTCAGAAGGGCAGGTGTGAAGCAAGCTGTTCAGCATTAGGGATGGTGATGGCTCTGAGGCCCCATCACACCCTATGGGGGAGAGCGAATGTTACAGGAGGCTTTCTGGTGCCTCGTGCACATGGACTGTGCATGTGGGATTTTGCCTAAGGTCAGCCTTATATGCATTGTGGAACTAGGGTATGGAAAACCATGAAACATGATTATTTTCTTCTAGCATGCCTGTCTATGACTTCAACTGGTGGTATTCTTTGTACTTTATAATCTACATTATCATTAATACCTACATCTTCAAGTCTGTCTTTCTGGCCATGGTGTACAGCAATTATAGGAAGCATTTTCACATACTGTGTGTGTGTGTGTGTGTGTTTTGTAGTGATGAACAGAACTTGTTATTTACCCAATTCTATTATCTATCATAATAGTAAATTAGCTACTATAATAGACAAAAGTATGACTCTCAGTTAAATAAGAGATTTTTTAAAAATCTTGTTACAAAAGAAAAAAATAAAAAAAAACCATATTGTGTTTATACCCTTAGATAACTTCCCTCCTCCCCGAGTCAATTTAAATCTTTATCCCACCTCAAAAACAGCCCAGATTGACCCCTGGGAACATCCAGGAAAGCAATGAAGAGAGGGGTGAAATGCTCTAGGCCAAGAACTCCCAGCCTGCAGGCCTCAAAACCCTTGGAGGCTGCAGTTTTGGTCACATCCGTGAGTCTTTTTGAGAGTACGCTGCTCCTGATACTTGGACCGCTGCACTCCAAATGACCCCACAGCCAACCCCATGCTTTATGACAATGGCAGTGGAGGAGGAGAACAGACCACTTGATTCTCCTGATGGAGATTTTCTCTTTTCTCCCCATCAAGTCTGGATTTTCATCTCCAGGGTAACAAGGTACAGGAAGAGCAATCAATTGCTGCTGCAGCCAGTAATAACCAACCCAAGCCAGTTTATGGAAGCCCACAGGAAGCTTCTCTGAGCAGTATAGGTAAATCAATGTAGACCCACAACAGTGTTTTCCCCACTGGACCTGGTGATGCCACTTGGAGGGAAAACAGGTGGGCCCAGCCCGAACTCAAACACTGTCTGCCCTGAACCCTCAGCAATCCACACCTAAGTGGCTGAAGTCAGGGGACTTCATGCTGCTAATGTCAGGGGACTTCATGCTGCTCAGATCAGTGGCTCTCAAGTCGACCTCCACTCTGAACATGGCATTGGCAAGGGGTCTCTCTGCCAAATCGGCTCCTGCTGTATATTTGGGAGTCACACAGACACATCTACTACCTCTAGCGTCCCTCAAGAGTTTGCTGCTGCACAAATACAAAATCAAGTCGTCCTGGTTTCTCGGTGTCTTTCCTGATGCTGTTTTAGATGAGTAATGCCTGCTTGCTTTGCCTAGGCTCAGGGCACTGTGCTCCTAGGACTAGTGGCCACAACCTTGTCCTGCTGAAGGCCCGCAGGAAGCCCTTGGGACACGAGCACTTCCACTGTCTGGTGCTCTTGAACTGGTTATTTTAGGGAGATAGGGTGTGTCCAGCTATGGGCTGGTCTCTGTGGGGCTGTGACAATTCAAAGTGACAGTAAACGGACGCAGTGTTAAAAGGTTCTCTGTGCCAGGGGTGCCTGGTGGCAGAGGCTGAGATGGATGGGTCCCAACCCATCAGCCCTGCCTTACCTGTGCTCTCTAGCTACGCCCTCATCCATCTGAAGCATGTGGGTTGAAGGGGGAGGCAAGTAAGGCTATCCATGCACAAGGCTGCCCCACCCTGTGGTCTGTCAGTAGTGCATGTCTCTTTAGGACGCTGGTATGTGCCTCTGGTTTTATAGCTCTTTGCCCATGGCAGCTCCGATGTCAGGTGGCCTGGGCCCTGCACAGGTCGGTGGGAGGGTGCAGGCCCTGGGTGAGGAGATCAGGGACATGATGGCTCATTGGACCTCAAAGGTGATGGGAAAGAGAAGTGTCTTCCCTGGCTCCCCACACAGCAGTATGTTGGCCTCCAGGGCTGTTCCATCACCCATGACAGCATGGACCGCGCTGTAGCCACTCTGGAAAGCGACCCTTGGAAGGGAGCTTGTGCGGGAGATAGGAGGACTGATGTGCACCCAGCAGTGTCATGGGGACAGGGCGCTGGCCAGCTGGGTGGGACTCACCCTCCTGACACCCAGTTTCCAGGATACTCCTTCACCCCCACCCCAGGGCAGATCCCTGCCCTAGATTTTCTCCCTCTCATGTCCAGCAAATGCTGTGCCAGAGCCCTGGAATTCCATGGGGCAAGCTAGGAAGATGGAGAGCTGAAATGAGGAAGTCATCACCTTTTCCAAAGAGAAGGTAGGCCCAGTACCACCCGGGTGCCCCTTGGGCAAGCTCTCCGGGCTGGGGAACAGGAGTAGGGGCTATGTCAGGTGCAGACAGAAGCAGGGAATCTTCCAGGAGGCACTGTAGAATGTTCCATTGCAGCAGCTCATACCCTGTCAGGCTTAGACATTTAGACATTGAGACTTGGAGATCCCCGGCAATTCATATTCAAGGTCAAAGGGCCAGTGACAGAAAGAGGAAGGCCCACTGTGTCATTCACAAAGTGCATCCAAACCCATCATCCCAGGTGACCCTCACAATAACCCCGTGAGATTTGCAGGCCAGGAGCCTCCTCAAAGGAGGAGTCAGGAATGTTGGGGTTAACAACTCCTCCAAGTCAGGACCAGGAAATGCTATCTCCAGCACCAACCTAGGTTCCCTATGCTTCCTCCCACACCACAGCTTATGGGCGACTGCCACCTCATGGACAGAGCCCTTCCCTGTCCAATTTCCACCAGGCTCCTTCCTCTGATCATCCCCTCAGACACCTTGTTTTCTGAGGCCAGTCACTCTGGGAACTGTTGTCCTTGGCAAGTGGGGACCTGGGACTTTGCAGAAAGCAGATGCTAAGGTCATACTTGGCTGGGACCAGCATTGGACAGCAAACCTCACCTTTTATTTTTAAATTTTATTTATGTACTTATTTGAGACACAGTCTCATTCTTACCCAGGCTGGAGTACAGTAGTGTGATCATGGCTTGCTTCAACTTCCGCCTCCCCAGCTCAGGTGATCCTCCCATCTCAGCCTCCCTAGTAGCTGGGACTATAGGCTTGTACTGCCATGCCCAGCTAATTTTTGTATTTTTTGTAGAGACAGGGTTTGGCTATGTTGCCCAAGCTGGTCTCAAACTCTTGGGCTCAAAAGATCCTCCTGCCTCGGCCTCCCAAAGTGCTGGGATTATAGATTTGAGCCACTGCGCCTGGAGAAACCTCACCTTTTGAAACTCATGCCTTGTTTGTCCTCCTGCCAGCACATTGGTGCTGCCTCCTAAGGAAGCAGCAAACATCCATTATCAACAAATATGCTGACCTTCTAGGGTGATTTAAGATTGGTGGTCTTTGATAGTGATAGTAAAGTGATTGAAATATTTATTCCATCCTCTACAAAACTCAAGTAAAAATAGTTTTCTGCATGTGGTCCTCAATATATTCAGTCCATGGGTTCAACCAATCACAGGTGAAAAATATAAAAAAATAAAAATAAAAAAGCAATACAGCGTAACAACTATTTACATAGCATTGACACTATATTAGGTGTTATAAGGAATCTAGAGATGATTGAGAGTACACAGGAGGATATGTTCAGGTCATATGCAAATACTACACCATTTTCTATCAGAGACTTGATTGAGTCTCTGTGGATTTTGGTATCCTTGGGGATCTGGAATCAGTCCCCCACGGACCCTGAGGGCTGAGTGTGCGTCCATCCTGGGATTGATCAGTGTCTCCCCAGAGTCTCCGAGAGGCTCAGTCTTGCTCTCTCAGTGTGATTTTGTGATATTATAAGCATGTGACTGGTCTGTGTCCCCAGTCCCTGGCAGTAGAGTTCTTAAGCCCTTGCAGTTTTCTGAGACCTGTAGGGGTGACAGGAGCTTCTTTTTTTCTGAGGTGACTCTTGGTAGGCTCCTAGGAAGCTTCAGGGTGGCCCTGGTCAGAAAGACCACACACATGATGAGAGGGTTGAAACAGTCTGTGTGACCTCTGCACCCCCAGGGAGAGAAGAGGGCTGGAGATAGAGTGAGTCACCAGTGGCCAGTGATTTAATAAATCATGCCACATGATGGAACCCCCATAAAGCCCCCAGGCAACTGGGTTCTGAGAGCTCCCACGTTGGTGACCACAGGGAGGTGCTGGGAGGGTGTTGTGCCCAGAGGGTATAGGAGCTCTGTGCACCCCCTGCCACGGTGCCCTGTGCATCTCTTCCTCTTGGCTGTTCTGGAGTAGTGTCCCTTATAATAACCAGTGATAGGAAGCTGAGTGCTTTCCTGAGTTCTGTGCATCATTCCAGCTAATCATGGAGCCTGGGGATGGGGTTATGCAAACCCTCCATTGAAAGCTGGCCAGTCAGAAGTACGAGAGGCCTGGGGCTTGTGATTGGTGTCTGAAGTGAGGGCAGCCTTATGGAGCTGAGCCCTTAACCTGTGGGGTCTGCACTAACTCTGTTTAGTAAGTGTTAGAATTGAGTTGTGCATAAAAGCAGTTCGGACTAGGCTGGCCATAGAGGAGATGACAGGCCTGGTGCAGATTCACCTGGGAAGGGAAGGCAGCTGATGAACAGGGGCTGCGGGATACTCTCCTGGGCTGCCAGGAGCCAGTCTATGGCCCCAAAAGCATAGTGTGTAGGGTTTTAGCCTGGAATCCAGGAGAGACTGGGGAGAAGCCCCAGTCTGCCCTCCACCTCCTGCCCCGCCCAACCAGTTCCTCTAGACTGATGTTCTCCTCTCTCCTATGACTTTCTACCCTAGGGGGGGTCTCTGTAAGCCAATAATTGATTAGAAAAGTGAAAAGAAAGCAAATGAAACCAAGAGTCAGAGTCTTTTAGTGGGCTGGGCTTAGGGTTCCTTCATCAGATGGATGTCTCTGTCTTTCTTGCATATTGATGACTGGATGCACTGAATGCAGTTGCATTACAGGAAAAAGATGTCCACCTCACACAAATAATGGAAGAGGGTTCCAAAGCCCCAGGCTCACCAAATGCAGGAGAAGCCACCTTCTCATCATCTAAAGTGTGCTGCTGCCTCAGCAACGGGCCCAGAGAACACTCAAAACGAGTGTTAAATTCCAGGCCCGCATCACAGCGCTGGGGGAGGAAACTGCTCTGGGTCCATCGGGGCAGACCTACTCCTCCTAGCACCTAGATCCTTCCATCCTGGTCTGGGACTACCTGTTTTTCATCAAACTTACTTTACTGCAAGTTTCTTTCTTTCTTTCTTTTTTTTTTTTTGAGACGGACTCACTCTGTCGCCCAGGCTGGAGTGCAATGGCGTGATCTTGGCTCACTGCAAGCTCTGCCTCCCAGGTTCACGCCATTCTCCTGCCTCAGCCTCCCGAGTAGCTGGGACCACAGGCGCCTGCCACCGCGCCTGGCTAATTTTTTTGTATTTTTAGTAGAGACGGGGTACTGCAAGTTTCTTTACTCCACCTACAACCCAGACACTGGCACAGTTTCCCTCCCATCCTTAGAGATAGAGGGTAAAACCACATGTTTGGAGGTTTAAAGATTTCCCAGAAGTCTTTTTCTAATTTTCTGGTATTAAATTGAAAAGAAAATAGAATGCACAGATGAAACATGCAAGGTGATGAATTTTCGCAAAGTCAATGTGCTGTGCAAGTAAGACTCAGGTCAGAAAACAGATTTATCCCAAATTTATCTGATAAGAGGACCCCAAATGCTTCTCAGGCGTGCTGACTGCTCAGCCTCCTACTCCATGACATCTCCATCCGTGCAACAACACCTCCCCACAGCTCCTGTGGAAGGCCTGGATTGCTGCCATGTGAACTTGGAAATGTCAATTCTCCTTCTGGCCATGCTGGGTTGAAGTTAAATGATTTCATATATTGTCTTCCTCCGTTAATCCTTCCAGTGGCTTCTCTTTATATCCACATTAAAACCCAAGTACCTTTCTTGCCTATGTAGTAGGCAGCCTCACTAATGGCTCCCCGTGATCCACACCCCTGGGATACACATCCTTGTGCAACGCCCTCCCTTTGAGTGTGGACTAGACCCTGTTCTAATCACAGAATATGGCAAAAGTGATGGGATATCTCCTCCAAGCTTTAGTTGTTAGTAACCATGGCTGACATTTTCTCAGATCTTCTCAGCTCTCTCTTCTCCCCTCTCTCCCTCCTCTCTTTCTCCTTTCCTCTCTCTGAACCCTGGCTCTGGGGAGCAGCTGCTCTGTTAGGAGCTGCCCTAAGGGGAGGCTCCTGTGGCTTAGGACCCAGAGAGGACAACAGAGGGGAACTTGGCCCTTCAGTCCACATGGAATCCTTCCAATAGCCCCATGAATGAACTTGAAAGTAGATCCTGCCCCAGTTGAGTCTCAGAGGAGACCTCAGTCCAGCCCCCTGAGAGACCATGTGGTAGAAGCACCCTGTTGAGCTGGGCTGGGCCTGGGTGAGCGCCCATTGTTACGGGCGGTTACGGGTGGGGCAGTGTTTCCACACAGCAGTGGGGCCATCATACAGTGGACCTGGCCCAGGATCTGCTCCACCCTTCCCTCCCTCCCCTGCTCTCCCCCCAGCTCCCTCCAGCCACGCTGTCCCCCTTTCTAAGCTCCTCTCTGGACAAACTAATGTCTGTCCTAGAGCCCCTGCACAGTTCCACCTCCCCACACTGTGCTGGAAATGCCTGCAGGGCTGGCTCCCCCTTGTCATTCTGCTCATGGCATGACTGTCACCTCAGGGAGGCCTTTTCAGATCCCCCCACCATGAAGTGGCCCCCAGCCTCCCCTGCAGCAGTTGCTTTACTTCGACACAGCACTTGCTCCTTTCCCCACTTATATGTTTTGTGGCTTGGTCCCGCTCCCCCTCCAGATGGTGCGCTCCTGGAGGGCAGGGACCATACCATATCTGTCTTTTTCACTGCAGCACCCAAGCTGAACTCAGGCCCTGGAACAAGGTAAGTGCTTTGGGTATCAAGACTGAATGAGTAAATGAGAGGATCTGGAGCCCCTCACTCCCACATCCTACCACGGACCAGCTCGGACTGTGGAGATGGATGCTGACAATAGGAAATGCAGGTCAGGTTGGAGGCAGGGGAATGGCCTGAATGACCCCTGGCTCTTCCCTGGCTCAGGTGCTCCCGCAGAACACAGTGGGCACATGTCTCCCCCTGGTGGCCAGAGCTTGCACTGCATCCAAAGAAGGAAAACCACAACACAGAACTTGCAAGGCAAATCCACGCTCCCACATCCCAGGGGGCAAAAATCCAAGAGGATTGAGAGAAATATCAGAAAACCCTCTTATTCCTACTGCCAGCACTGGCCTGGGGTCCAGACACTTCCAAGGCCTCCTCACCACATCCAGGGAGGTGGCCCCGGCTCCACTTCCACAGTAGGAGGACCTGAGGCTCCCACACTGGGGTCTTTGCCCTTGTCCAGGATGCGTGGTCCATGCTCTGCTGCTCCAAGTCTCAGTGCATCAACCACCCTGCCTCTCTCTGCTCAGAAGGAACTCCAGGGGTAGAAAGCATTTTCTAAGAACCTTGGAGCACAGTGGGTCACCTATGGAGAGCTGGGGCAACGGAGGCTTTCTGAGCCTGTGGGACTCTTGGGGTGACCCACGCCAAGCACCTCAGTATGTAGGGAAGGAAACTGAGGTCTTCTTTCCTGTAGCCCCTTCAGTCTAGGGGGCTCATCCTGGTTGAAGGTGCCCACAGCAGTGGACACAGGACCCCAGGCCCTGCTTTCCCCTGACTGCCGTGGAGGTGGTACCAGACCAGGCTGACCCAGGGGACCTTAGGGATCCCCCAGCCTGGCCTCTTTGCATCTCTCCCCTTCCCATGCTATGGGCCCTGGTCATGGTTCTGGTGACTGGATGCTGCTGTCTGTAGCAGAGCTGCCTCAGCCTCTTTCTTCTTTCCCTTTGTTACCTACCCAGGATCTGCTTCTCCTCCCATCCTACCCTTAGTCACCCCCTGTGATGTCAGCTTGTGCGTGTCTGTGGGTATGCACCTTTGGGGATGCTGAGAGGAAACAGCCTCTCCTGGGAAAAGTGAGTCAGGGTCTGCAGGATTTTAGGGGCTCCGATTCCCAAAGCAACCCCATGGGATATGGTTCAGCCCTGGCCTAGGAGATGGTAACTGGACTCTGCCCATGTCCTGTGTCCTGGGCCAGCCCCTCCTCTCTCTGGGCCTGGGTTTCCCAAGTGTCTAATGAGGGGTTGGACTGGAACTGCATATGGAAGTCTCAGTGTGGACCTGTCTGGCTCCCTCCATACCTGGTGGGTGAGTGGGATGTGCTCTGGGGTAACCTTGGGCCTCCACATGAGTGGGCATGCGTGAACCTTGAAGGAGATGCCTGGGCCTCATGCCCATGGCCACACATGCACACACGGTCTGCATGGGCCCCAGGCGGCAGGTGCACCAGAGCCACACTGCACAGCACATTGCATGGCACCAGTGGTTCCTCCAGCGCGTGTCCCACGGTTCCTGTCTCCTGCAACCAGGAAGTAAGCCAACCTTACTTAACCACATGGACTTGGAGGAAGGGAGTAGTTCCCCAGGGGGAAACTGAGCCTCTGTGACTATTAGAAGTGGCCATGGATGTGGGACCGGCGAGAGCCCCAGATCTTTACAGTCATGCCGGTCACCTACACCCCTGCCTCTTGCAGGAGCGTGTGTCCCAGGGAAGGGCAGGACTGGTCCCAGCTCACAGAGATTCAGGGAAAAGTGAGTGCCTCAGCTGGGGTTAGATTTGTCTACACACAGCAGAAAGTTCAGAACAGTTGTGGCACAGACAAGAGAGAGCGCTTTCTTTCTCCTGTTAAAGAACTCTGGAGGTGGCTGTCCATGCTGACCCGGGCTGTCCCCATAGCCATCAGCCAGCACCTGTCCTGCTGTCCCAGAGTCTCAGTAGCTGACTTCTGTCCTCAATGCTGTCTCTGGACCCCAGAGGGCTGTGCTTCAGAGATAGGAAGAGGAGAGAAGGAAGGACCAAGACCTGCTCAGCTGTGTGAGTTCCAGGCAGACAGCCTCTGCGAGCCCCTCACAGTGCCTCTGCTCATGCCCAGTTAGCTTGGACTTGTTCTGGTCACCTTAGCTACAAGGTAGGTTAGTCAGGAGCGGTAGCCTTTTCGCTTGGCAAGTTGTTGCCGAGGATAAAACCGAGCCCTCTGTTCTTAAGAAACAGGGAAGTATGAAAATCCCGGGTGAAGACCAGCGTTGTCTCCCTGCACTGAACTGCAAGATGAAGGGGAGGAACTGAGTTACCCTTAGATAAATTGGGAATTTATTTGTCTAAAACAGACTCTCTTTTCTTGGTATGTATTCATTGAAGAGAGAGAAAAAGTCATGGCTCTCAGCCAGGATATGTGAGTAGGAAGGCTGCTTTCAGTGCCTAAGCAGGATGATAGGAAGTGATGTGTTGGCTTCCACCTGACTGTAATTTGTAAGGAGCTCTGAGAAAATCCTCTTCTGTTTCATCAATGGGGCAAGGCCAGCACAGGGGTTTATGGAGACTTCTAGGCAAGCAGCATGTTCCTAAAAGCTAAGACTAATTTAAATCTCTAAACTAAAAAAGTAGAATGGTTTGACCCCACCATTTTGACTAGAGATATTTCAATTCTCATAGTGAAGATTAATAATACAAATAATCCACGCAAAATGGATAACGGTTAAAACTATATGTGATACAACTTACGATGACCAAAAATTGTTGGAAGAAAAATATTTTGGAAAATATTTTGTTGTGTTTAATTTGATCCTGAAAAGTTGACTTAAAGAAATACTGATCCCTAAAGAAAACTTACGATAGCAGAATCTGTAGTCAGTTAATTTTGATGTGGCCCAAAACAGAGTCATTTAAATAAAAAAAAATCCTGATAAAATAGTTTTGGTGAATTAAAAATAAGAGTCGATGAGCTAGAGGCTGGGCATGGTGGCTCACATCTGTAATTCCAGCACTTTGGCAGGCCGAGGCAGGTGGATCACTTGAGGCCAGGAGTTCAAGACCCACCTGGCCAACATACAAAAAGTAGCCAGGCATGGGTGAGGCATGCCTGTAATACCAGCTACTCAGGAGGCTGAGGCAGGAGAATGGCTTGAACCCAGGAGGTGGAGGTTGCAGAGAGCCGAGATGATGCCACTGCACTCCAGCCTGGGTGACAGAGCAAGACTCTGTATAAAAAAATAAAAAATAAAGTGGATGAGTTAGAATTGGGTTTCTATCCTTTATTTTTATAAAATGGATCAAGGTTTTAACATGTCTGAATAAAATTTGCCATGGACAGCTGCCCAACCTTGACCTGCTCAATCTCTTCCAGACCTTCTGCCAGAAAGTGGGCCTGCTGTGCACGCTTCAGGGTAAGCTGCAGCCCCAGGACTGGACATTGTTGGACGAACTGCTGCAGGGCCTGCAAACACTGCTGCTCATGATTTTGTGGCAGGCTTCCCGTGGCCTCTTCCTGCACTACCATGTGGAGGCCCTAACCCTGCGTCGCATCAGTAGCTTCCGCCAGTACAAGTATGACCTGGTGGCAGCGGGCAAGGCTTTGGAGGGCATGTTCTGCAAGCTCAACCACCTCCTGGAACACCCGCACCAGCTGTTCTTCCTCTACCTGCTCCCCACTCTGTCCCGCTTCGTCTCCATCGGCCTCTACATGCCCGCCACCAGCTTCTTGCTCCTGGTCCTTGGTTTCAAGGCTCTGCAACTGTGGATGCAGCTGCATGAGGCCGGAGTGGGCCTTGAGGAGCTCAGGGGGGTCCCTGACCCTAGTGTCCCCGCTCCCCCAGCACAGGATGGTAAGCACACAGGTCCCAGACAGGGGCTGGATGGCTCTGAAGCTGGTAGCCCTGATCTACCTAATACTGCAGCTGGGCTGCATCGCCCTCACCAACTTCTGACTGGACTTCCTGCTGGCCGCCACTATGGTGCTGCCGCTGTGCTCGCCGAGCCTTTGGGCCCTGGACCCTCTGTGCTGCCCTGCTGGTGTTGACAAGCCCAGCAGCCACGCTCCTTGGCAGCCCATTCCTGTGGCGGGAGCTGCAGGAGGCACCACTGTCACTGGCCAAGGGCTGGCAGCTCTTCCTGGCAGCACTGGCCCAGGGTGCGCTGGAGCACCACACCTAAGGCGCCCTGCTCTTCCCACTGCTGTCCCTGGGCCTCTGCCCTTGCTGACTACTTTTCTGGAATGTGCTCTTCTGGAAGTGAGATCTGCCTGTCCGGGGCACCAGGCTGGGACAGAGACTCCCCAAGGACCCCATTCTGCCTCCTTCTGGGGAAATAAACAAGTGCCTGTTTCAGCTGCTTTAAAAAAAAATAGAAAAAAAAAATGCCCTGGAAAATACTGTGTTAGCAAAAAGATTTAAAGATTGGTATAATTCTGATTTAAATGTTTTATTTAGCACAAAATCAAACATTGCATAGGAACAAAATTTTCTGAGACAAAATGGCTGGGTTTAAATGGGTTTAAATGTCTAAAAAATACTTAGCTAACAGTGTGGTTAAATTTTTACTTATTTTATTTATTTTTGAGATGGAGTTTCATTCTTGTTGCCCAGGCTGGAGTGCAGTGGTGCGATCTCAGCTCACCGCAACCTCCACCTCCAAGGTTCAAGTGATTTTCCTGTCTCAGCCTCCTGAGTAGCTGGGATTAGAGGCGTACACCACCACACCCAGCTAATTTTTGTATTTTCAGTAGAGATGGGGTTCGCCATGTTGACCAGGCTGGCCTCGAACTCCTGACCTCAGGTGATCCACCATTCTCAGCCTCCCGAAGTGCTGGAATTACAGGCGTGGGCCACTGCCCCCGGTCAAGTGTTTTTCTTTTTTTCTTTTGAGATGGAGTCTCACTCTGTTGCCCAGGCTGGAGTGCAGTGGCACGATCGAGGGTCACTGCAACCTCCGCCTCCTGGGCTTAAGCAATTCTCCTGCCTCAGCCTCCTGAGTAGCTTGGAATACGGGCACCCACCACCCCACCTGGCTAATTTTTTGTATTTTTAGTAGAGATGGGGTTTCACCATGTTGGCCAAGCTTGTCTTGAACTCCTGACCTCAAGTGATCCGCCTGCTTTGGCCTCTCAAATTGCTGCGATTACAGGCGTGAGACACCGCGCCCGGCCCCGGCCAAGTTTTTAAGCAGATACATTAGTTACATGTGCTGAAATATCAGATGACTCCCCCAGATTTCACTGACTTCACATTATATTTTGGGCCCACCAGAAGTTGCTGGCTGGGCGTTCAGGGTAGAGGCTGCTTTCCTCTGCGTGGGCATGCAGGAACCCAGAATCTTTCCATCAGGTGCCTCCGTCATCTCTGGGACCTCCTCCCACCTGCATCTATCGGTAGAAGGGGAGAGTGTGAGAAAGGCATTGGAGGCTTTTGTGGGCCAGCTCTGGAAGTGGCTCACCTTAGTCCATTGCCTCCCTTTGGCAAAAGCTGGTCATAGGACTACACCTAACATAAGGGGACTATGAACTAGAGCTTTTATTTATTTGTTTGTTTGTTTGTTTGTTTAGGCCCCATGGGGGCTGTGAACTGGAGCTTCTATTTATTTATTTATTGTTTAGGCACCATGGCCTACACTCCTTTATTAGAGTGAGGGTCCCGAGGACCAGCCCCCATATATGATGGGTCCACTTGAGCCTCCTTAGGAGCCCCATGAGGGAGTGATGGCTTGGGTAGGGAGCCAGGGACCTTGCCCAGCCCGACACTGGAGCAGGAGAGCGGCCTCAGTCCCCACCCCAACCCCAGAAGAGGGCGGGGCGAGAACCGGAGTCAAATCTTGGGCCGGGTCCAAGGGCCTGAGCGCCTGGTTTAGGCCGGAAATGGTCTAGTTCTCAGAGGTGGTCCGATCCCTAACCAGTCCCAGGCCCAGCCCCAGCCCAGCACCACCTGGAAGGTTCAAGTACATGGAGGAGAGGAGTAAGGCGGACTTGGGCGTATGGAGAAAGGGGTGAAGGGAGAAAGAGGACTTGCGCTCAGGAGGGAGCGTGGCCTACTGGTGGGAAAGCAGGCGTGGCCGCCTGTGCGGGAGGTTGCGGATCCACAGTGGGCGAGACCAGGCCCCAGCCCCATCAGGGCGCGGGGTGCGCAGCCAGGTGGTGCTCCAGCAGCGCCCAGTGAGAGGAGACCTTGCGGTAGACGGGGGAAGGGCGCGCGCTCTGGCCGCTGAGTGCGCATGTGCATATTGAGCGAACTCTTCTGCGGGAAGGGCTTGGCGTAGACCGCGCACTGGAAGGCGTGCGCGCAGGTGTGCGTGACCATGTGCTTGAAACGGCAGTAGCGCAGCGAGAAGGATCGCCATCACACGGCGCACTGGTGCGGCTTCTCCCCCGAGTGGATGAACATGTGCTTGGTGTCGTTTTTCCTTGAGCTGAACGTCTTGCAACAGTGGCCGCACGCATAGGCAAGTGGCTCGGCACCAGGAGTGCGAGCAGTGGTGCCTGAGGGGGCCGTGGTGGGAGCAGCAGAGGGAGCCGGGGCCTCCCGCAGCTGAGTGCCGGGGGCTGCCTCGGGCTGGAGTGTGGGGTAGAAGGCGGGTGGGGGCGCAGGGGCTGGCACGGATGGTGCTGAAGGGGGTGGTGCGGGTGGTTCGGGAGCACCCAAGTGAAAGGGGAAGAGTGCGACAGGCGGCCCTGGGGTCTTCACGCCAGGCGGGCGGGGTCCAGCCAGTATGCAGTCGGGCTGGACAGGGGTCTCGGTGGGACAGCCTTCGGGGACAGCGCCATCCTTGTCGTGCCAAGCGGTTACATAGCTGTCTGGAAATACGTCCTCAGCTGCCCCAGATCCCGGAAGAAAATCTCTCCCACACCACTGTAGTCAGAGAGGCCAGTGGGTGCATGGAACTCCTCGCACGCGCTGTCAGCAGCAGCAGTGAGGAAGCCGGCAGCACAGTCTGGGAAGGAAGGAGGTGCTTGGCTCTCTCCCGGGCCGCCACCTTCGCCGTCCTCGCCATCGGTCTCATCGTCAGTTTCCTCGTCATCGTTGTCACCTCGGTCGTCAGGGGCCGCGGACAGTGAGGGGTAGGCACCAAGCCCCTCGGCTTTGGCAGGTGTCGGGGGCGCAGGCAGCTGCAAACTCGCGGGCCGGCGCTGCTTACCGCTGTGCGCGGCACCGGGGTGCCCCGGGGGTGCGCAGCCAGCAGGTGGCGCAGGCGGTGACGCAGCTGCTCAGGTGCGAGTGGCGGGGGCACAGGGGTGGGCAGGGGCGCGGGTGCAGAGGTGCTCGCGGGTGCAGAGGAGCGCGTGCGATAATCTGCGTGCATTCGTCGATAACTGTCTATGCGAAGCACCGACGCAGCCATGAGTACCTGCGGGGCTTCACTCTGTGCCACAACGAGCGAACCGCTGTACAGGAGCTCGACTAGCTGTCGCACCGTCTGCACAGGCACCACCGAAGGCACACGGATCTCAGAGGGGCCGAGCAGCAGCTTGTCTTGGAAGGAGGGCGAGCCGATTGCCAGCCCGCAGCGGTGCGCACGCAGCGAAGCTTCATGAATGCACACAGTCACGTCGCAGAAGTGCCCACCCAGCTTCTGCCCATTGAGGGTCTCAAGCAGAGAGCGTGAGAAGTTCTGCAGATGTATGTGGCGCACAGCCTCTACAGCCGCCGACTCCGACTCCTCTTCAGGCACCAGGCCTGGCCGTGGCCGCCTTCTCACCGACTCCAAGGCAGCACTTCCGGGCGCTTCTCTTTATTTTTATACAGTTTTATTGAGATATAATTTACATGCTATCCAGCCCATCTATTTCAAGTGTACCATGCAAGGGGTTTGTATATATTCACAGAGTTGTGTATCCATCACCATCGTTTTAGAACATTCATCACTCCAGAAGAAACTACTACCCATCAGCAGCCACTGCCCATTTCCCTGATCTGCCCCGCCCTAGGAAATCCGTAATCACTTTCAGTCTATGGATTTGCCTATTCTAGACCATTCATATAAATGAAGTCACACAACACTGGGTCTTATGTGACTGGCTTCTATCAAAGTTTGCAAGGTTCATTTATGTTCATGGTATGTATCAGTAGCTTGTTACTTTTTATGTTTGACTTCTATTCTGTTACTTACCTACACCGTATTTTATCTATCTCTTCTGCAGTTTATGGGATTTAGGTCGTTTCCACGTTTTGGCTGTTCTAAATAATGCTGCTCTGAGCGTTCACATACAAGCTTTTCACATGATTTCATTTCTCCAGATCTAGGAGTGCAATTGCTATATTATATGGCAACCCCGTGTTTCACTTTTTGACAAAGTGCCAGACTGCTTTTCAAAGGACAGCATCATTTTATATTCCTGCCAGCAATGTCGAGGGGTCCAGTTTCCACACATTCTCACAAACACTTATTGTTATCTGTCTCTCTAGTTATTGCCTTCCTGATGGATGTGGAGTGCTTTCTCATTGGTTTTGATTTGCATTGTTTAAATGAGTTATAAGATTGAGCATGTTTTCATGTTTATTGGCTGCTTGTATATCTTCTTTGGAGAAATGTCTATTCAGATTGTCTCCCCATTTTAAAATCGTGTTATTTTCTTTTTTACTATTGACTTGTGAATGTTCAAACATGTATATATATATATATATATATATATATATATATATATATATATATATATATATTTTTTTTTTTTTTTTTTTTTTTTTTTTTTTTTTGAGACGGAGTCTTACTCTGTTGCCAGGCTGGAGTGCAGTGGCACGATCTTGGCTCACTGCAATCTCTGCGTCACGGGTTTAAGTGATTCTCCTGCCTCAGCCTCCTGAGTAGCTGGGACTACAGGCATGCACCACCACACCCGGCTAATTTTTGTATTTTTAGTAGAGACGGGGTTTCACCATGTTGGCCAGGATGGTCTCAATCTCCTGACCTCGTAATCCACCCACGTTGTTCTCCCAAAGTGCTGGGATTACAAGGTGTGAGCCACCGCGCCCGGCCCAAACATATTCTTATACAATTCTCTTCTTAGATATAGGGTTTGCAAACATTTTATCTCACATTGTAATTATTTTTTCATTTTCTTGAAAGTCTACTTTGATACAGGAATATTTGTGAATTTTATAAAGTACAGCTTATCTATATTTTCTATTATACTTGTGGTTTTGGTATGATATCCATAAAATCATTGCCTAACCCAAGGTCACAAAGCCTCAGTCCCATATTTTCTCCTACGTGTACTAAACTTTTGGCTTTTATATTTAGGTCTTTGATCCATTTAGGGTTAACTTTTATAAATGGTGTGAGGGAGGGGACTAACTTCAGTCTGTACATGTGAACATCAATCTGTCCCAGGACATTTTTGAAAAGACTATTCACTCCCCATTGAATTGCCTTGTCTCCCTTGTCAAAGTCACAACAATTACTGTCCTCATTTTTGTATCTGGTCACATGTTCCTAGTTAGTAACTATAACTACCCTCTTCTACTACGCATTCTGTATTCCCTTAGCTTTCAGCAAGCAACTCAGTTGGTCTTGATTCTTTATATGGGGCAATGACCCAAACTTTCCTTCCTGAAGGAATTGGGCCATTGGCAGCTGTGCCCGAATTGGGTTGTTGTAGTTTTCCATTAAATTAATCACAGGGCATGGTAGTAGGTAGCACTGAAGACACCCTAGGAGATCCCATGTATTCCAGAAGTATTATTTCTTAGTTCTGTGGAGTAGAAGCAATTAACCCTTGGTAGTCAGGATCAACCACCTCTGCCAGCACGGTAACTCCCTTCTTTGCCTGTCTATTCAGAGGCATGAGGAGCTCAGAGTGGACAGGGACTATCTTAACTTCCAGTTCAGTAGAATCATTTCTTTGTATCGTGGGGGATGCATTCCTCCTTTTGGGACCAAGACTTCTAGACCAGCAGAGCATAAGATTGAGGGACAGGAAATGAAAATTTTGCTGGTGTGTCACTAGGGGTAATAGTGATGATGAGAACCAATTGGTGTGGGAGACCATGAGGTGGATAAGGCACTCTGTAAGTCCAGACAGTAGTGTGATTTTTATGAAGTACAATTTATCAGTGGTGATAGGAACATTGAGGGTAGGAGGGGAAATTCTCATACATAGTGTCTGTTTCAGTGAGAACAAGACACTGCCTCTTCTATGATGGAGGTGGTTCAGAGTCACAGCCAGGTTACCTTGGGAGTGGAAGTCCATGTTGCAGAGCCCAGGCATCACCTCCACCCCTGCCACCATGGCCACTGTATTCATGAGCCCATTGAGCAATGACAGGGGTGGCTGGGGAAAGAGGCTGAGTGGTGTCCACAGAACAGGTCATCCTATCTGCTTGATTATTGAAATCCTTCTCTGCCAAGGCCACCCTTTGGAGAGCATTTACATAGCACTCAATGCACTCTTGCTTTTGGTTTACTCTTTTACTAGGTGAAACCAGTCCTAGTGGCTCATAACTGGGTTTTCCTATCATACTTGTCCTCAGTCCGTAGGTGAAACAACAAATGTAGGGATGCTGAAAGTTGCTGAGTATGTGTCTATTCCAACCACAGGGTGGGTTCAGGGACACATTGGATCCACTGTGAAACAGACATGAGCTCACACTCCATCCACCAGCTAACCTCCATAAGTCCCTACTCTGGTGGACCACAGTGATGTTTTTGGTCTCTGGGAATTCCTGTCAAATCAGAGCCAGTGTCCAGAATTCCCCAAATATCTGAGAATTTTCTTTTCTCTAAGTCACAGTCATCCTGGTAGAAGGCTGTAGGTCCCTTTGGGGAAGACTGGGAAAAAGATTAACTATGTAAGTTTTTGGCAATGTAGCAGCGTACTTCCCCAAGATCACCCAGCCTCCCCTTCACTTAGGGGTTGTGGGCCTGTGAACTGGCTCAAGTCTGGGAATTGATTGAGGGTTTAGATCTGTGTTTCATTAATTTGAGTTAGTCTTTTATTCAGTTGACCTAGAATTCTTCATTTTTTAAAAAACAACTAAGACTTTGGTACAGCCCATTAGCTCTCCCTGTGGATACCATGGACTACACAATGCCATGGGTTTCTGTGAGTCAAACCATTCTGACTGCTGCTTTGACACTGCTTTCCACTGTAGTGACCACACCCACCTCATCTTTGGTGATTAAGGACAGCCCATGTTCCCTGCCACCCCAGGATTCAATTATCCTCATTTTATTTAAAGATCCCAGTCCAGTGGCTGCAGTTTCTGCTGTAACATTTTGCCTACTGAGAGCACGAGCTCAAAGCTCTTCCAGGATACTGGGCTCCTCTCACAATATTCTTTCTCATGATCGTTGTGAGAAGTATGTTCTGTAGACCCTCCAGTGTGAGTGAGCAGGTCTGACATAATAAATCCAGTCTCCCTGAGTTTTTGCATACCTTCCTATACACATAAACCAAGGAAGTTGTGACATCTCAACTTTATGTACTTTAGGTAAACTCTGATTCTGTTTCAGCCAACCAGCCAAGTAACAAAACAAATAAGCAAACAGCCAACCAATCAACCAACAAGCAAGCAAGCAACAAACCAACCAAACAAGCAAGCAAGCAAGCAAGCAACCAACCAACCAACCAAGTAACCGATCAAACCAACCCTTGGAGCCCTTTCTAAAACTTTGACCTACAACCCTGAATCCAGAATCTCTGTTTAGTGGGCCAACATTAATAAATTTAGCCTACTCCAACTTTGTGTTACTTCCACCATGGTGCCACACACTTAATATCCATTCCCACATATATTCTCCAGATTTCTTTCTGTATAAATTGTGTGTGTGTGTGTGTGTGTGTGTGTAGAAAGAGAGCATCAACTGAAAAATCACACAATTTTATAAATTTAGAAAAGAGAGCTTTATTTCTTATAAAGGTTTGCAGCCTGCAAGGTGGCCATTATGACAGGCTGGGAAGTGTGGCCTACAGCCAAGGCTAGAGGCAGGCCCTTCCAGGGAGGGAAGGAGAGGACAGGAATTTGAGCTGAATGAGTTGACTACATATACATACTCAATAGGATATCAGAGGAGCTATATCATTTTATGAGAATACTCATAAAAGAGGTCCTAACACATGCATATTGAATAAACATGCATGTTCATTCTGGGGTGGAGACTTGACATTTAAATGTGTTATAATTAGGCCCTACACATCAAAAAGTGAAGCAGGGAATGAAGGTACTCAGCCTCTGTAAAGGCACAGCCTCTAAAACTGGCCAGAACCAGTCCATGGAGGATGGTCTCTTATCAGGAGAAAGTTACTGAAATCAGTCCCTTGTCCAGTGAAAGCTGTCGTTAAGGTCGGTGGGGCAGGAGATCAGTTACTCAGTGTCTGTGAACTGGGTGAGTTGTAATTGTTTTAATCTTGCTTCTCTCATAGCCAGTGCTTGCTTGGCTGCTAGAGAAAAATAAAAACTATGTGGTAGTTAGAATCTAGTTTATTCTTTAAGAGTAGGGTACAAGACTTAACCCTTGCCTGGCATGGCCCTAGGTCCTGTTTATAATTTGGGGTCTTATTGCCACAAAGAGTCTGTTCTGTCAGTCTCATGATCTCTATTTTAACGTTAATGCTGTTCAGTTGTTGGGTCTAAACCATAAGAGGGAGAGAGGTACAGGGAGTTATGTCTGACCTCCTGTCCTGTCATGGCCAAGAACTGAATTTTAAGATTTATTTGAGGTTCCGTTGGCCAACAGGGGGTCTGTTAAGTCGGGTGGGGGGCTTAGGGTTTCATTTTTAGTTCTCAAGGGAGATAAAATAATTTAATCAATTGGCCCCTGTGACTATTGGACTAACATGGCTATGATCTGTCAGACAGACTTCAGGCTGGCACCCAGGCAAAATTCTATACTGTAGTAAATGCATCATGCACATTTGTAACAACATGTACATAACAATGTCACAAAATACTTTCACGGTGACACCTAGATTAGTGTTTTATTGAATAGCTGATGATATAAACTGGCTCATTTGATGCCAAGACTGACCATCACCACCATACCAAGGTCATCACTGATCAGAGGCCTAACCCAAGGAGGGGGTCATGTGCAGACCCAGCTGTGGGGAGGAAAGATGCTGCAGAGGAGACGGATGCCCACAGAGGCCCCTGAGTGGATACAATGCTCACTAAGTGGTAAGTATAGACTCAACGTAGGCTGTCAGGTCTCCCCCTGTGCAAATGGGACATCCACTTGAGAGTCAAGGGTCTGTTTGGGTGGCAGGGATAGCCACTTCTGAAGGTAGAAAGAAAAATAAGCCACCAAATTGGTATCTTTCTGTGAAATGGACATCGTGCTTAGAGTCTCCATTTTCCCCACAACCTGGAGGAATAAGTATTGTCATCTGCATTTTATAGCTGAGGAATCTGACTCAACAAAATTAAATTACTCACCTAAGCAATTAGCAATTAACCAAGTCTTTCTGATTCAGAAACCCAGCTGTTGCCTGTTCATATCCAGCCCCTGTATTGGGATCAAGATCTGCCCTATTCTCAGTGCAGCAAGATCCAGGCAGATCACACTGGACTCCCAGCACTGAATCTGGCTCAAGGGGACATGAAATTTGACTGGGTCATGGGACTCAGGAGCATCACTCTCAAAAATAGCAGTACAGGAAGAGGCGATGGCCCTAAACAGCATTTGCAGGCAGATCCCATGTTAATCATAAGGGCCAGGACTCTCTCACTGTCTGTCTCTCTCTCTGTCTCTCCTCTAGGGCTGACCCCACATTGGACACCGCTGCATCCATGTCCATCACACAACACAGCTGCCGTTTCTTCTGCCTGCTTATGGGAAAGTCCCCTCTTCTCCTCCGTTTTCTTCTCTTCCTGCCCTATCACACCGTGCACTTCTCCCTTTCCTTAAAGAACCACCATCAACTTTAGGAGGAGGGAAAGGGGTGGCTCTGGCAGGAAAAGCCAGAATCCCCTCTAGCCAGCAGAGAGAGAGAGGAATGGCTGCATGTTTTCTCCCCCAGTCCAAGGCACTGGGTCTTGGCTGGGTTGAAGGTTCCAAGCTGCTCTCCTGCTGTGTCGGTGAGTTCTGGTCAACCTGCAACCTCCTGATATGGCCATTGCAGTTCATCGAGTCTTCAGGGACTCCCCATGGCCTGGAGTACTTTGCCTTGCTTACACGGGAGAGGAGAATGGATTTATAGAGAACATCATCTAAATCCAACTTGACCATTGTGTGGCCACACTTGCTAGATTGCTATAGTCTAAATCTAGCATTGTAGAAAGACGGGGGAGCTTGGAGCTGCACAAACCCAGGTCTGGAACTGGCTCCTTACCTTGGAAGGTGAATGATCCTGCCAGGACTCTTAGCCTCCCTGGGTCTCAATTTCTTTATCTGTTTCATGGGAATGAGGATCTCTGCTGGGTGGTTGGGTGATGTGGGGGCTGTGTGAAAACAGCTTGTCAATACAAGCCAAAATAGAAATATTTCTCCACAGAGTATGAAGGTCAAATGAGAGAATACATTTAAATTAAATGGAAAATTAAAATGGTAAAAAATGCAAAGCTGTATTGAAAGTTCCGAGCTTCTCTATAAGGAGCTTTTTGACTATGTAAGAATCCTGTACTCGTTCCCCCTAAATATAAAAAAAAGTTGAAGGAGGCAGAAGGGAGAGTGATGCACGATGGGCAAGGACTTCACCTGCTGTTGCTGGCTTTGAGGATGGAGGAAGGAGGCCACAAACCTAGAAGCTGGAGCCCCTAGAAGCTAGAAAAGGCAGGGACCCGATTCTTTCCTTGAGCCTCCAGAAGGGACACAGCCCCGCCAGCACCTTGACTTTAGCCTGGTGAGATCCTCTTAGGACTTTTGGCAATCAGAACTATAAGACAGAAATGGAAGCCACTGAGTCTGTAGCTGTTTGTTGCAGCAGCAATAGAAAACTAATGCAGGGCCCAAGAAATCACTGGTGATGAGATCGGGAAAGTGGGCTCAGGAGGTCTGGATCTGTGATGAGATGGGGAAAGTGGGCTCAAGAGGTCTGGATCTGTGGTGAGATGGGGGAAGTGGGCTCAGGAGGTCTGGATCTGTGATGAGATGGGGAAAGTGGGCTCAGGAGGTCTGGATCTGTGATGAGATGGGGAAAGTGGGCTCAGGAGGTCTGGATCTGTGATGAGATGGGGGAAGTGGGCTCAGGAGGTCTGGATCTGTGATGAGATGGGGGAAGTGGGCTCAGGAGGTCTGGATCTGTGATGAGATGGGGGAAGTGGGCTCAGGAGGTCTGGATCTGTGATGAGATGGGGAAAGTGGGCTCAGGAGGTCTGGATCTGTGATGAGATGGGGGAAGTGGGCTCAGGAGGTCTGGATCTGTGATGAGATGGGGAAAGTGGGCTCAGGAGGTCTGGATCTGTGATGAGATCGGGAAAGTGGGCTCAAGAGGTCTGGATCTGTGGTGAGATGGGGGAAGTGGGCTCAGGAGGTCTGGATCTGTGATGAGATGGGGAAAGTGGGCTCAGGAGGTCTGGATCTGTGATGAGATGGGGAAAGTGGGCTCAGGAGGTCTGGATCTGGGGTGGGGATCTGGAGTGGAAGGGGAATTCATTTGTTCATTGTCTATCCTTTTGTATTGATTGAATTTTTTATATATATATGTGAATTTTCACAATAAAATTTTTTTCCAAAATAAAATAAACAAAAGGGGCTTTTTGCAACCCAATTCCTATCTATGTCTGAGTCCACTTGTATTGCATGGGTCTTTCTGCTAACGTCCTTATATTTGGGTGACAATCTGAATGTCAGCGACCAATCAGAGCAGAGGCAGACTTTGGAGTGGGCAGGGCATCCTGAGGGCCCTGATTCCTGCCATGAGACGTAACCCTTTAGGTGCCAGACCATGGGGAGGTCCAGGGGTTGCAGGGGAGGGCTGTGCATCTGCAATGGCTCTCAGGGGGGCTCCCGGTGGTGGCAATCGGTGAATCTGCACAGTGGTGCTTCAATATTATCACAACCCTGCTGTCTCTCATGCTCTCAAAAAGCGTTTCTCTTACCTGTGACAGACTTCCTATACCTAACAGCTTGCAAAAATGTTTCAGGTTAATGAGAATAATCTCTTGGAGCCATACCTCCCTGCTTGGGGTCTCAGTTTCCCCAGCTGTCTCCAGACAAGTTAGGCTAGAAGGCCCCTGAGCCTCAGCCCCTCTATCCCCCTCCTGTCACCCAGACCTGATCTGGGTCTTGCACCCTGGGTGCAGCATGACAGGGGTGGGCAGGGGCTGGCTCTGGGCCAGAGGACCCTTTCTGATGGACTTCAGCTGTTGGCCTTCCAGGGGAGACTGATCAACCTCACAAGAGTCATAAGGTGAGTAGCGGTGGGCAAATCCATCCCCCTCATCTTAGATTTATGGGGATACAGAGAGAAAGAGGAGACACTCCAGGAAGACGTGCAGGTGGGAGTACCAGGTTGAAACCAAGGACACCTTCCTGGAGGAGTTGCTGTTTGAGCCAGCTCTGAGAACAGGTGGGGACAGGACTGGAGAGGAGGAGGGGGTGCCCTATGAGCAAAGACTGGCCACCACCCCATCTAACACCCCCACAGGGCCCCTGTGGCATCCCTGTCCAGTCCCTGTCACCACCCACTTTTTCCCTCTGGACCCAGGAATTCAAAGTAAGCAAGGAGGTCCGCTGCTCCAGTTGGCTGCAAATAATTACAACCTTGAGCCCAAGCAGCACTTTGGGTCCTGGTTTGGGACGATGAAGCAGCTCGGTGAGACTGAGAGGTAAGGCCAGGGCAGGAATTGGGACACTAGGATTGAACTCTCCCTGGGGGCCAGCCTCAGAAAGCCTGTGGCCATGGCCTCTTGGCCAACATCAGATCCTGTGGTCTGGCAATGCCTGGGGTACCCAGACCTCACTCTGCACAGGCCCTGGGAGGGGGCCCTGGTGAGATTCCTGGCAGCCTCACAGCCACTCTTCTGTCCATAGCTACAACCTGTCATGCCAGCTGGAGGCTCCATCCCAGTTGGCTGGGAGCACAAAGGCCAGGAAGGTAGACATCACCCACCACAGGGGCCAGTCGGGGCCTGAACCAGGGCGGGCAGAGATTGGCTGCCTTGGGCTATGGGTGGGCTCAGGGAGTCAGAGAGCAAGGGACTAGCCTCCCATCCTACTGCTGACCAGCCCTGTGACTGGGGAGAGTCACCTTACTTCTCTGGGCCTCAGTTTCCCCCTCTGTGGAGTGACACTAAATGCTCTCTCTGGAGACTGGGATCAATGGGGCACTGGTGATTGACCAGGCACTCAGCACATGCCTGGAGCACACAGTGCAGGGCTGTGGTGGGGAGGTGGCCTGGGTCCCTGGGGAGGCACCCATGTGTGCCTGCCCTTCCGACCAGCCACCAGGCCCTCAGGGCAGAGCCCACTACCAGCAGCAGCTCACACCCCGAGACCAGCTCAGAGGCGGCCCCTACCTCAGCAGCAGGGACATCACGGACACTTTGAGCTGGTACTAGGGCAGCTTCTCCGGCTCCCACCTGGAGAGGGGTCCCAGCTGAGTCCCACTCACGTGAAGTCTCATGCCCCTGAAAGTGCCATTCACCACTGGCCAGGCTCATGAGGCCACATGAGGGGGGGGGTGTCACTGGGGAGGAGATATGGGGGGAACAGAGGGGTGGTTGAATTTTTGTATAATAGGCAGTGCAAGTGTTTACCGTTTGGGAGGGGAAAGGTTTGTTATTATTAGCAGTGCTACACTTGAATATTATACTAAAATCCAGTTTCTCTATAACCTGGGAGTTGCTCTTTTGTTCTTTCTTTTCCTGTCTTAATTAAAATGAGATGCAGGTTCTCACGGTCCACAGTCGATTAAGAAATCTTGCAGGGCCATCAGTTATGTCTTGGAGAGCAGGGTTTCAGTACCATCAGCCTGGCAAGGAGCTGGGCCTGCCCCTCAGAGCTCCCGGGACTGCGAGATTTGGCACATTCACAGGGCACTGTCACAGCCTCTGAAACGCTGTCTTTAAAGACATCTGCAGGCTGGACGCGGTGGCTCACTCCTGTAATCCCAGCACTTTGAGAGGCAGAAGCAGGTGGCTCACTTGAGGTCAGGAGTTTGAGACCAACATGGCCAACATGGCAAAACCCCATCTCTACTAAAAATACAAAAATCAGCCAGGTGTGGTGGCAGGTGCCTGTAATTCCAGCTACTTGGGAGGCTGAGGTAGGAGAATTGCTTGAACCCAGGAGGCGGAGGTTGCAGTGAGCAGAGATCGCACTACTGCACTCCAGTCTGGGCAACAAGAGCAAAACTTCATCTCAAAATAAAAAAAATAAAAAACATAAAAAAGACATTTGCAAGGACCATGTCCTCACCCAGAATGGTGCCTGCCTTTCTACAGTTTTTCAGGAAGAGGAAACATTTTCTGCTTCTCTCGCTGAGGTTTTTTTTAACCACCCATTAGGAACCTATAGATTTCAGGATCAAACACTGGGATTCCCTCAGCACTAAAGGAGGAAAATTGCAAACAGAGCTGAAAGTGCAATGTGGAAAGGTCAGGCTGAGGAAGGTTCTTAGCCAGTAGACCAATGGCAGGAAGGACACTGCCTCCTCAGTCTCCCACTAGGGAACTTGTGGTTCTTGTCCCCTGACCTCAGAATTCCTTGTCATGTTTGTTTTGTCTCCAAGGGAAGGGTTTGCATTACAGAATTTAAGGCTAGAGTGGGCCTCGTGCAGTTAACATTAACCCTCTCTCTCCTTTGCTGGCTGAGGTGAAGTCTGGGACCATATAGTTCTGACGTCCACTCTCTCGGGGGATCACCAGTTCACCCACCTCACCTGGCAAGCTGGGCCCTAGTTTGGCGACAGGCATCTTCCACCCACCTGGGAGGCAGGGTTCAACACTCTGCCTCTGACCTTGTTTCCTTCCTCTGCCACCTGCTTAGGCAGCCAGAAGGGGTTGTCTAGCCAGCCTGGGCTTTGGTGCTCCTCAGGCAGGTGGAGGAAGTTTCAGGCACCTGGCTCCTCAGGTGTCTGCCATTCAGGTGCTCTTCAGGCCTGCCCAGCAGGGCTCTCTTGATCCAGCTAGAACTGGCCAGAACTGACTCACTCAGGAATGTGTAGACTTTGGCATCAGGGGCTGCTTTAATTTGCACAATTTCCAAATACCTCTTTTTTCTTCTTTTTCTGATGAGTCATCTCCCTAGACTTGCATTTTAAAGAGACAGATAGTTATCAGGTTCCAGAGAAGACATGGTAGAATGTTTATATCTCAAAGGCACAGTGTTGAGACTTCAGGTTTAGATACTATCATTTGCCTAAACCAAAAAGGAGCGTGTAGGTAAAGTTCTAGTCAAGACAGGATGGCCAGGAAAAACACCTTAAACCAAGGGACGGCTTGCTTTGCTGATTTAAGCCAATGGCTTCTTTATCATAAGACTTCCCAGTAATTTAGTCCTTCCTCTCTTCCAGTGCACAGAGACATACCCCTCCTTACAAATAAAAATTTTCTTTATAGATGTAAATTTATTTTACAAAAATGTTTCAAAATAACCAGATGAAAATCATCATTATGCCAGAAAGACTTGTTTTTTTTTTTTTTTTTTCTCATTAATAGAAACGAAACAGTAAGTATTTGTTGTATTGACGTACTTAGGCTCAGACCTATGTTTAACAAGAAAGCCTAATAATAGCACTGTGGTTAGACTCTAGCCATCATTTAATTATTTAGGAAATAAAGGATCAAATACCTTTCATTCATCTGATATGATTCTTTAAAACACATTCCACTAATAAGTCCCATTTGGAACAGCTGAAAATCTTTTAGTAAAAGCTTTTTAAAGATGAGCTCGTGGCTTAGTGTAAATTTCACAAGCTTAATTAGGTCAAATGGAAGGAACTCAGATGAGTAGTTGCCCAATCAGAGCCCATTATTTGTAAGTCATCAACCCCCTTCATGACCTAAAAACTCTACTCTGACCTAGTTATTGCAAACCTATATACAACAAAGTGAAAGGATTAATTTTCATTCATCAACCTCTCAATCCTAGATTTTCAAAGAAAAAACCTATCTAAGGAATACTTACAAAAATCAGACAGGAAAATTAGAGCCTGCATACTTAAGAGTCAAATTTGTTCCACTACAGCCAGGTCGCATACAATTACATCATTTGGTTCTTCGTACACGCTAGAACTGACCAGGACAGAGTTTAGCGTAGAAAAACTGTAAGAAATAGGTTCCTACACATAGGAATTGCAAAGTTCAAAAGGGTATGAAGAAAACTAATATAAATGAGAGACTCCCCTCCGTTTTAAAGAAATACACGCTCTCTAAAAATATACGCAATTTTTACAAATACATTTATAAGTTGTTTTTATCTTAAAAATTGGGGATATTTCACATTTATAACTAATTATTGAGACTTAAGTTTTCTTGGCCATTTCTAGGCTAATAAACTAAGAATCATTTAAACTAAGCCAAAGTAGAATAGATATAAAAGTCCTGAACACTTCAACTTCCTACTCTTCAAGAAGTATACCCGGCAAAGCTCATTTGAGAGAGGAAATGCTTTCCTCCACCCTCTGTTTTACAGCGCTGAGGCTTCTTATCACAGTTCTATGACTTGTAGCTTAAATCCATGTTACATGGTCACTGACATTGTTGGTGCTTCTCTTTTAACACTGTAGGAATTAATTCGGTGGCATATTTAATTAATTTTATCACTAGCCTGGCTGCTGGCCACCCTTCTCAACAAGGAAATTAAGTCAGAAAGGCTTATTTTCACTAAGTAAGACTTCGGGAACATGGCAAAGTTCATGACAATAAGAAAGAAGTGGCAGCAAGGGTTGGAAAAGAGTGGTTTCAGTCAACTGAGAGGTTCCCATGGGAGAAGCAGGATCAAAGAGAGAGAGAGAGAAAACAGGGAGGGCTGATTAGATTAGTCGATAGTTGTCCCAAGAGTGATGCCTTTGAGGGCTTCCCTTAGTGGGGAAACAGTCCAGGCCAAAGGGATGACCCGTGAGATGGCTGCTGTAAAAGTGGACAATTCTTTTTCCAGTGGCCTGGCTATTTGCAAAAAAGGCAGACATCTTAGGGCACAGGGGTGTTTAGTTTGCATGCACAAGTACAAGTACTCTCAATCCCTGCAGTTGTTGTAACTGGGAAGACACGCACCTATTTACCTTTGTAAGGGTTTCCCCACTGTCACCACTGTAACTCTAGGTTATCTTGAGGGAGGCCAAACTTATCTATCTACTGAACCCAGTCCAGTTTCCATCTGATCATCAGACTGAGTGGCCTCCTACCTCGATCCAATGCAGTTCACAATCAAATCCAATTTGATGCTGGACTCAGTCAAGTTTTTGCCAATGACTCGTCAGCTACCCAAACCTCAAAAGGCCGTATATTATCTCACAGCAGAAACTGGCCATTGGCACCCATCCCAAGATAATTTGCCCTCTCACAGCACAAAACCCTGGATTTGAAACCCAAAAGGATCAAGGTTCAATGCAAAAAGAACAGAGTCTGGCCTAAGAGGAATGTACAACCTCAGAAGGAGGGCAAAGGGGCCAGCAGTGTCTTTCCTGCTTTCCTCAAGGGGTCTTGGGAGGTGGATCCCATTCAGCTTGCCAGAACTCTCAAAAGACAAAATTACAACAAATTTAGTTTAAAGATCTTATTTAGCTTTTATTTATTATTTCAGAATCAACTTTGAAACCCAGTCTGGATAAAAAAATTGGCTTAAACAAATGCATAGCTCAAAACACAAATTCTTGGAGCTTCAAAATTTGAGAGAGAACTTGCCCAGGACCCCTGCTGCTGTGAGAGATCTGTGTGCACAATGGGCCTGGTGGGTCGCTGTGCTTGGCCACTCCATGCTTCTGGGGTTTGATGGAAGTTCTACTTCAGATTGCATTTCCTACACGAATCTGTTAAAAAAAAAAAAAAAAACCTTTACATACATTAAATTTAGCAGAGTTTATTTGAGCAAAGAAACAATTTAGGAATCAGGCATCAGTTTGCACCAAAAATGGCTCAGAACACTCCATGCCACCGTATGTGCAGGTTATATTTACAGCTAGAGAAAAAGAAGTGCACGGAAACAGCCTGATTGGCTGCTGTTGGCATTTACCTTATATAGTCATGTTTTGGCAGCTTTCAGCCTCTGATTGGCTGAAGGCTCAGCTGTTTTCATTGGCTGAGACATAGTTACATGTTATAAGACTACAGTCTTGGGTTAAGTTAGTTATTTTTACACATTAAGTTAGGTTTCAACTAGCTATGTATAGAGAACTCATTAGGCCAAACTTAAAATAAGTATGGAGGCAGCTTTAGGACAAAGATAATTCAATTTAACAATACCCTTATGTATATTTTACGCTTTTTATGTATTTCTATATATATTAATAAATATAAGTAGTTGTATGTACATATATAAAAACATACCTATGTGTGTGCATACACATGTATGTGAGTATATATGTTTGCTTCTACCTTGTATGAGCAAAGTATGCCAGAGTGGCAGAGTGCTACATATATATGTGTAAATTTCTATATTAAATATATTTATGTATGTTACCTATATATTTATATGCTCATAAATATATGTTTCCTTGAATAGTCACCTATGTTCTATATTTCTAAATTTATAAATATGCATATTTATGTGTGTGTATATGTACATATATTTATATTTAATTTTTATGTGTTGCTTCTGCCTTATTTGTTAAGGTAGCCCAAAATGGCAGAGAGATTACATATGTATGCTATAAATGTTTATACTATATATATTATGTTTATGTATATATTTATATATGTTACGTAGTTCTTTTTTTCAAGAATTTGAAAAAGTTTCTAAATTGAGGAAAAATTTACATAAGATTAAGCACTTTAAAGTGTATCATTTGGTGACATTTAGGACATTCTTAACACTCTCTAGTTCCAGAATTTTTTTTCTTTTTTGAGAGGGGTCTCATTCTGTCCCTTATGCTGGAGTGTGGTGATGAGATTTTGACTCACTGCAATCTCCACCTCCCAGGCTCAAACAATCTTCCCACCTCAGCCTTCTGAATAGCTGGGACCACAGGCACGTGTGCCACCACGCCCAGCTAATTCTTCGTATTTTTTTTGGTAAACGTGGGGTTTCACCATGTTGCCCAGGCTGGTCTTGAACTCCTTAGCTCAGGTGATCCACCTGCCTTGGCCTCCCAAAGTGCTGGGAGTTTTTATAGTTCGAAGTCTTACATTTAAGTCTTTAATCCCTCTTGAGTTAATTTTTGTATATGGTGATAAGTAGGGGTCTAGTTTCATTCTGGCATCTAGATAGCCAGTTATCCTGGAATCATTTATTGAATAGGAAGCCCTTTTCCTATTGCTTATTTTTGTCACCTTTGCCAAAGATCAGTTAGTTGTAGACGTGTGGCTTCATTTCTGGGTTCTTTATCCTTTTCTAATGGTCTATGTGTCTGTTTTTGTACCAATACCATGCTGTTTTGGTTACTGTAGCCTTGTAGTATAGTTTGAAGTGAGGTAGTGTGATGCCTCCCGCTTTGTTCTTTTTGCTTAGGATTGCTTTGGTGATTTGTGCTCCTTTTTAGTTCCTTATAAATTTTAGAATAGGTTTTTTTTCTAATTCTGTGAAAAATGACATTGGTAGTTTGATAGGAATAACATTGAATCTAGAGATTGCTTTTGATAGTATGTGGCAATTTTAACAATATTGATTCTTTCTATCCTTGAGCATGGAGTGTTTTTCGATTTGTTTGGGTCAGCTCTGATTTCTTTCAGCAGTGCTTTGTAATTCTTGTTTTCTTGTTGTAGAGATCTTTCACCTCCCTGGTTCCCTTTATTCCTTGGTATTTGTGTGTGTGTGTGTGTGTGTGTGTGTGTGTGTGTGTGTCTATTGTGAATTAAATGGCATTCTTGATTTGGCACTCAGCTTGGATATTGTTGGTGTATAGAAATACTGCTGATTTGTGTACCTTGATTTTGTATCCTGAAACTTTGCTGAAGTTGTTTATTAGATCTAGGAGCTTTTAGGCAGAGACTATGGGGTTTTCTAGGTATAAAATCATGTTATCTGCAAACAGAGATAGTTTGACTTCCTGTCTTCCTATTTGGATGCCTTTACTTCTTTCTCTTGCCTGATTGTCCTGGCTAGGATTTCTAGTACTGTGTTAAATAGGAGTGATGGGAGTGGGTATCCTTGTCTTGTTCCACTTCTCAAGGGGAATGATCCCAGCTTCTGCCTGTTCAGTGTGATGTTGGCCGTGGGTTTGTCATAAATGGCTCTCATTATTTTGAGGTATGTTCCCTCAATACCTAGTTTATTAAGGGTTTTTAACATAAAGGGATGTTGAATTTTATCAAAAGTCTTTTTTGCATCTATTGAGATGATTATGTGGTTTTTGTTTTCAGTTCTGTTTATGTGATAAGTCACATTTATTGATTTGCATATGTTGAACCAACCTTGCATCCCAGGCATAAACCCTGCTTGATTATGGTGGATTAGCTTTTTGATGTGCTGGTAGATTCAGTTTGCTAGTATTTTGTTGAGGATTTTTGCATCTGTGTTCATCAAGGATATTGGCCTGTAGTTTTTTCTTTGCTGTGTCTCTGCCAGGCTTTGGTATCAGAATGATGCTTGCCTCATAGAATGAGTTAGTGAGGAGTCTCTGGTCCTCAATTGTTTGGAATAGTTTCAAGCAGGGATGGTAGCAGCTCTTCTTTATACGTCTGGTAGAATTTGGCTGTGAATTCATCTGATCCTGGGCTTTTTCTTGCTCAAAATCATAAAATTAGATGGAAATTATTTTATTACTGATTCAATTTCAAAACTCATTATTAGTCTGTTCAGGGTTTCAGTTTCTTCCTGGTTCAATTTTGGGGAGTTGTGTTTTCAGGAATTTTTCCACATTTTGTAGGTTTTCTAGTTTGTGTGCCTAGAGGTGTTCATAATGGTCTCAGAGTTTTTGTATTTCTGTAGGGTCATTGATAATGTCTCCTTTGTCAATTTTGATTGTGTTTATTTGGATTTTCTCTTTCTTCTGCTGTTAGTCTAGTTAGCGTTCTAGCTATCTTATTTAGTCTTTAAAAAAAACTTCTGGTTTTATTGATCTTTTGTATGTTTTTTCATGCATCACTTTATTTCAGTTCGGCTCTGATTTCAGTTATTTCTTGTCTTCTTCTAGTTTTAGGGTTGGTTTGATCTTGTTTTTCTAGTTCTTCTAGGTGTGATGCTATGTTGTTAATTGGAGATCTTTCTAACTTTTTGACATGAGCATTTAATGCTATAAACTTTCCTCTTAACAGTGCTTTAGCTGTGTCACACAGATTCTGGTATGTCTTATCTTTTTTTTCTTTGGTTTTGAAGCTTTATTTCTGCCTTAATTTCATAATTTACCTAGCAGTCATTCAAGAGCAGGTTGTTCAATTTCCATGTAATTTTATGGTTTTGAGCAATCTTCTTAGTATTTGCTTCTATTTTTATTGTGCTGTGGTTTGAGAGTGTAATTGGTATGATTTCAATTTTTAAAAATTTTTTGAGAATTGTTTTTTGTCTGATTGTGTGGTCAGTTTTAGAGTATGCACCACGTGGTGATGAGAATAATATATATTCTGTTGTTTTGGGGTGGGGAATTCTGTAGATGTCTGTTAGTTCCATTTGGTCAAGTGTTGAGTTCAGGTCATATATTTTTTAGTTTTCTGCCTTGATGATCTGTCTAATACTGTCAGTGGAGGGTTGAAGTCTCCCACTATGATTGTGTGGAAATTTAAGTCTCCTCACAGGTCTCTAAGAACTTGTTTTTATGAATCTGGGTGCTCCCTGGGTGCACACATAATTCTTGTGTTGGATGCATATATATTTAGAAGAGTTAAGTCTTCTTGTTGAATTGAACACTTTACCATTATGTAATGCCCTTCTTTGTATTTTTTGATTGTTGTTGACTTAAAGTCTGTTTTGTCTGAAATTAGAATAGCAGCCCCTGCTAATTTTTTGTTTGTTTGTTTTGTTTTTGTTTTCTGTTTACTTGGTAGATTTTCCTCCATCCCGTTACTTTGAGCCTATCTGTGTCATTGCATGTGTGAGATGGGTCTCTTGAAGATGGCATACAGTTGGGTCTTGTTTGTTTGTTTGTTTGTTTTTAATTTTTTGAGACCGTTCTGTCTCTTTCACCCATGCTGGAATGCAGTGGCACAATTATGGCTTACTGAAGCCTCAATCTCCTGAGTTCAGGTGATCTTTACACTTCAACTTCTGGAGTAGCTGGGACTACAAGTGCAGGCCACCGTGCCTAACTAATTTTATATTTTTTATAGAGATGAGTTTTTCCCATGTTGCCCAGGCTGGTCTCGAACACCTGGGCTTAAGCGATCTGCCCACCTTGGTCTCCCAAAGTGCTGGGATTACAGACATGAGCCATTGCACCCAAGTGGGTCTCGCTTCTTTATTCAACTTGCCACTCTGTGCATTTCAATTGGGGCATTTAGCCCACTTACATTCAAAGTTAATAATTCTATGTATGGAATTGATCCTGTCCTTATATATATATATTTTTAGCTGGTTATTATGCAGACTAGACTTGATTTTGTAGTTGCTTTGTAGCATTAATGGTCTATGTATTTAAGTGTGTTTTTGTGATGACTGGTAATGGTCTTTTGTTTTCATATTTATTTTATTTTATTTTGAGACAGGATCTCACTCTGCTGCCCAGGCAGAGTGCAATGGTATGATCTGGGCTCACTGCAACCTCTGCTTCCTGGGCTCAAGCCATCCTCCTGCCTTAGTCTCCTGAGTGGTTGGGACCACAGGCGCATACCACCATTCCTAGCTGATTTTTATATTTTTTTGTAGAGACAGGGTTTCACCATGTTGCCCAGTCTGGTTTTGAACTCCTGGGCTCAAGTGATCCGCCTGCCTCAGCCTCCTGAAGTGCTAGGATTACAGGCGTGAGCCACTGCGCCTGGCTTGTTTCTATATTTAACACTCCCTTAGAGACCTCTTTTAAGGCAGGTCTGGTGGTGATAAATTCCCTTAACATTTGCTTGTCTGAAAAGTATCTTCTCCTTTGCTTATGAAGTTTGTTTGACTGTATATGAAATTTTTGGGCTCCCCGGCATTGCGCCATCAAAAACAAAGTCGTTCTCCAACTTCTTGTCCTGCATCACTGCCATCGCAGCTCTCAGCACTAAAAAGGTGGCATCAGACTCCTCCAAAGAACAAGTGGCCAATTCGAGGGAATCCTCCTCGTTATCAAAAGAAGTAAACGACAGTCCGAGAGCCGCCGACAAGTCTCCTGAATCCCAGAATCTCATCGACGGGACCAAAAAAACATCCCTAAAGCAACTGGATAGTCCCAGAAACATCTCAAGTGAGAACAGCATCAAAGGAACCCCGGCTTCTCCCGCAGGGTCCACACCACCAATCCCCAAAGTCCGCATAAAAACCACTAAGACGTCTTCTGGGGAAATCAAGAGAACAGTGACCAGGGTATTGCCAGAAGTGGATCTTGACTCTGGGAAGAAACCTTCCGAGCAGACGGTGTCTGTGATGGCCTCTGTGACATCCCTTCTGTCGTCTCCCGCATCAGCTGCCACCCTTTCCTCTCCCGCCAGGGTGCCTCTCCAGTCTGCAGTGGTGACCAATGCAGTTTCCTCTGCAGAGCCCACCCCTAAACAGGTCACAATCAAGCCTGTGGCTACTGCTTTCCTCCCAGTGTCTGCTGTGAAGACAGCAGGATCCCAAGTCATTAATTTGAAGCTCGCTAACAACACCACGGTGAAAGCCACGGTCGTACCTGCTGCCTCTGTCCAGAGTGCCAGCAGCACCATCATTAAAGCTGCCAATGCCATCCAGCAGCAAACTGTCATGATGCCAGCATCCAGCCTGGCCAATGCCAAACTTGTGCCAAAGACTGCATCTTGCCAACCTTAACCTTCTGCCTCAGGTTGCCCAGGCCACCTCTGAACTCTGCCAAGTGTCAATCAAAACTCAGCAACAGATAAAGAAGGCAATAATTAATGCAGCAGCCTCACAAGCCCCCAGAAAGGTGTCTCGAGTCCGGGTGGTGTCGTCCTTGCAGAGTTCTGTGGTGGAAACTTTCAACAAGGTGCTGAGCAGTGTCAATCCAGTCCATTTACATCCCAAACCTCAGTCCTCCTGCCAATGCAGGGATCACATTACTGATGCCTTGGTACAAGTGCTTGGAGTGTAGGGACTCCTTTGAACTTGAAAAGAGTCTGACCCAGCACTATGACAGATGGAGCGTGTGCATCGAAGTAACATGCAACCTTTGTACAAAGAACCTCGTTTTTTTACAACAAATGCAGCCTCCTTTCCCATGCCCGTGGGCATAAGGAGAAAGGGGTGGTAATGCAATGTTCCTACTCAATTTTAAAGCCAGTCCCAGCAGGTCAAACGATAGTTTCTCCATCAACCAATACTTCTTCTTCATCAGAGGAAAAATCCACTCTTCAGAGCCCTGTGGGAGCTGGCATACACACTGTCACAAAAATTCAGTCTGGCATAACTGGGACAGTCATATCGGCTCCTTCAAGAACTCCCAGCACTACAGCCATGCCCCTAGATGAAGACCCCTCCAAGCTGTGTAGACATAATCTAAAATGTTTGGAGTGTAATGAAATCTTCCAGGACAAGACATCGCTGGCTACACATTTCCAGCAGGCTGCAGATATGAGTGGACAAAAGACTTGTACTATCTGCCAGATGCTGCTTCCTAACCAGTGCAGAGAATCCATCAGCACAAATCTCCTTAAACCTGCCCTGAGTGCAGGGCCATCTGCAGGTTGGTGCACTTCCAGACCCACGTCACCAAGAACTGTCTGCACTACACAAGGAGAGTTGGTTTTTGATGTGTACGTTGCAATGTTGTGTACTCTGATGTGGCTGCTCTGAAGTCTCGCCTTCAAGGTTCTCACTGTGAAGTCTTCTACAAGTGTCCTATTTGTCCAATGACGTTTAAGTCTGCCCCAAGCACACATTCCCACACCTACACACAGCATCCTAGCATCAAGATAGGAGAATCAAAAATAATATATAAGTGTTCCATGTGCAACACTGTGTTCACCCTGCAAACCTTGCTGTATCGCCACTTTGACCAACACATTGAAAACCAGAAGGTGTCTGTTCTCAGGTGTCCAGACTGTTCTCTTTTATATGCACAGAAGCAACTTATGGTGGACCATATCAAGTCTATGCATGGGACATTGCAAAGCATTGAAGGGCCAACTTGGGTGTAAACTTGCCTTTGAGCATTAAGCCTGCAACTTATAATTCAGCATATCAGAACAAAGAGGACAGCAAATCCATGAATGGGAAAGAGAAATTGGAAAAGAAATCTCCATCTCCTTTGAAAAAAATCAGTGGAAACCAAGAAAGTGGCCAGTCCTGGGTGGACATGTTGGGAGTGTGACCGCCTGTTCATGCAGAGAGATGTGTACATATCCCACGTCAGGAAGGAGCATGGGAAACAAATGAAGAAACAACCCTGCTGCCAGCGTGACAAGCCTTTCAGCTCGTCCCACAGCCTGTGCTGGCACAACCGGATCAAGCACAAAGTCATCAGGAAAGTGTACACCTGTTCACACTGCTCAGACTCTAGAGGTACCTTTACCAAACAGTTGATGTTGGAGAAGCATGTCCAGCTGACGCATGGCATCAAGGACCCTGACCTGAAAGAAATGATAGACGCCATCAATGAGGAGGAAACAGAAATAAAAGAAGACCCCAAGGTCCCCAGTCCCAAGTGGAAGTTGAAAGAACCGGTTCTGGAGTTCAGGCCTCCCAGAGGAGCAATCACTCAACCAAAGCTGGAAATCAATGTTTTTAAGGTTCACAAGTGTGCCGTGTGTGGCTTCACCACCGAAAACCTGCTGCAGTTCCACGAACACATCCCTCAGCACAAATCGGATGGTTCTTTCTACCAGTGCCGGGAGTGTGGCCTCTGCTACATGTCACGTCTCTCTGTCCAGGCACCTCTTTGTTGTACACAAGTTAAAGGAACCTCAGCCAGTGTCCAAGCAAAACGGGGCTGGGGAAGATAACCAACAGGAGAACAAACCCAGTCACGAGGATGAATCTCCCAATGGCGCCATGTCAGACAGAAAGTGCAAAGTGTGCGCAAAAACTTTTGAAACTGAAGCTGCCTTAAAAACTCACATGCAGACACATGGTATGGCCTTCATCAAATCCAAAAGGATGAGCTCAGACGAGAAATAGCCACAGACGCTCCATGAGGAAAATCCCTGTCCACATTGGCATAAGACACTTTTGTTACACAAAGTTTGCAGTATAATAGAGTTAACAATACTGTCTAGGCTGTTGCAATATATTCTCTTTCAACGTGCCTTCCTTCTTCATCTTGTCATATATATCCTCATTAAGTATTAAAACAGATTTTGAGTTTAAAAGAGTTTGTATATATTTAAATGAATAACTTTTTATACTCTTTGTTACATGTTTGTATCAGTATTCAGTGGAAAACGTTTTGAGTTGTTTTGGGTTAGAATTTTTCTTTTTGTGCTGTTTCTTTAAAACAGAGTTCTTAGTAACAGGGGCAGTTCCTGAATTCAAATAAATCATTTTGTATGTTTCGAATTTGAATGGGTTAACTAATTACAGGCTAAAATAATGCCTTTTTTAGTGTTTTTAATTGTTAGAATTCACTACATAAATTGGAAGTAATCGTGGGTCTCAAAAACACTAGGAACTTTTAAATGTCTTAGCACCTCCTCCATGTGCCTGCCCTGAGGGAGCGAGTACACGTTTGAGACAACTGCACTCCAGTGTGGGCATGTCTTTGTCTTCAGGCCACGCCGAAGGGTGTCTAAAGCAGCCTTGCAGGTCGCTCCTTTCCCAGCCGTGGATAAAAACTGAAGCCAGGAATCTAATAAGGAATGCTGATTTCCTCAATTCCATTTTGAGGAATGGGGAAGGCTATTCTAAAGAAGAAAAAAAATGGGACAGGTTTTCTGGGTAGATCTGCAAGTCTGGCTTTAAGAGCACAAGGAGGAAAAGTAACAAAAGGGCTGGACTACTGTAAAAGTTACAAATACGTAGTTAGACCAATAGATCTATATAGTCAGGTTTTTGTCATGTAATTTATTAACTATTACAGAAACACAACTAAGAATATCAAGTATTTCTCTGGCTCTTGATAGAAAAAAAAATCAGCTGACTTAATCCTTTACTGTCAAAAGAGTTGGCGTTTCCTGTTCTGGGTGCTACTGCCAAACGTTCTGGTGCTTAGAGGTGGGATGCACGACGTCAACCACCGACTTATCAATGCAGCCGGCTGTGTGTCACAATTGGCCGTTACCTTAAGCACTGAGCCACACGGGATTAGTTCAGCCATTTCAAGAGGTACATTTAACGTCGGCAGTTCTGCTTTACTAAAATGCAGTAGAGGTACTCTTCTGTCCCTTCCGTTTATAGTTCTCTGAGAGAGTTATATTTTTTGGTTTTGTTTTGTGTTTTCTTTTGAATTTTATATCTTGTATTTATCCCTGAACATGTTTTGTACTTTTTTTTTTAAGAAAAGGAATTATTTTGTGTATATATAGACACTTGCATGATATACTGTAGTCAATGTTCGGTTCCTCGAAAGGTCTTGCTGCTGTCAGGTGTTATACACTCCATCCATCATAACTGTATGAAACACATTTCATATGTAAATAAACGTGGGACATTTGAAAAAAATATTTTGTTCTATGTAGTTGAAAATCATTGGCTAAGTTCATTATAACCTCCTTTCTGCATCTTACCCTCATCCACACCCTTACAGCCTTTCATTAATTGTAAATTCTTATGTCTGTATTTTCCATATCTACTTAGTACTACTTTTTGGAATGAATCTTTTATGCCCTGCTCTGGTCAATAATCTTGGGTGAAATGAGAACACAAAGCCAGAGAGACCAGGTTTCTGTAGTTCTCTAACATCGGATGCTAATACAAATTCTGCTGTGCAGTGCCCAGGCATTGCCACCCCTCTGGAGAGAATTCTATGGCTACATCCCTGAATGTCAACAGTTCCATTTCTAGGCTTGCAGCAGGTTCTGGTGTCTTAGCTATGGATCTCCCAATACCTGCTGGTCCATAGAGACTGGGCTTCTAGGAACAGAAGACACAGAGCAGTGAACAGGAGCCAGTTTCATTCTGCCTATGGATAGGCAGTTATCCCAGCACTATTTATTGAATACGGAGTCCTTTCCCTATTGCTTATTTTTGTCAGCTTCACGGATGTTCACTTGGTTGTAGGTGTGTGACTTTATTTCTAGGTTCTCTATTCTGTCCCACTGGTCTATGTATCTGTTTTTGTACCAGTACTGTAGTGTTTTGGTTATGTAGCCTTCTAATATAGTTTAAAGTTGGATAGTGTGATGTCTCTGGCTTTTTTCTTTTTTCTTCTTTTTTTTTTTTTTTTTGGCTTAGGATTGCTTTGGTGATTCCTGCTCTTTTTTTCATTCCATATGGATTTTAGAGTAGTGTTTTTCCTAATTCTGTGAAAAACAACATTGGTAATTTAATAGGAATAGTGTTAAATCTAGAGATTGCTTTGGGCAGTACGGCCGTTTTAATGACACTCATTCTTCCCATCCATGAACATGGAATGTTTTTCCATTTGTTTGTGTCATCTGTGATTTTATTCAGCAGAAATTTTTGTTATTCTTGTGGAGTTCTTTCACCTCCTTGGTTAGATATATTCCTAGGTATTTTTTTGTGTGGCCATAATAAATGGGATAGCATTCTTGATTTGGCTCTCAGCTTGGATGTTATTGGTGTATACAACTGCTGCTGACTTTTGTACATTGATTATATATTCTGAAATTTTACTGAAGTTATTTATCAGTTGTTTGAATTTTTGGTAGTCTTTTAAGGTTTTATAGGTATTGAGTAATATCATCTATGAAGAGAGATAATTTGACTTATTCTTTTCCTGTTTGAATTTCCTGTTTTTCTTTCTCTTGCATAACTGCTCTGCTACGACTACCAGTACTATGTTGAGTCAGAATAGTGAGAATGGGCAACATTGTCTTGTTCTGATGCTTAAGGGGAATGAATCCAGCTTTTGCCAGTTCAGCATGAGCTTGGCTGCGGGTTTGTCATAGGTAACTCATTATTTTGAGGTATACTCCTTTGATGTCTAATTTGTTGAGGGTTTTTATCATGAAGAGATGTTGGGTTTCATTTAAAACTTTTTCTGCATCTGTTGATGATCATGAAGTTTTTACTTGTGTTCATGTTTTTTGTAAATTTTATTTGGTGAATCACATTTATTTATTTGCATATGTTGAACCAACCTTGCCTCCCATGAATAAAGCCTATTCAATCATGGTGAATTAACTTTTTGATGTGTCGCTGGATTCAGTTTGCTAGTATTTTGTTGAGGATTTTTGTGTCTGTTCATCAGGAATATTGGCCTGTAGTTTCCTTTTTTTGTTGTGCCTGTGTCAGATTTTGGTATCAGGATGATGCTGGTTTTATAGAATGAGTTAGGGAGGAGTTCCTTCTCCTCAATTTTTGGGGAATGTTTCAGTGGGATTGGCACCAGCTCTTCTTTGCATGTCTGGCAGAATTTGGCTGTGAACTAATTGGTCTAGGACATTTCTTGGTTAGTAGGTTTTTTATTACTGGTTTATATTTTTCGAACTTGCTGTTGATCTGTTCAGGATCTCAATTTCTTCCTAATTCTCCCTTGGGAGGTTTTGTGTTTCTAGGAATTTATTCATTTCCTCTAGATTTCTAGTTTGTGTGCACAGAGGTGTTCATAATAGTCTCTGAGGCTTTTTTGTATTTCCGTGGGTATCAGTTCTGATTGTATTTATTTGAATCTTCTTTCTTTGTTAGTCTACCTAGCATTCTATCAATCTCACGTATTCTTTGAAAGAACCAAATTTTAATTTCATTGATCTTTTATATGGCTTTTTGGGTCTCAATTTTATTTCTGCTGTGATTTTTGTTATTTATTTTATTCTGGTAGCTTTGGATTAGTTTGTTCTTGTTTTTTTAGGTCCTTTAGGTGTGATGTTAGATTGATAATTTGGTATCATTCTAGCTTTTTGAGGTAGGCAAACCACTTAAGCACTATAAACTTTCTTCTTAATACTGCTTTTTCTACATTCCAGAGATTTTGGTAAATTGTGTCTCTGTTTTCATTTATTTTAAATAATTATTTGATTTCTGCTTTAATTTTGTTAACTCAAAAGTTATTAAGAAACAAGTTCTTTAGTTTCCATTTTATTGTGTGATTTTGAAGTATCTTCTTGATATTGCCTTCTATTTTTATTCTCCGTGGTCCAAAAATATGCTTGGTGTTGTTTCTTCATTAAAAAAAGTTATTGAGACTTGCTTTATGGCCAAATATGTGATTGATCTTAGAGTATATGCCACGTGCAAATGAAAAGAATGTATCTTCTGTGGTTGTTGGGTGGAACATTTTGTCAATTTTTATTAGGTCCAATTGGTGAAGTGTTGAATTTAAGTCAGAATTTCCTTGTTAGTTTTCTGCCTCACTCATCTATTTTTCTAATTAGTATGATTCAGTTTTTTTTCTGACATTGCAGTTTTCTGCACCTATCACAACACTTCAAGAAGACTATTACAAGAATACTACAAATTTTACACAAAATATCATCAAAGTAGTGACACGTTGGAGAAAAATCATGATAAATATTCAACAAAACTAGAACATACATTTGTATATTCTTTCATTAATTGTATTAGTTTTTTCCTCTTTTTGTGCCCGTACTTATTAGAATCTTTTTCATAAAAAAGAAGTTTTCTTTCTTTATTTTTTTGAGACAGGATCTTGTTCTGCAACCCAGGCTGGTGTGCAGTAGTGTGATTATGGCTCATTGCAGCCTTGAATTCCTAGGCTGAAGCAAATCCTCCCACCTCAGCCTCCCAAGTATCTGGAACCACAAGTTTGTGCCACTAGACCCAACTAATTTTATTTTATTTTTGTAGAGTCAGGGTCTTGGTATATTGCCCAGGCTGGTCTTAAACTCCTGGGTTCAAGTGATCATCCCACCTTGGCCCCCCAAAGTGCTGGGATTATAGGTGTTAGCCACCACACACCGCAGCAATTTTTGACTAGAGCTGATTGCAAATGTTTGTAGAGAAGAATTGAGAATGGTAACACTGGATGACCAAAATTTGGTGTAGCTATGGTTAAGATTTGATGAAAGTTCCCAATAGACAAGGAAATTTTGTTATTTCTATTATTTGCAGCATTTTAAGATAACAACCAGAATCATTATGACAGTGTCATGTTAGAGACATCAGGCTTTCATAAATTTTATATCATCTTTAGAATATTCACATTAATAACATACCCCTACAAATATAACTTAAGATTTAATATAGTAATCAAAGTTATGACTGATAACAAATTAGCTTTTTGTAAATTTATATAAGTTTTGGAACATTTATGTCAATAATGTACCCATAATTGTAACAGAAAGATCTAGTATCAATTATCATTTGATAATACTTTACAAAGAATCTGCCAAATAAGTCTAATTATTTAATACAAAAAGACTTAATTTAGGATTTTCATCCTGAGGGAACATGACAAAGATGTCAAAAGTTTCAAAAAACTAGATCAAAATAAAACCATAGGTCACTGGAAAATAAAAGTTATTCACACAAGTAGAGTGGTAATCAAAATACTTCAAAAGAAATACAGAAATTTTTATGAATGTAAAATCCTTACCCCTTTTAAATTTCAGTTTTCCTAAGTAATATGAAACCTAATAAGAATAGTGCAGAAATTGTTTTAATAAAACATAAAATCTCTTCTTTTTAGACCAGCTACTGTAAAGGTAAACAAACAAATAAACAAAAATCCCCACAAAACCTCCTATAGTGTTGATTTAGTTTGGATGTGTGTCCCCTCCAAATCTCATGTTGAAATGTTACCTCTAGTGTTGGAGATGGCCTAGTAGGAGGTGTTTGGGCCATAGAGGCAGATACTTTATGAATGACTCATTGCCATCCCCATGGCAATGTGTGAGTTCTTGCTCTGGTAGTTCATGCGAGAGCTGGTTGTTTAAAGGAGCTTGACACCTCCTCCTCTCTCTTGCTCCCTCTCTTGCCATGTGACATGCCTGCTCCTCATTCACCTTCCACCATAAATGTAATTGTAATCTTCCTGAGGCCCTCACCAGAATCAGACGCTGGCACTGTTCTTCTTGTACAGTCTGCAGAACTGTGAGCCAAAATAAATGTCTTTATCATTTACCCAGTCTCAGGTATTTCTTTATAGCACTGCAAAATGGACTAACACAAATATGACTAATTCTCCTTATGGGAAGCCCATTTAGATATCCCGGAAGTCAAGCCTGATAAAAAGGGTAGTTGAGCTTAATCAGATGTAAGAACAGCGTGTTCAGGGTTATATGTGTACACGATAGTATAAAGGAATGTAAACAAGAAAACTCATACCTTGAGCACAGAAATACATGGCTCTCAGCAACAGCATGAGAATTCCCCTCTACTGAAGAAAAGCCAAGACTACAGAATCAAATTATTCTAGAGGAAAACACTGCTATTCTAGACCTTCAAGATAAACATTTTAGTGTCCAGCCACAACATCAGAGGTAGAGTAGAAGAAAATAATTATGGGAGTTAATAAAAATATTGAAGAAGAGACTTATCCCAGGTAAGCAAACAGATTTACCTTTTAAGGGAATAAAGAACAGAAGGCAATGATATATAAACTGCAAATCACATTTAGTGAGAGAGAGCAGAATTTGAACTTCTGAGACATAAATTTGAGAAATTTCAAAAAGAAACAGATAAAACCTCTTGTAATTTTATTAAGAACAAATAAATACTTTCAGAAAATCTTATTCTAACACAGGGGACCAATTTTTAGTTTTGTATTAGTGTATTTTTAATATCAAAGCTCCATATTTAGAGAGATAAATATTTGTGTTACAGCAAACTTAATCACACACAAACTTCCTTTAATAAACTCTCTTTTTCATTTTAGACCAATATCCTTGATGAATATTGATGCAAAAATCCTCAATAAAATACTGGCAAACCGAATCCAGCAGTACATCAAAAAGCTTATCCACCATGATCAAGTGGGCTTCATCCCTGGGATGCAAGGCTGGTTCAATATATGCAAATCAATAAATGTAATCCAGCATATAAACAGAACCAAAGACAAAAACCACATGATTATCTCAATAGATGCAGAAAAGGCCTTTGACAAAATTCAACAACGCTTCATGCTAAAAACTCTCAAGAAATTAGGTACTGATGGGACGTATCTCAAAATAATAAGAGCTATCTATGACAAACCCACAGCCAATATCATACTGAATGGGCAAAAACTGGAAGCATTCCCTTTGAAAACTGGCACAAGACAGGGATGCCCTCTCTCACCACTCCTATTCAACATAGTGTTGGAAGTTCTGGCCAGGGCAATTAGGCAGGAGAAGGAAATAAAGGGTATTCAATTAGGAAAAGAGGAAGTCAAGTTGTCCCTGTTTGCAGATGACATGATTATATATCTAGAAAACCCCATTGTCTCAGCCCAAAATCTCCTTAAGCTGATAAGCAACTTCAGCAAAGTCTCAGGATACAAAATCAATGTACAAAAATGACAAGCATTCTTATACACCAATAACAGACAAACAGAGAGCCAAATCATCAGTGAACTCCCATTCACAATTGCTTCAAAGAGAATAAAATACCTAGGAATCCAACTTACAAGGGACGTGAAGGACCTCTTCAAGGAGAACTACAAACCACTGCTCAGTGAAATAAAAGAGGATACAAAGAAATGGAAGAACATTCCATGTTCATGGGTAGGAAGAACCAATATTGTGAAAATGGCCATACTGCCCAAGGTAATTTATAGATTCAATGCCACCCCCATCAAGCTACCAATGACTTTCTTCACAGAATTGGAAAAAACTGCTTTAAAGTTCATATGGAACCAAAAAAGAGCCCGCATCACCAAGTCAATCCTAAGCCAAAAGAACAAAGCTGGAGGCATCACGCTACCTGACTTCAAACTATACTACAAGGCTACAGTAACCAAATCAGTATGGTACTGGTACCAAAACAGAGACATAGATCAATGGAACAGAACAGAGCCCTCAGAAATAACGCCGCATATCTACAACTATCTGATCTTTGACAAACCTGAGAAAAACAAGCAATGGGGAAAGGATTCCCTATTTAATAAATGGTGCTGGGAAAACTGGCTAGCCATATGTAGAAAGCTGAAACTGGATCCCTTCCTTACACATTATACAAAAATTAATTCAAGATGGATTAAAGACTTAAATGTTAGACCTAAAACCATAAAAACCCTAGAAGAAAACCTAGGCATTACCATTCAGGACATAGGCATGGGCAAGGACTTCATGTCTAAAACACCAAAAGCAATGGCAACAAAAGCCAAAATTGACAAATGGGATCTAATTAAACTAAAGAGCTTTTGCACAGCAAAAGAAACTACCATGAGAGTGAACAGGCAACCTACAAAATGGGAGAAAATTTTTGCAACCTACTCATCTGACAAAGGGCTAATATCCAGAATCTACAAAGAACTCAAACAAATTTACAAGAAAAAAACAAACAACCCCATCAAAAAGTGGGCAAAGGACATGAACAGACACTTCTCAAAAGAAGACATTTATGCAGCCAAAAGACACATGAAAAAATGCTCATCATCGCTGGCCATCAGAGAAATGCAAATGAAAACCACAATGAGATACCATCTCACACCAGTTAGAATGGCAATCATTAAAAAGTCAGGAAACAACAGGTGCTGGAGAGGATGTGGAGAAATAGGAACACTTTTACACTGTTGGTGGGACTGTAAACTAGTTCAACCATTGTGGAAGTCAGTGTGGTGATTCCTCAGGGATCTAGAACTAGAAATACCATTTGACCCAGTCATCCCATTACTGGGTATATACCCAAAGGACTATAAATATGCTGCTATAAAGACACATGCACACGTATGTTTATTGCGGCACTATTCACAATAGCAAAGACTTGGAACCAACCCAAATGTCCAACAATGATAGACTGGATTAAGAAAATGTGGCACATATACACCACGGAATACTATGCAGCCATAAAAAAATGATGAGTTCATGTCCTTTGTAGGGACATAGATGAAACTGCAAATCATCATTCTCAGTAAACTATCGCAAGGACAAAAAACCAAACACCGCATATTCTCACTCATAGGTGGGAATTGAACAATGAGAACACATGGACACAGGAAGGGGAACATCAAACTCTGGGGACTGTTGTGGGGTGGGGGGAGGGGGGAGGGATAGCATTAGGAGATATACCTAATGCTAAATGAGGAGTTAATGGGTGCAGCACACCAGCATGGCACATGTATACATATGTAACTAACCTGCACATTGTGCACATGTACCCTAAAACTTAAAGTATAATAATAATAAAAAAAAGAATAAAGCTGAAAAAACACACCTTTCAGACAAACAAAACATTACTAGATAAAGATTTAAAAACCTAATAGCATTTACAACATAAAACGTCCAATAATAAATCTAACGAGATACACACCATCTCTACCCCCCCAAAAAACCCACAAAAATCTGTTTAGAAAAATAAAAGAAGACATAAATAAATGGGAGGATAAGCCATGTTCAAGAACTAGAAGACTCAACATAGTAATAATGTCATTTCTCTGCCAATGGATCAATTGTTTCTATGAAATCCCAATAGAAATCCTAGCAGGTTCCTTTGTAGATGCTAATAATCTGATTATATGGAAATGCAAGGACCACAAATAGCCATTGTTGTTGAAAAGAACAAAGTTGCAAGACAGACTACTCATTTAAGACTTATGTAGCTACAGTGATTAGGACAGGGTGATATCTATACAAGAATAGAGTACAACACCTGTGGAACAGACATGAGATTCCCAAACAGACCTGCATGTTTATGAAATGTTTGATTAATGACAAACCTGGGTAATAATTCATGTTAGGTTCCATGCCAATTGGATATCTATTTGGGAAAAATTTATTTTGAACCTTAACTCATAACCTGTATATATAACAAATCAACAAAATTTGCAGGAAATAAAAAAGGAGAGTATATCAACTGGAGCGGGACTTACCGTAGACGCAAAGAAGCATAATTGGGACACAGCCTGAGGAGAACATTGTTTGTTCCGGTGCTGAGCCCAGAGGCGATTAGGGTCCCCGTTTTGGGCTGAATTGTGTTTCCTTAGATTCACACACAGAAGCCCTATCCCCCAGTACCTCAGAATGTGACAGTCTCTGGAGGTGGGGCCTCTTGAGAGATAACTGGGTCAAAATGAAGATGTGGGAGGGGGCTCTACTCCAATGTGACTGTTGCCCTTATTAGAAGAGGACATTTGGACACACACAGAGACACCAGATGGAGGCACAGAGAAAAGAACATGTGGGAACACAGGGAGAAGGTGACCAGCTGCAAGCCAAGGAGAGAGGCCTTGGGAGAAACCAACCCTGCTGACACCTCGATCTTGGACTTGTAGCCTCTAGAACTCTGAGGAGGTAAGTTTCTGTTGTTCAAGCCCCGCCATCTGTGGGATTAAGCTATGGCAGACAGAGCAGACAAACACAGACTGGAGAGTTCCATGTCACAGAGAATGGCTGCAATAATATTAGCCTGGAAAAGGTTTTAGTGTTATCTAAGGGTCATTTCACTACCAATATTACGATCACATGTCCAACCCAGTTAAAAATATACCCCTCAATAACGGAAAAGCACACAAATGCCTGTACGTGATTGTTACGAACCCACCAGTGAAATGTAATTTGGACACAACCACCTCTGGGACCCACTTTACTCAGCCCCTGGTCTCCAGGTATATGGGTGGGGGGTCACAAGATTCAGGGGTTGGTCACCTCAGAGGCAGAATACCTCAGCTGGAAGATAAGAAACGATGGCAGATCCCTGGGCACCTCAAATCACACCATCTGAAGGTGTCATGGTGTGGCGGTTGACAGCAGGAACCTGGGAGTCAGCCAGACTGGGTTCAAATCCTGGTTCTGCCATCACTAACCGTCTGATGTGGGCAAGTTATTTAAAGTCTCTGTGCCTCAGTTTACATACTCATAACACAGGGATAATAATAACTGTGTCTGGTTCATAGAGTTGTCATGAGGATCACATAAGCTGACATTAGATAGCATTAGAACATGCCTGGCATGTGGTAAGCACTCCCATTGCTTTAAGAGAGGAAGCTTGCCAACACCATCAGCAGAGATCTGGGGTCAGCCCTCAGTTGGAGCCCCCACTGAGGCTAACTATGTATGACGCATGTAACTTTTGGATTATCTATCGCAAGATTATCTGGTTACTTCCGTTTGTACAGTGGACTGCCTGCAAATGGGTGCCACAACAAAGACCATGAGAAGACCACACCTCAAAATGGGGAGAAGTGGAGACATCAGCAGCACTGTTGGCTCAAAGCCGGGAGCTGCACTTGCAGCTCTGCCCTTGACCCTATGACCAGGGACTGACTTGGGTGAGCAGAACGAGGGTGTTCCCCGGAGGGCGATGCAGCATTGCAGCCTGTTAGACGGCCTCAGAGCGGTGCTGGCCCCATCCATCGAGCCACCTTGAGCAAGTGGCTGAGGCTGGTCTGAGCTGGTTCCCTCACACCCACTCCTTTGCCTGCTGGAGTCCTTGCATACACACTTGCTCCATCCACACACCCGACCCAGTGCGTGGGAGTCACCGAGAGACTCCTGCCCTCACCTGCAGCTTTCCTAGAACAGCTCCACTCAGCCATAGGTGGCTGTTTCCTGAAACCTTACATCTTGGGCCCTCAAAGCTGCAGGCCCCAGACAGGGCATTTGGAGCAGGCAGACCTGACACTCGCCTGGTGGAGAGAAAGCGGCGCTCTGGCAGGTGAGGCAGCCCATCTGTCCAGGCAGGGCACTGAAGGTGTCCGCAGGGCAGAGCCGGCAGTCTTCAGCTGCCCTGGCCCTGCTGCTGCTTCTGAAGGTCCCTGCTGGGCAGGGCCTTGGGCTGCGAGTCCCTGCAGGGCAGTAGTGGCCCACCGGGCAGGAATGGCCCTGGTAGCTCTCTGACCCTGGAGGAACACAGAGGGGAAATTCTGCCCCAGCCGAGGCAGGGACTGAGAGTGGACTGGGGGTGTCCAGGGTAGGGATATGCCTGCTGAGGGAGGGGGGAAACAATGCAGTAAATGGGGGAAGAATCTAGATTGTGGGGGCAGTAGAGGGCTCTGTGCCCTGTAACCCCTCACCCTCCCCGCCAGCCCCTTGGTCTCCCTCTCAGTCAGGTGCGGGGCGCTGGGCAGTGGCTTTCCTTCTCTCCAGAGTGCCTGGGCCACTGGCTCCGACACATCTGTGTGCATGCTGCTCTGCCCTGTGTCTAGAGGACTTTTAAACCTGACACGGAGGCAGCTGACACTCACCTGCTCTGTGTCCCCATCCTCCACATGTTCTTGGGTCTGTGTCTTGGGCTGCTCCAGGCCTCTTGGGCTGTCCCCAGGCTCTGAGGGGCCCTCCCTGCCTGCGCCTCCACCCGCCTCACTGATCTCCACTCTGGGTCACCTCCAGTCCCGGTCCCCCTGCTCCTGCCCAGGCCTCCCAGGGACTCACCCTGGGGGCAGCTGAATCCAGGCGGGCAGGGCTGTAAGGGTAGAGCATCCAGGGCCCGGCTGCGGTAGGTGCCCGCTTCACAGAGGCGGCAGGCAGCATATCTCCTCAGAGACCCTGAGGCTGGTCCCATTCAGGGCTTCGGAGCCCCCAGGGCAGGCACGAGGTTGGGCACTGCCCGGGGGGCAGTAATGGGGAAAGACACAGCTGCAGAGACAGAGCCCGGCTGGTTCATGCTGCCGGAACCTGTGTGTGCGGTGGGTTCTCTCGCTAGCGGGGGCCGACTTTCCCTGGCCTGGGGCCTCAGCTGCTAGCGGACGGGGACTCTGCTACTGTCCCAGTCAGGGGTCCTGGGGTTGCCTTGTGTCTGGTGGGGCCACGGCACCAAGCTGCCTTTCTGGTGGTGGATGAGCCATGCCCAGTTAACCAGGCCGGCACTGCCTGCCCATTCCACCCTGGGCAGAGGGGTGTTGTGGAGTGGATCTGATGTCAGGGTGTTAGTCCCAGACACGGGATGGGGCTTACCAGATGAAATACTCCATGCCCAGTCCTATTCAAATTTCAAATAAACAATGAGAATGATTTTAGTAGAAGTGCACCCCCAATATTGCATGGGCCATACTTACAGTAAAAATGCATTGTCCTTTACCGGCAATTCAAATGTAACTAGGCGTGCTGTATTTTTGTGAGCTCCATCTGGCTGCCCCACCAGGATGAGCCTGCACTCTGATGGGGCATCCCAGGGCAATGTGCTTCCTCACCCCACCTTCCCTGGGGCAGAGGCAGGGGCTGGCCCTAGCTGGGAAGCCCAGGCAGAGGGTCACCAGGGCTTGCTTTTGGGCCCTGCCCTTTGGCTGGATTTCTGAGGCACACATGCTTGTCATGGTGGGGCCTCACATAGGGTGCTGACAGCAGTTCCAGGGCTGGGGTTGGGGCTCAGACCCTTGGGGGGGTAGGGGGAAGGAACTCACCGCTGCCCCAGGCCACTGTAGGTGGAGGAGCTGACAGGGCAGGCATAGCCCCCCGGGGCAGAGTGGGGGCAGCCCCGTCTGAGGCCCACAGTAGGAGCCGGGCCTACAGGGGACCTCAGCCACAGCACCTGAAGAGACAGGGCCAGGGATGCGGGAGAACAGGCCACAATGTGGGCATGGTTTGGAGGACACCCCAAGTCCCTTCTTCACCCATCAATGGCACTTGGAAGCCAGGAGAGGTCCAGAGCCGGAGGAGAACTCAGGAGGGTCCCCAGGCTCCCCAGGTGAGGCCTGGGCAGGGAGGACAGCAGTAGGGTGAGGCCTCTGAGGTGGTGGGGAACAGTGTGGAAACCAGGAAGGAGTGCGGAGCTTGCAGGTGAAGGGAGATCTCGTGTGGTCAGGGAGGGTGACTCGTGCGGGTGGTGGTGTCATGAACCGAGATCAATGGCAGGAAGTTCCCGTGTCTTTGTGCAGCCAGCCGCCGCGGTGGGGAAGGAGGATGCATTTCATGAGGTGGAGGTGGGAGCTCTGATGAGGACGCACAGGGCAGTGGCACTGAGGCCACAGCTCACCTGAGGGCAGCCAACAGGAGGGTGCTTTTGGTTGTGCCTTGAGGTGTGGCAGGTACTGGACACTTTGTAGGGGGCATGCTATTTCTAGTTAAACCTCTGGCCGGCCTCCTCCTTGACCCAGATGGGGAGGAAGAGGTGACTTGAAGGCACCTTGGTCTGGGGACATCCAGGTGGTGTGGATGCCACCAGAGACTGGGTGTGCCTTGTGGGGGCTGGTCAGGTGTGGCTGTGCCACATCTGTGGCCTGAGCTCAATCAGGGCTTTCTGCAGAGCTCAGGCATGAGCCTCAGGGATGAGGGAAGGGATGGGAAGGGGCTGGGGTCATCCTGCAGCCTCACCTGCTGGGCACTCAGATCCAGCTGGGCAGGGGATGGCAAACACATTTGCATGACCCTGAAGCTCAGGGTCTGGGCAGTGGTAGCCAGGAGGGCAGAGCTCACAGTCTTCCTGTGCTGATGCCCCTGGCTCTGACCTAAAGGTGCCAGGTGGGCAGAAAAAGGCACCCTGGTCACCTAGACACCAGTGGCCCGGAGGACATGGGTGGTCTTCAAAGGAAGAGAGACCTGGGGGCAAAAGCATCAGGCTAAGAAGGGTTGCCTGAGGGGCTCCTGACAGCCTCTTCCCTCTCCTCCCCAAGGCCCCCACATCCAGCCTGCAGACAGGCTCTTACCTGGCCATGGGCAGTGGTACCCAGCAGGGCAGGGGAGGCACTCCGCCTGACTATGGCCTCCATCTGTTGCCAGGTAGGTATGCTCAGGGCAGGCCTGGGGAGCTCCCGAGTGGGTCTCACTTCCTCCAGGGCAGTAGTGGCCAGAGGGGCAGGCCTGGGTGGCCGGGGTGCCTGCAGAGCAAGGGCTGCCCTCACTTTTCTCCCCAGATGTGGGGCTGGAAGGTTCCAATCTCACAGGTCCTTGGCTGGGGTGATCCCTCAGCCAAGGTGATCCCTCAGCCATCCCCACCAAACAACTCAAGCCACAGCAAATGCCCAAAATGTACTTTAACCACAACCACAACCCTCTGCAAGCCTTCTTGCCTCAGGCCTGACTCTAGCGGGGCACCTCTCCTCTGGCTTCCTCCCACCTGCTCAGGGGCACAGGTGCAAGCCGGAGGAATCAGATCTGTCTGCAGTCCTGGGACAGGAGGGCGAGTTGGGCTGAGAGCGGAGCCCAAGGATACAGTCACGGCAGAAGGATCCCAGGGGGCAGGGAGCCCCTGTCACCCTGTCCTTTGGAGAAGGGGATGATGCACCTTCTGCACAGAAGTAGCCAGGCTGGCAGGGCCCGCTGGGGGTGGAGAGGCCTGGAGGTGGAGGGGAACTGGGTTAAATGCTGAGTAGACTCACTATAAAAGACGTTGGCCTTTGGAGCCAACTGGGATCCCTGTGGGCATCAGTCCTCGGAGGACTCGGGGTGTGACTAGAGTACTCAGCTAGAACTGAGAGTTATACTAGTGGTCATGCCTTTGCTGGGCCTGCATTGAGCCTGTGTTGAGCCTCTGCTGAGTCTGTGCTGAGTCTTTGCTGAGCCCTGTGCTGAGCCTGTGCCGAGTCTGTGCTGAGTATATGCTGAGCCTGGCCTGAGTCCTTGTCCTGAGCTTGCATTGAGCGTGTGCTGATCCTGTGCTGGTTGTGTCCTGAGCCTGGGCTGAGCCTCTGCTGAGTCTGTGCTAAGCCCTGTGCTGGGCCTGTGCTGAGCGTAGGCTGAGTTGTGCTGAGCCCTGAGGCTGAGTTGTGCTGAGCCCTGAGGCTGAGGCTGTGCTGAGCCCTGAGGCTGAGTTGTGCTGAGCCCTGAGGCTGAGGCTGTGCTGAGCGTAGGCTGAGTTGTGCTGAGCGTAGGCTGAGTTGTGCTGAGCCCTGAGGCTGAGTTGTGCTGAGCCCTGAGGCTGAGTTGTGCTGAGCGTAGGCTGAGTTGTGCTGAGCCCTGAGGCTGAGGCTGAGCTGAGTCTGTGCTAAGCCCTGTGCTGAGACCTGAGACTGAGTTTGGGCTGAGTCTGTGCTGCACCTTTGTGGAGCCTGTACTGATCCTGGGCTGAGCCTGTGCTGAGCCTGAGCTAAGTGTGCCATCTGCTCCTGCCCAACCCTGTGACATGGGTACTACTCTCATTCACAAAGAGCCTCAGGTCATCATCAGTAAGGTGCAGAGCTGACATTAGAGTACAAGTTTAGCCAACGCAGCCTAAGGTCTTGACCTCAGGGGCTGTAGAGCTGAGAGCCTCCCAAGGCAGAAGGAGCCTGGTGCATGCCTGGGTGCTCGGTGCCCAGCAGGGTTGTCCACAGCAGGTGCTTGGGAAGTGCAGGCAATCAGACATGGGGAGTACAGAGAGGGATCAGGGAGGTGCCACTGAGCCCCTCCCTGGGCATAGAGACCTGCTGGCCTGGCCACTCCTCCCTACCTTGCTGTTCTGTGGTGGCTGGCCTGCGTTCACCCAGAGTGACAGCAACAGTGACAGTTTATGAAGCACAGTCCTGCCAGGAAGCATGCCAGGCACAGCCCCCTGAGGTAGGCAGGCAGTGCTTCTCATTGGACAGGGAAAGATGGCGGTTACATGTTCACCCTCACATTGGTTCTCCCACCAGCCACAGCCTAGGCCACAGCACGATAGGTCCTTACCAGAGGTGCCACAGAAAGAGCCTGGTGGGCAGGGCATGGGCTCTGGGCTGCCCTCTGGACAGTAGGAGCCAGCAGGGCACTTTTCCCCTGTGGCTGTGGCTGGGCACAGGCAATTGGTGCTGGTGTAGTTGTCCAGGTTGAAGGGGCGGGCGGTCCATGCCACAGACACACAGAACCATCCTGGGGTAGAAACCAGTGGGGAGGGGTGGGTGGTGGGCCAAGGAGTCCAAGGCCAGGCTTACCAGGCTGCAGGCCCACCCATCCCTCCCAGTAGCTGCTCCAGGAGATAGTCTGGATGACCCCAGGTCCAGGGGCAGAAATGGGAAGTGCAGAGATGGACAGGGGGCTTCTTAGGGCAAGGCAGGAGACTCACCTGCCGCACAAGGCCCAGAGGCCCGGGTCAGGTTCTCCTACCCGCAGCAGTGGCCTGGGGGACAGGGCAGGCAGCTGTCCAGGCTCTGGGTCAGTGGGTCTGGGTCGTAGTAGCTCCGAGGGCAGGGGAACTGGGTGGCGTACTTCGTGCCTGAGAAGCAAAGTTCAGAGGAGGGGAGCCCAGCTTGCTGGTTCCTGAAGGCGCCCTCTGCTCCAGGGCCTGGGGCAGGGGAGGCTCAATGTGGCCAGCTGCTCCCTGTACCCCTCCTCCTGCAGGGCTGGTCCTTGGCAGACTCCCCACCCTCAACCCCACAACTCACTCACTCCTGGCCTTCCAGGCCGGAGAGTTCAGCCCCTGGGCTGGGTGGCCCTAGACCCAGGCTCCACAAAGCCACAGCATGTGCACTACTCCCCTTCCTGGTGCTCAACTTCACTGAAAGGCACGGGACCCAAACTTTCTACATTTTGCTAAAGTAATTTCACATATTTGTTTTTTAGCCAACACGGATATGCTATGGAATACAATGTAAAACCTTCGGGCATTTTAAAACACAGCTGGAGACTTGGATGGAACTCATACTTGTCACCAGCTGCTTAGAGCTCATCCTTGGAGTGCCCTCATATCCCTGGCCTTCAGGACGGGTGGTGGGAAAGCCCGGAAGCAGAGGACACACCTATGCATGTGTCTGTTGCCACAGAGTTTGCATTGCTGTGAGCCCCCAAGTCCCCAGCTGAGCCTAGAGCAGCTGTACAACTCTGCCCAGCCTCGCCCCGGGAAGTTGTGGCCTAGGCGCTCACCTCGGGGCAGTAGAAGCCAGCGGGACAGGGGTGCCTGCTGTAGTTGGTGACGTTCTCGGGGCAGTAGTAGCCAGTGGGGCAAGGGAAGCAGGAGGCCTGGCCAGTCAGGTAGCTGTAGGAGCCAGCAGGGCAGGGCTGTGGGAGGCTGGTTCCCCTGGGGCAGAAGTGGCCTCGGGGACAGGGGCCCCCCTGCCCTGAGTGGCCTGAGGGGAGGAAGGAAGCTAAGTGAGGAGTGCACACCCCAGTCCCAGCAGAGAGTGCCAGAGCTGGGGGAGGCTTGTGCCCCGGCACCAGAACCAAATGTGGACTCCAGTTTAGGTCAGAGGTTTGTTTTTGAGAGGAGCCGTGCTTGTGACTGGCATTTGTACCACACCTTACAGATCAAAAAGCATGTGTTTTACACAAACGTCACATTATTCGGGCCTCAGAAAAATCCCTGTTTGGTAGGTGGACAAGAGCAATGATTGGTTTTTACTGAGGATGAAGTCCTAAGACGTTAGCGGGCGAGCCAGGATCTCCCTGGACTCTGCCTTGGCTCAGAGCTGGTTTTCCAGACATCCCTCCCAGTGCTCTTTCTAGGACACACCATGATTGTGCACTTTTCAGTAAAACAGGCTGACAGACCAGGGCTTTCCCACTGAGTTGTACTAAGCCAGGCCAGCTGCTTCTGTTTTGGTCTTTTGTCCAGGTTCAGCAGCCTGAACGGGGGCTTGGCTCTGGCTCTCCAGTCCTCATCCATGATGCCCCAGAACTCAACCTTCCATCTGAGAGCTGAACTCGCTCCTCCAATGTTCTCTGAATAATGGAAGTGTCAGAGCAGAGGGATTCAAGGATCCTGGCCAAGGATCAGCTGCCCTATCTGCCTTCACATGTTCCTGAGGACCCAGAGACTCCAGGCTGCCCCCTGACCACTGGAGATGGCTGCAAAGGGGGCGTCCTCTGGAAGATGGTCAGCAGCCTCTAGAGGAAGCAGACATCCTGGACGCTGACCTCCAGGGCCTAATGCTCTGCCCCCTCTCCTGACCTGCACCTCGAGGGGGATGTGTAGAGGGTCTGCTCTGGGAGTCTTGGCTGTGGCCCCCACCTACCCAAGAAAGCCAATGCCCACGATCAGCTCAGCTTCTGGGTGGCCCATGGGGCACCATTCGGTGTCCACTGACTGCAACCCCCTCCCCCCAACACCCGTCCTCTCTGTCCACCTCCCGGCAAACCTGTGGTGGATTCAGCAGGTCTGAGTGAGACAGAGGTGGGCTGGGAGGCCGCAGGTGTGACCGTAAATGGGCAGGGCAGCCAGACCACAGCACGCCTCAGCCATCTGACTCCAGCCCCTCTTACATACGTCCCCTCCATCCTCAAACCACCCACAGCCCATCGGTGCCAAACCATGAGAGCCCCCACCTCAGGGCGTTGGGTGGTACAGGGCTCACCCGCTCCCAGGGGGCTCCACACCTGTCGGGGTTGGGGAGGAGGCTCCTGCCAGACAGAAGTAGCCGGGGGAGCAGGGGCCAGAGGGCGCAGCCAGGCCAGAGGCACCACAGAAATGGCCAGGGGGACAGGACAGGCCCTCAGAGACCATGGAGAGAAACATTCTGGGGAGACAGAAAGAAACCCAGGAGATGAGCCAGGGAGGGGAGCAGGCGGGAGGAAGGGGCTGTGGGACCAGGCCTCTCTGAAAGGGTGGACCCAGGCGCACCCTGGCAGAGACCACCTTTCCGCGATTTCCTTTTCATCTCTCCTCTCTCAGGCTCCCTGTGACTCCTGCCTACACTGGCTCCAGGTAGCATTTCCGGCAGGTGCCTGAGGGAAAGTGTGGCAGGGCTCTTCTCTCTGTCTCTCTTTCCCCTCTGAGATATGCACCTGGTTATAATTCTTCTCTGTCTTAATCCCAATTCAAGCTCAGGCCGTCCAGGGCCACAGACCTCTGTGATCTGGCAGCTACAATCAGAACATCTAACAGTGCCCCACACTACCCCCCGCCCTCCCCTGAGCCATCAGCTCCACGACTGGCCCTTGCTTTGGGCTGTCTTCTCTTGGGAGCTGGGAGGGTCCTAAAGATGAGGAGATGGGTCTGGTCTCAAAAGAGATATCGGCAGACACAAATTCTTAATGGCTTTGCTTTCTTGAGTATGACGTGTTCTCAAGCCCCTCAAAGCCCGCATGGCCTGCCCTCGATCTGGCCCCTCCAACCGACACTCCCCAAGGCTTTCTGCCCTCGCAGCCCAGGTGGAAGTCCGGCTCTCCAAGCCTCACACTCTCCCATGGCTGGGGGATGTTGTTGGTCAGCTGTTAAGTGGAAAGGAGGACCGAGAGGAGGTCTGGGCTCAGCCCCTGGGACCAGGGCAGTGGCACTCATACTCACTAACCTGAGAAGGTGCCCATAGGGCAGGGCAGGGCCACCCCTGTGCCCACTGGACAGAAGTGACCTAGAGGGCAGGGCCCTCCCGCAGTCACATGGATGCCTTTATTGGGATGAGTGACCTCAGCTCTTGCCCAGAGAATCAGAAGTGGCTGAGATTGCAGAGCAGCCCTCCCTGGCCCCCACTCAGGCTCTCGACCACCCCCAGCTCACACACCCCTGCAGTGGGACATTTCCCAGAATAAGGGAGCAGAGCTCGCGAGCTGGAGTGACAGTGCCCTCCACTGCCAGGGTGGCTCTCAAGCCCAGGGACGGCAGTGGGCCCTGAGATGCGGCCCCTTCTGAATTAATTCTTGGCTATCTGTGCCAGACCCTGCTTAGGAGCCCAAAGCTGGGGAGAAAGCATGGGGGTTCCAGGACTTGCCCATCCTGTGGAAAGGTGGGTGTGGTGCCTTCAGCCCCACTCTTGGTGTGGAGGGCACTGCAAGGCACTGAAGAGTTGGGGCTCCAGACCCCACTCAGGGAGCCTCCAGATGAGTGTTCTAGAAACCTGCTTCCACTCCAGCTAAGCTTGTTTTCATTTACATATTCATTATGTCATCACTTATGGTTTGCTCAAACCCTTTCTGAATGAGATGGACCTAATTTAATAAAAATTACACTGACAAGTACTCTAAGGAGAAGGGGCCCTTATATTTCTATGGGAAGAGAAAAGAAACAGTAATGTGTGACTGTCCCTAAAGCCAACGGCTTTGTGTGAAGACATGTCTTATATGGGAGGGTGGGGACACCCGTGGAAGACGACACCTCACCCTCCCCACACAGGTGGCCAAAGGTGCAAAAAGAAGGTGGAGGAGCTCAGGTGAAAGCACTGGTGGCCTCACAGCATGCATGAAAGTTATCTCCACAACCACCAGCCCTCAGGTGACTCGGTAGGGGGAGAGGTCACCTCACCTCATGAGCTGTCTCAGGGAGAGGGAGGGTGGGGCTGGGGTTCAGGCCAGGGGTGGTTTTATTAGCCTCTCCACCCTGAGGTGTCCCTGGACCCTGTCCTGGAGCCACTGCCTGTGAAGCCAAAGTGCCACTTGGCTTGCTGGGTGGATGTTAATCCCACAACATAGTCCTCAGAGCCCTGCCTGTGGGCTGGGGGCCACCAAGGTCATGCTGGGACTATGCCAGGGTTGAAGGCTGGGCCTGCCACTCAAGGGCCTCGGGGAACACAGGTCCAGGCTGCCTCTTGTGGCTGCAAGGACATGTGGGAAGTCCTGCTCCTAAAGCTCCTCCAGCCCAGCACCCTCCAATTGACCTTTTTATGATCCTCCTTCTTTAGCTCAGCCCTTAACTTCTCCAGGAAAGCTGTCCTGATGCTGCTCTCATCTTTTGGGCAGCGTGGAAGCCTTGGCCAGGCACCAGCAGAGATGGGACATTTCCTGCATGTCAGAGACCCTGCAGAGACTGGATCCTACCTTTCTCTGTTATGCCCTCCGTCCCTGCCGCTCGCCTGCCCTGCGGGAGGGGCCATCGTGGCGGTGGGGTCCACGTCCAGCCCTGCCTCTCCTCAGGCTTATTCTGCTCTGCAGCCTCCTCCAGGACAGGTGTTTCTTTACTGCCCTTCCTGAGCTCAGTCTTATTTAATGCTCATCTCAGCTCTCATCTGAGGGGAGAACTCAGGATTCCCGAGTTAAGGGATTTCCCACAGTCAGGAAGTGGGTTCTGACTCCGCCCAAAGGCCCTGCCCTCTACCTCGCATCACAGACCTCTGGGCCCTGGGACAGCAAAAGAGGTTTTCCAGGAGCTGAGTCCCTTGGGCCCCACCGCACAGCCTTGCCCCCCCTCCTCACCTGCAGGACATGGCGGGCAGCTGTGGGCCTGGCTTCGGTCCTCCCAGGGACTGGACACGCCTGGAGGACAGGGCCTAGGGAGGTGGCTAGTGCCCTGGGGGCAGTAATGACCTGGGGAGCAGGTCCTCCCCTGGTGGGTCTCTCAGCCTGGAAAAAGGTGACCTCAGTCATCCCAAGGCCTCGCCCGTCCAGTGTGTAGGTGTCCTACTGTGCTTTCTGAGCAGGCCGAGTACCTGTGCCGTAGCTGTGCTCCCCGTCTTGCCGAGGTGTGGCCGCCAGGGAGCCCTCGAAGTGTCCCCACAGCCCACCAAGGGGTGTCGGGGTCTGCGCCCCTCCTGGGCAGTGGAAACCTGGAGGAGGGAAGCACCAGGCCGGCCTGCTCTCTGGAGAGGCCTGGCTCCCGCCTTCCCATGCACGAGGCTCCGGCTGTACCCGTGACTGCTGTGGTGGGATCGGGCTCTGGAGGTGCCCCAGTAAGCTCATAACGTAGGACCCTCTCAAATCCACATCTTCAAATCTGTGTCTCCCACATGGCCGAGTGAAGGTGGCAGTGTGGGCAGCAGCATAGTGGAGGACGGTGCCCGCCTCTCGTCTGTCTGGACCCAAACTTCGCCCCTCACTAAACCCATGGATAGCCTGCTGTGCATGGGGACCCCAAGCGCAGAGGCTCTTGAGGAACCTTCAGCCCATTTCTCAGAGGCTGGTCCAAGTGTTGTCCCAGGGACAGATGGGCAGTGCTCTCTGGAGAGGTGGCAGGCCTCCCTGGGCCAAGCAGAAAGAACCCTCCCCTCACCCTCCAGGACACTTCCCCCATCCCCTTCGCCTCCCGCAACACCCGGGCCTCAAGCTGGGAGGATGTGAGCAGCTTGGGAGCAGCTGGATGCTGCCGTCTGAGACCCCGCCCCACCATGTTCAGTATCCGCCTCTGCCCAGTCTCCAGCCTGCCTCCTCCTCATTCACACAAGCCTGGCCACACCGCCCAGGCACACCTGCCCTGGGCTCTCTCCAGCGTGCCTCTCCCCCAGGCACTGAGGCTCCCAGGGTGGCAGGTCCCAGCCGTGCTCTGCTTCATGCTCAGAGGGATGTAGGAGTCCTTACCTGGTGCATACGGGCCCCCAGGGGCAGCCTGGCCTGTGGTGGCACAGAAGAGCCCAGGTGGGCGAGGCAGGCACCAGCTTATGTCCTGTGCCCCTCTCTCTGCATTCCAGGTGCCAGCCGGGCAGAGCCACTGCCTGGGGTCCTTGGTGCCAGCAGGGCAGAAATGACCCGGGGGACAGAGGTCACCAAAGGGGAGTCCCTTCTAGAGGAAGAGGGGTCTGTTGAGGTTTACAAGCTGAGAGCAAGTGGGTTCTCTCCACTGGCTTCCCTCCTCTTCCTCCCTGAGCCCCTCTCTAGGGAAGCCTGCCCAGCTCAGCCCAGCCACACCTGTTCTGCACCGCCAGGAACCCTCTGGGAAACACTCAGGAATTTAACTTCAGAAAAAGAAAGTAAATTTTGATTGTTAAGTTGTTAAATAACCTAACCAATTCCAACTCTCTGCTAATATCACCAACACACAGCTTTAATTGTGATGAGGTGCAACTATCATCTATCAATTAATCAATCTATATTTATCATTTCTCAAATAATCAATCAATTATCTATCATCTATCAATCATCTATGCATCAAACGATGTACTTACAACAATTATTAATGCTTACCTAGTATCCCTCTAGGTTGATAAGCTATATCTCTGTCTAGATTTTTTTTTATTATTGGGCCTTTATGGTGTTTTGTTGTTGCTTTGAACGTTTTTTCACAAATGACTTTTTTCCCATTTCAGATTCTTTCCCACATTGGAATTACTGGATCAATTCCAATAATTCCAAGCTGCCCTAGGCTCTCGTTAGGTATTGCAAGACTGCAGCAGCCCCTGGGCCCAGGCTGCAGCGGAGAGCATGAGAGCATGGACTCTCCCACACGGACGTCTTATGAGGCCTTCAGCACTTGCTTTACTATCAGTAGTTAGTAGATGCGTCGGGTACTGAAGTGGCATTGCTTCATGTGCCCTTAATGTCAGCCCACTGAGCCTTTTCCTGGCTGAAGACATATTTGTATTTGGTGCCTTTTGCAGTGGGTACTGGATGCTAGCCTCTTGGGCCCTTCCTCACTGGTTACATGTTTTCACGGGCCATGTATAATGGCTGCAGTTCTACCCGCTCTGCAGTGATTTCATTCTATCTTCTCAGGGCTACTCTGCCCCTCACGGGGCAGGCAGGTGCTGGGCCTTTGCCCTGTGGTGTCCCTGACCCCTGCCCTGGGAAGGCCTGATAGGGCCTGCACTCACCAGGGACGAGGTGTTGGAGCCAGGCCCGCAGTGATGCCCAGGGTGGCACAGGCCCTGGGGCTCAGCCAGGCCAGCTTTGCCACAGAATGCCCCCAGGTGGCATGGCTGGCAGTATTCCACACGGGCAGCCCCAGGGGCCTTTCGGAAAGTGCCCTGGGCAGATAGAGGGATGTCACCAGGGTCAAGGTTCTGGAAGCCACAGTGGGGCCAGGGAGGAAGCAGAGCAGGGCCCTCCACCCTCTCTCCTTGGGCACACAGAACCAGGGAGAAGACAATCTGTCCTCACCAAGGACAGAGCCCTCAGGACCCATCCACTAGTGTGTGGGATTGAGGTTTCCATAGATTGAAGTCTGGCTGCAAAACAGAGGGGAGGCTGCCCCCACGGGGAGTACCACCTGCACCTAACTCCCCAGCTCCCTCCCCCCTCCCTCCTCCTCCCCACCTCCTGCTCCCTGGGCCTGGGTTACTCCATCCCTCGTGACCTTCTGGTCTGGCACCGTAGGGAAACTAGCCGTGGGAATGTGAGCAGCCCAGCCCTTATCTGAGTGGTGGGGGAGGCAGGGGCTGGGTATGGCCATGTCATGCTGAAGGGACGTTGTCCCTCTCAACCACCAGTATGGGGCCAATGGCTCCAGAGCCTTCCCATGCCGAACCAGAAACACCAGCTGGGGATCCCAGGGGAGAGGCTCACCATGGGGCAGGGGATGGATAGCAGGCCCTGGGCTGGGCAGTAGTGCCCAGGGCGACACGTCATGGCCCAGGGCCAAGCAGCTTTGTCTGGTTGCAGAGTTTTCCTCCTGAGCACTCCTGGCACCAGAGATGACCTGGACCCTGGAAAGGGGTGTGGACAATAAGGTCGAGGTTCCATCCACACCTGGAATGCATAGGTGGGCCTGGTGCACGACAGGTACTGAGGAAAGGTATGTGGGGCTGCTGCTGGCCAGGCCTGGCTCAGTGCGTACCTCCCCTATGAGGAAGGCGGATGCCACAGAACCAGGGAGCTCTCCAAGCACATGGCTGCAGGATTGGCAATGCCCGGAGGAGGAGGGCCCAGGCTGGAGGCTCCTTCTGTCTTCTCAGGGCTACTGATCCTCCGGGAGGCCTCTGCATGAGTCAGGAGAGGCCAATGTGGCCCTGCAGGGCTGCACTCATGAGTGGTCTGGGCAGGGCCGTCACGATGGCTGCACAGTGGGCCATACTGTGGGTTCTGGGTCACCCACCCTGCCACCTCCCCATGCCTGCCAGCGCTCTCGAGGTGTCCACATAGAGGCCTGGGCTCACTGGGAAGACTCAGGGCAGAAGGTTGGGGGCTGCCATGCCAGGTGAGTATTGGTGCTGGAGCCCTGCTGGGTTTGCCTCCCAGCTGTGCCATCTGCAGACCCCTCCTCATCTTGAAGGGGAAAGCTATGCTGGGGGTGTGGGTATCCCTGAGCTGACACAGTGAGTGCTGTGTAGATGGTAGAGCTCCAGGTAACTGAAAGGGGGGATGATGGTGCTTCCTGAGAAGGAGGGAAAGATTGTGTCTGAAACACAATTTGCTGTAGATGGTAGAGCTCCAGGTAACTGTAAGGGGCGATGACGGTGCTTCCTGAGAAGGAGGGGAAGATTTTGTGTCCGAAACACAATTTGGGCTCTTTGGGCTGCAGTGACTGGCCACAGTTGCCCTGTGTGGAAAGCTGCGAGATACTGAATAAACTGCACATTCTTTGACTGCACAACTCCCCAGGGCCACCTGTGGCTTCCCTAAGCTTGACATCATTTCTTGGAATAATCACCAAGCTTCACTGAAGAAGCCTGCAAAGATGGCATTAGCAGAGCAGTGAGGGACTCGTGCAATGGCACCCCCTTCCTGACACTTGAGTGCACATGGCAGGCAGTGGGGAGGAGGGTGCCGATAGCTCCTCTGGGTCTGGAAGGCCAATGTCATGCAATGTCCCAGGCTCCTGCTCATTGCTTACCTGGGTGGTGGGGGAAGAGGAGGTAAAATGGAAGTGTGCTGCCTTCATCACCCATAGCTCCCTGTAGAGGGAACTAAATGCAGACACCTACCCCAGTGGGCTCAGGGCAATGACTCTGTTCCCCCATCTCCCTCCCTCTGCTTCTTCCCCTTCCCCTTCCCCAATAGGCGCCAGGCTGGCCCATGGAGCAAGGGCCCAGGCCTGCCCCCTCTGCCCTAGAAGAAGCACCTGGAGGCCTGCCCAGCTCCCAAGCCCACATTGGAGCAAAGGATTCTCCCTGTAGTTGCGTGTTTCCCTTGCCTGAGCGGAGCTCTGGGGAGTCACCATCGGGGCAGGCTGGGGCAGGCACCTCCCAATTTTAGGATCCCCCACTCTTCAGAGCCCTCTGAGGATGGAGTCTGTTCTGGGAACACTTACAGAGAAGCTGCCAGTGCTGCATGGTCGTGGCGTGGTGGTGCCTCTCTCAGGGCAGTGGTGACTGGCAGGGCGAGGCACACAGGCCACAGCCAGCTTGGCTGCTGGACCTTGGCAGTACGTTCCTCTAGAGGGGGTGGAGAGAGCTAAAGGTGGATGCCCATGGCCTTCCTGGGGAAGAGTCCCCACCCATGAAGTCGCCATTTCTCCAAGGCCAGATCCCTCCACTGTCCCCCAGCTTCCCCTCAGAGTGTAAGGGCAGAACTCCCAGCCCGCCTGAGCCTTAGGAGGCCCCGTAGGGGAGGCTGAGGGTGTGGCCTCAGCTGGAGAAGGCAGGGCAGGAGATTTAAAAACCAGGCTAATTGTGCTTCTTTCTAAAGTTGTCTGTGAGATGCACCGGGGCCCCTCTTAGGATCCTGCTACCCCTGACCCTCCCAGCATGGAAATAAAGACAAATCTTGAGTTCCTTCAAGGGAAAGTCCAGCACCTCACTAGCCCTGAGGAGTAAATGAGCAGCCCGATAAGCAAGAAGGTAACTGCAGCTTTGAACAGTGGCCAAGGAAGTCAGAGCCACGAGAGGCTTGGTTTTCTCTGGAAGCTAAAGATGCCATCTTAGCATATGTCCCTGATTGCTTTTCAGAAACCAGGACCCCCAGCAAATGGACCCGCTGGCAGGCAGACCTCAGATAAGGGGGGAGTGAGGACTGAACTCTGACTGCCTCAGTGCTTTGTTCTAAATTTCTGCCTGGGGGCTCCTGGCACGCCCGCAGGCCAGACCTTAACATCCCTTTCTGCTGACCCTAAGAGTTTAGACACAGCTTCAATTCCTTAACCAAACGGGGAATCTTTGACTCCACCTATGACGCGGAAGTGCCTGCTTCAAGACAGACTGCCCTTTTAGGCCAATGTGTAAACTTCATGTCTTGATTTACAATTTTGCCTGTATAAGGGTAAATTTCTCTCCTGAAATTTACCCCTGCCTCTATAAACCCTTGCTTGTAAGCTGCCAGGGAGGTTGGCTCATTTTTTTTTTTTTTTTTTTTTTGAGACGGAGTTTCACTTTTGTTGCCCAGGCTTAGATTTTCCACATTCTCTCAAGTTTTATAAATATCTATTTATGCTTTGTGATTTTGTGATTTTGGCTTTTTAAAATTAAAATCTGCATTTGATCTGAAATTTGTTTTGATCAATGTCATTTCCACTTTTTACCTGAAGAATGTGTATTGCTTGTTTTTAGTAAGACAAACCCTAAGTTTTCTTTTTGACCAGAGGAATAAAAGGCACATTTTAATAAAACAGTAAAATCCACAGATAATCCCACAGCTTGGGCCAAATGATCTCTGCTGAGATCTCTGCAGCAATTAGCTTTAGGAGGGGTTTGGCCTTTAGAGTGGGCAGCTCTGAAACAGCTTCTTTTTTCAGGATGGTGGGCTGGTACGCGGCTGCTTCAGCAGGGATACCTTCACATCCCTCCTTGGACTCTGCTCATCTTTTAAATAAATTTTTTATAATTTTAGAGATGAGGTCTTGCTCTGTAGCCCAGGCTGGGGTACCATGGCATGATCATAGCTCACTGCATCCTGGAACTTTTGGGCTCAAGTGATCTTCCCGTCTCAGCTTCCTGAGTAGCTGGGACTACAGGCTACCATGCCTGGCTAATTCTTATATTTTTTTAGAGACGGGGTTTCACCATGTTGCCCAGGCTGGTCTCAAACTCCTGGCCCCAAGTAATCTTCCTGCCTCAGCACACACTCCTCGCTCATGGTCAATCCAGGCCAGTTACTCCAGTCAGTACAGATACAAGCCATCATGCCCGGCACTCTGCCCATCTTTTGAGGCTGAATCGAGTCACCACAAGCTGATGGCTTCTCCACTGACTGTAACCCAGAGTGATTCTCTCTTGTTCAACTTCCTGGCTGTAGGGGTGCCCCTGACCTGGGGCACCTATAGCCCTGGGTCCAGCTCATCCTGTTCCTGTGTGTCCTGTTTCAACAAGGTGGCCAGGTCCTGAGGGCAGGCTGGGCCCTCCTCTCCCTTGGTACCAGTGTCCAGTGCTGGGCTCCAGCAGGCACACAATGAACGTGGCGATTTGGCCTCAATAACAACCACACATGCGGCCTCCTTACCGTTGGCAGAGCTCCGGCTCAGGGACCCCACTGGGGCAGAAGGCCCCGGGGGGTAGGGCAGACAGTCCTCGAGCTGGCCGTTGCCTGCCTGGGAGCTGCAGGTGCCTGCTGGGCAGGGGAACTGTGTCCTCCACTTCGCCCCTGTTTCAGAGAGAAGAGGGGTTCAGAGGAAGAAAGAGGGGTCGGACCTGTGTCATCACTGGCACACCAGCTCCTCACCTGCTGCCTGGAGACAGTTCCCAGGGGAGGCCACTGGGGATGGGGCAGGGGGAGGGGGTGTCACTCTCCAGGACACAGTCTTTAGGAAGCTGTGCTTTGGGCTGAGACACCTGGGAACCCCCATTTAGGAGGCTCTGAGGCTTATCAATCCCTTCCAGCCCCCAGCCTGCTGGTGGCTTCTGTCCCCACAGCCTCCCCGAGTTTCCTGCTCCTCCCAGCCCTCCTCTCAGGAAGGTGGTCCTGAAATGGAAGCTTCCCCTCTCCCGTTGCACACCAGGCTTCTCCTGCTGCATCTGCTCCAGAGGAGGTGCACAGGCCAGCCCATGGCACCCTCTCCTGGCACTTGCCTGCAACCTTGCCAGGGCAGAGTCTGGCCCCACTCACCTCATGGGCAGTAATGCCCGGCCCTGCATGTCCCTGAGGGCACCTGAGCTCCACTGACACAGAACCAGCCCCTGGGGCAGGGCATACACTCCTCGCTCATGGTCAATCCAGTCTGGTTACTCCAGATGCCGGGAGGACACTGGAACTGGGTTGGCTTTTTGGTGCCGGGAGGGCAATAATGGCCAGCTGAGCAGGGGATGGGGGGCCAGTCTGGGCCCCCGGTTCCTGCAAACACAGTACTGAACTAGACCTGAAGGGCTGCTGCCCCTCTCCAGCCACAACCCCTGGCAGGCGTCAGAGACACGGGCTGGGGCCTTGCCTCGGGGCAGGGGGTATCTGGATTAACAACCTCCAAGGCCACCGTACCCGAGGCAGCAGGGTCGGGACTCAGGCTGCTTTTAATTGCCCAATCCTTTGGGCTCCCCATGGAGGGGTGGGCAATGCTCTTTGTGAGGAACAAAGGGGCTATGGGTCAGGGTCTATTGTCCTGGCCTCCCTGTCCCGGGGTGGAACTGGTTTTTCACCCAAAGGCAGGGTCCTGAGGTGGTGAGGCCACTGTCCCCCTCCTCACTTACCCCCAGGACAGGCTAGTCCCTCGGGGCAGACCTCACACTGCGATGGGTGGGAGAGGTCATTGCGGTTGCTAAAGGTCCCAGGAGGGCAGGCATGGGAGGGAGCGTGGGGACTGGAGGAGCCTGAAGGGCACACGTACCTACAGCAGCAGGGGAGTTGGCACCTGGTGCCCACCACGCAGAGCCCGGCATCTTGGAGAGTCATGGCCAGATCCCGCCGTGCCCCTGGCCTGCTCTGTGAGTCTGCATGGTAACCTGGCCTCTCTGAGCTACTTTCTCCATGGACAAAGCCAGGAAGACAGCTCCCTAGACGCCTCCTGAGCATGGATGGACCTGAGACAGTGCTGGGCCTCGGTGCTCGGGGGCAAGTCCTGGAGCCCTGGGCTGGCTGAGACAGAGCTTTGATCTGAAGGCGCAGCCCTCTCCGAACCCTGAGAGGGTCAGAGGCTGGGAGAAGTCTGGCCTTGACCTGGGACTGATTCTCTAAGGGTGTTAGGGGGATGGCTCTGGCCCCCATCGGGACACTCATCATTGAGAAATGGCGGGCACTTACCCCGGTGAGCACGCTGCGTCGGGGTGTGTCAGCCCAGCCTGGGTACAGGCCCTGCCTGCTGGGCAAGGGGTGCAGTCTGTGGCTTCATCCTGGCCTAAGCGGGGGCCAAATGTACCCGGCTGGCATGGGATGGGGCGGGTGGCTCTGTTGGGGCAGAAGTGTCCCGCAGGGCACCGAAGACACAGGCTGAGAACTGGGGAGACAGCAGTTTTCTCTCTCAAGGGAAGCAGTGACAAGAAAAGCAACCAAAGCTCTACAGGCCTTGGCCACACCTGACCCTCCCATGGGCCTGGGAGTGCAGGAGCTGCCACCATCCCTGGTTACCAGGAAAGGGGTATCACTGCCTCTAGTGTAAAGATGAGGCTCAGAGAGGTGAAGCACCTTGCTGATATCACACAGCCTGTGCATAGCAGATCTGGGCCATCCCTGGCCTGGCATTTTCTAGGCCCAGTCTTTTGTCCGCTCCCAAGAAAGGCCTCCTATGTACCTACTGACACTCTCACTTTTTACTTTAAAACTTCTCATTTCTTTTTCTCCTGTCCTCAGCACTGGTGATTCCCAGTCCCGTCAACCCTCTGTCTTTACTGGCAGCTCTGGGTTGAACAATCCAGGCTGCCTTGGAACTTTCTATACAGGTCCTGATTTCCCCAGCTGAACCCAGAGAACATGGAGTTCCCAGAGCTGGAGCCTGATGAGGCCTGGCTGCACCCCGGGTGTGGCTTTCCTGGGGCTCACCCGTTGACTGGTACCTGGACTCGCTGCCCGGGCTGCTGTCAGTCCCTTAACATCAGCTTCTGTTAGCGTTTGATAAGCACCAATCAGCAAGGTCAGAGTCAAGGCCACTCTTCCTGTCTTGCAAGCAGAAGGCAGAATCCAGAACTGACCTGCTGAGCAGAAGCTGGTGTCCTGGTGGGGCACCTCTCTCCTGTCCTTGAAGTTTCCGGCATGGCGTGGCACAAAGGCAGCACCATATGGGTGGAAGTAGCCTGTGAGGGGGGCCTCATGGGGTGGGTCCCACCAGGGCTTGGGGTCCTCATCCCCTGGGGAGTCTGCTGGCTGTGGAGGGTGAGCTGGAAGCCTGGCACCTGGAGTGGCTTCTGGGGGGTCTGCACCATGCAGGGTGAGGCTGGGTCTCACCCCGGGCCCATGTGCCATCACTGCCAGGGAGCAGGGTAGAGCAGCACAGGCTCTACTCTCTGCTTCTGCACAGTGCTGCTTCCTCTGTGGGGAGCTCTCCCAGCCTGGAAGAAGCCTCCTGGGCTCCTCCCTGAGCAGACAGACTCTCAGGGGTGCCTCGTCTGAGCCTCAAGGGCCCTGTCTCCACCCTGATTCAATACTTCCCAGGTCGCAGCTTTAGGGAAGCTCTGGCGTCTGCCTCTCCCCTGGATGGGGAGCACCTGGACCCTCAGCGCTGCCCCAGGGCCTGGCACATGAGACAGAAGTGGGGGTGCACAGAGGGCCGGAAGGATGCTGGGACCCCTGTCAGCTCTGCCTCTCTTCCCCTTCTGCCCCTTCAGCCCCTCCTTGTCACTGCAGTGTAACCTGTGGTCCCCTGCAAGACCACCAGACACTTAGCTGAGGCCCCCACTTCTTATTGACAGGCAAAGCAGCACCAGGGCCTGTTCTTTCCCATGGAGCAGCTCTGTAGCCCATGCCCCCTCCTCTCCAGGGGCCCCCTCCCAGCCCTGGCACCTGGCCTGTCCCCAACACACACCAGAGTGGGTGGGCAAAGGGAAAGCCGAGGGCCTCAAGGTGGGGGCGGTAATGCCTTGCAGAAGTGGAGGTGAGTTGATGAGAGAACCTTGATCACATGGTGTCTGAGCCGCTTCCCTCCTGCCCTCCTGTGCTGGGCTCCCCTCCGTGCCTTCGCCGCTGCTGCCCTGTGGCCAGAGCACTGGGAATGAATGACACATTTCATTTCCACCCTGAACAAAACTGAGGAGGTAAATCTTTTGCCTTTGTGGGGGTGTTGGGGGGGATCCTACACAGTCTTAAAGTTAACAATAATGAAAATAACGAATGTTTTGAGATGCCCTTCCCCTCCCCCACCCTTCCTAATCCTCAGGATCTGGAAGGATTTTCTCCATGGCTCACATCCTCAGAGCTAGTGATTTCCAGCCACATCGTTCCTCTGTCTTGGCTAAAACTCTAAGTTGAATAATCCAGGCTGCCTTTAAACTTGTACGGGTCCTGATTTTCCTAGCTGAGCCCAGAGAACATGGAATTCCTAGGGCTGGGGCCTGCCAGACCCTGGCTGCACCCCTGAGTGTGACTTTCCTGGCATTCAGCAGCACTGCTGATGCCCAGCTCCTGGGCTCCTCTCTTCCAGCCACCCCTCTGAGCCTGGGGAGCCCTGGTTATTAGAACCCGGCAGTCTCAGGTGTCCGCATTTTCTCCATAACATCGCCTCCCACAGGCTTCAGTGTCCCCCATGGTCCTTGTCACTGCACACCCAGCTCTGCACAGCAATGCTGTCGTCTGTGCACCTCTGGGTGGGCTGGGATGCCCAAAATCCTCCCTGAGAAGGTGCTTACTTCACATCCACGGTGGCTGGTGAGGCGACCACTCATCTTTCCTGCCTGTCATCTGTGGGTTGGGAATGAAGACTGACCCAACCTGGCCTCTCCCCAGCTTGCTGCTGTCTGGGTTACCTGCACCCACTTCTAAGAACACAGGCAACGGTGGGGCCGTGGAACACTCAGGAGCTGGAGAGGTGGGAAGAACAGGGGCTGCATGTGTTGGGGGCTGCAGGGTCGGCCAAGGGGCTCCTTACCTATGAGAAATGACAAAGCTCTTGTCTCCGAGGTGAGGTGTTCCATGCCTGTTATTTTCTTTAGACGCAGAGGTCCAGCCCCAACTGGGAGCTCTGCATTTAAATTGGTAGCTACTAACCAGTCTGGCTCTAACTGCAGTAGCTACCATTTACTGAGTGTTGACTTTGAGCTTTCTATGTAGGACTTCACCTAATAGAAGCATTCAGGCACTGTTATGATCAATTCCACTTTAGAGATAAGGAAAGGGAGGCCTGAGGAGAGTTAAATACCTTCCAAACTCACACAGTTTGCCATAAGGAAAGTCTTGATAAATTTCAAGAGATTGAAATATTAGAGAGTATGTTTTCTGATCATAATAGAGTTCAGTTAGAAATCAAAGACACCCAGAAAAGCCCCAAACACTTAGAAATTAAACAACACACACTAAAACAATCCATTAGACAAAAAATCACAGGGAAATTAGAAGCATTTTAACTCAAAGGGTAATAATAGAAACACACCATCATAAAGTGTGTGGGATATAACTAAAGCAGTGCATAGATTCAAATTTACAGGATTCAATGTCTAATCAGAAAACAAAGAAGATGTAAAATCAGCTATCTACTTTCACCTTGGGAAGCTGAAAAGAGGAGAGCAAATGTAAATCAGGATTAATAAAACAGAAAAATCAATAAGGACAATCAATAAAACCAAAAGCTAGTTCTTTGAAAAGATAAATAACATTGATAAAGCCCTAACTAGACTAATAAAGAGAAAAAGAGAAAAAAATGTACCAATATCAGGTATGAAAAAGAGCTCTCACTGCAGATGACACACTGAAAGGGCAGTAAACATGTGGCCTGAACCACTCTCTGACAATCAACCTTATACCTAACAGAAAATGAACAGATTCCTTGAAAGACACAAATTCCCAAACTGTTGCAAGAAGAAATAGAAAATCTGAATAGCCTTAAACGTGTCAAAGACATTTAATTCGTAAAGATCTTTGCACCAAGAAATCTCTAAGCCCTATGGCTTTACTAAGCTCTATACAATACTCAAGAGAGAACTCATACCAGACAGACATGAACTCCTCCAGAAAAAGAGAAGAGCAGGGACTACTTTGCAACTAATTTCCTGGGAAAATTAGTTGAGCCAGTGTTGCTTTGATACCAAAGAGACTAGAAAAAACTACAGAACAATATCTCTCATACACATAAGATTAAAAGAAACTTACAAAAATGTTAGCAAATCAAATTCAATGATATGTAAAAATGATAACATCATAACCACATGAAGTCCAGGAATGCAAGATTGGTTTAACATCCAAAAAACAATGATACTCACCATCTTATCAGAGCAAAGGAGAGAAAATCCATATGCTTACCCCTATAGGTTCAGGAAAACACAGGACAAAATTAAATATCTATCCCTGATAAAACTCAGCAAGAAATAGAAGAGAATGTCCTCAACCTGATTAAAGGCACCCGTAAACTACAGCTAACAGCAACGTTGTGATTAGAGACTGAATGCTTTTTCCCTAAGATCAGGAAGAAGCCAAGGATGTTCATTTCTATTCAAAACAGTAGTGGAGTCCCTAGACAGTATAATAAGGCAAGGAAAAGTAACAAAATGTGAATGGATTGAAAAAGTAGAAGTTGGTCAGGCGTGGTGGCTCACGCCTGTAATCCCAAGACTTTGGGAGGCTGAGGTGGGCAAATCACCTGAGGTCAGGAGTTCGGGACCAGCCTGACTACATGGAGAAGCCCCATCTCTACTAAAAATACAAAATTAGCCAAACATGGTGGCGCATGCCTGTAATCCCAGCTACTCAGGAAGCTGAGGCAGGAGAATCGCTTGAACTTGGGAAGCAGAGGTTGCGGTGCGGTGAGCTGGGATTGCACCATTGCACTCTAGCCTGGGCGACAAGAGTGAAACTCCGTCTCAAAAAAAAAAAAAAAAAAAAAAAAGGGAAAAGTAGAATTTAAATCATCTTTATTCACAGATAACATGATTACCGGCAGAGAAGACCCTTAAAAATCTACACAAAAACTACCATAACAAATAAATGAAGTAAGCAAGGTTGAGGGATACAAGGTCAATACACACAAATCACTACCAGCAATGAACAACTGGAAATGGAAATAAAAAATACAGTTCCACTTACAACATCATCCAGAAACATGAACTACTTGGGGATAAATTTAACAGGACCTGTACACTGAGAACTGCAACAGTCTGCCAAGATTACACCCTAGCCAGGAGCAGAACAGGACTCCAGCCATCCTCCAATGCCCCGTTCCCCAACACTCTGCATACTTCTTTCTTCTGCATCATCTCATTTCATTTGTGCCACTTCCTGTGTTGATAGTTCTTTGTGTGTTTGGGCCCAGGGCTAGCTGGGCTCTACCCCTCAGAGGCCACCTGGGCTCCTGGGGTATGGACAGGCTAGTCCAAACACAGGAGACCCAAGGACCCTCCCAGCTCACTCCAGGGTCTGGTGCCTCCCGAATGTCATTGGGGAAGCCCAGTCACACCTACCTGAGGGGCAGGGCAGTGCTGGCAGCTGGGGCTTCTGCCTGTGAAGTAGTGCAGAGAGCACAAAATGCAGCTGGAGCACTGTGGGCCTGGCTCCTGTTCAGGTGGGCACTGCTGAGGGACAACAGGGCCCGGGGTGAGAAGGCAGCGGGATGGTGACTGATACCCAAACCTGCACATAGCTGAGTCAGGGCCTCAGCTTAGGTGTTCACTCTGCCGAGACTCTTTGTGGATCCCCCAAGCTCTCTGTCCCTCCAACTTCCTCTGAAAAAGAAAATTCCCTGCACATGGAAGTGAGCAGGAATTAGTCCACGTGGTCTGTGGAGCTTTGGGGCTAAGGAAAGGCTCTCACCTTCTCCTCCAACTCTCTGTGGCTCTGCAGTCCCAACAGTTGCAGCTGTTCTAGGACACCGCAGGGGCATAGCCAGCTCCCAGGGGGCCTGCCTCGTCCTCCTCTGCACCTGTACTGCACACACGGGGCACCTGGCAACACATGGCATGTGTGGGAATGGCTGGGTCACGAGGCGGCTGCCACGAGTGTGCATATCACTGTGCACCCCACATCTCCATGGCTTCTCTCCTGAGTGTTGTGTGGGCATGGTCGCTCTGAGCCTCTTCACACTTCCCTGTGCATCTTCCCATTCCATCCCCACAGCAGCCCTGGAGGTGGGTTAAGCTCATTTCCAGGTTAGGCAAGTCCCGCGGTACAAGGTCAGAATGGGCAGGAGGTGTTGACTGCTCCCCAAGGACAGCATGGACACCTCATGCATACCTCATAAATGAGGCATGGAGAATGAGGCTTAGTTCTGATCCCCAGAGATTTAGCCTCTTCTGGGGACTTCCCCATAACCTCCTTGCTTCTCTCCCCAGCAAAGAATGGTTGAGACAGAGCTGCCCTCCCACTGGGGTCACCTGGCAGTCCTCGCTGTCTGTGAGTTCTGGGAGCCGACTGCAGGTGCTGTTGGGGCCCAGCCACAAAGCCATCACTCCATTCCAGCAGCTGCAGAGACCAGAGAAAACAAAGTGGCTGAGGAGAAGCCTTGTGTGCCGAGGAGGTGCCCAGCCAGGGCAGCAAAGATGGCATGGAGGCCCGTCACATAAACCGGCATGTACAGTTGCCTGCCCCACTGCCTGGCTGAATGTTTGCCTGTCCCAACTGGATGGGCTGAGATGGAGAAAGAAGGGTGTCCCCAACTGGATGACTCAGAGCTGGTGTCAATGCCGAAAGGCCTGAGGACAGGGTCTTTCCACACAGACCTTGGGGTGTCAGTGCAGGCTCCAGACCAGTGTGATCAATCTGGACTCACCATGGGGGCCCAGGTGGAGGGGTCGGAGCAGTGGGGTCATGGGCAGAGGGATGAACTCCTTCATCTGGTCCAAGGGTGGAGGCCACAGCAGCAGGAACTGCTGATGGTGAGTGGGGAGAGAATGTCCTTTGGAAGCGGCACCTCTGACCGCCAGCCCCACTTCCCAGGTGAGGAGTCGCCCAGGTCACAGGACAGGTGAGAGGCAGAGCCAGGCCACAGCTCACTTCTGGCATAGCACCCACCCTCCATCAAGGTCAAAAGTCTCAGGGGCTATATCCTGGGGTGGGCCCTGGTGGCTCTGGGCACCAGACTCCTGGCACGCATCTCCAGGCAGTGTTCATCCCCCTGGGAGCCCTTTGCACTCAGGTCCATTGTGGAACGAACCTGCCTAGGCAGTGTTGCCCTTCCCTCCCTCCCCTCCTATCTTCCTGGAACACCGGGATGTCTGCTCCTTACTAAAAGCCCAGGGGGCACTGCAGGTTGCTCCCAGCCATGGAGTGCTGGCCTGCCGGGCAGACAACAAGGCACAGGCAGTGGCTGTCAGCTCCACCTTGGGGGAAGGGGATAGCCGTTCCTGCAAAGAGTGAAGAGCCTGTATGAGAGCCCTGCTTCCCGTTCATCTCTGCAGATGGCCCCTCTGAGCTGGCCATCTCCATTGGTGTGACTTCAGCCCAACACTGCAATTCGTGACAGCTGTAACAGCAAGCCTGCGCTGAGGACACGGGACGTGGTGGCTGGTGCCGAGGTCGGCTGCTCAGGACACAGCTGGCATGAATTGCAGGGAGAGAAAAGCAGAGAGGTCATGTAACACAGGCCACAGGCTGGCTGTGAGGCCCAGGAGCCTGGTAACCTAAGCTGGGAGGAAGCCACAGGGGCTCAGTTATCATCATCACCTCCTAGAGTTTCCAGGAGCTCAGGGCGCCTTGCAATCAACATCATAGAATAGTGGAGCTGACATTTCATCTCCTGGCACAGAAACACTCTCATTTACAGCTGGGGAGGCTGAGACCCAAAGCAGTTGAGTGACCTCACAAAGCTACCCTGAAGCCCTGGAGGGAGGGCTGGCCTGGGTGCGGGTGCAGTGCATCCAAGCCCCTGTCTGTGGCCTTGGCAAGTCAGGAAGCTTGGTGTGGGCTCCTGCCTCATCCTCAGCCACTCACGCAAACCAAACCTGTGCTGGGCACGAAGGCAGCTTGTGGCCTCCTTCGGGACTGAAGACCAAGCGAGGGCTGACTGAGCTTTATCTTGAAACTGCTCAGCAAATCCTTCTGGAGGCCTTGAGAGGCTCCAGGTTCCAGTGGGGAAGCCGCAGGCTTTGGGGACAGACAGACAGATCTGGCTGAAATCCCAGCTCTACCACCCACTTGCAGTGTGACCTTGGGCAAGTTAGCAACTTCTCTCAGACTGATTTATCACTTGCAAAATTGGGACACGATATCTACCTCTGAATTATAGGCAATAAGTGGAAAATACTATATATATATATATACACACACACACACACACACACACATAAATCATATGCATTCCTTTGACAAAGCAAAATCCTAGTACTTGTGTCATGTGAAGCCCAGCCTTGCTCCCTCCCAAGGAAAGGAGACAGACAATTCACAGAGAAAAGCTAACATCCATTAGGGCATCAGGAACCTCTTGAGGCTGCATGGGATTCAGGGGCTCCAGAAAAGGTTCAGAGTGGGTGGAGGGAGGGCGCCATCCCTGAGAGCCCCGGAAGGGAGGAAAGCTGTGTGGGAAATGCCTCCCTTGGGTCAGGGATGAGAGCTGAAGCCTGAAGACGAGGAACAGAGGGTGGGTCAGAGAAACCCAGAAAGGGGAGGCTGGTGAGCATGTGCCCCCTCCCGCCCCATCCTCAGGCACCTCCCCAGCAGCAGTGAAGGCTATGTCTTGGTTTCCTACCTGGACCTGATCCTTACTGGAGGCATGCCCTCAGCCAAGCAATTTACCTCTCTCAGCCTTGCGTCCTCACTGCATAGAGCTGATGAGGCTGACAGAACGCAGGTGTAGGCTCTAGGCCCTGTGCAGGGTGTTACTGTGTTGTCTCGCTGTTGACTCACCTGCAGTGGCGGCAACCAGGAGAGGGACCAGGCCCACCCAGAGCCCAGGCTGTGACATGCTACAGTGGTGGCCAGGAAGGGCCGGGCCAGTGGATGGGCCAGATCCTGGGCCTGTCTGGGCTGGAGCAGGTGACCTGTGCTGCTGTAATCTGACCCAGGATTCTCCCAGGGCCCCAGGGAAATGTGACCTCCCTGAGAGCATCAGAAGAGAGAGGGGAGACGTGTTCTGTGTTCTGCTCTCCTGCCCTGTCCTTCCAGAAGAGCCAGACTGCCAGGCTCCAGTCCCCTGGGAACTTGCCGGCTATGGGGTCTGGGAAATAACTTACTGTTTTGCTGTCTCAATTTCCTTGCCTGGCAAGCAGCGGTGCTGGGACAGCCCACCTGCTAGACTGTGGGAGGGCTAAAGGAGGAGTCCTCTGAGTGGGGCCCGCCTGCACAGGCACACTCAGCATCATTACTCATTCACCTTTCAATGCCCTGGGCATTTATTGGGCACCTGCTGTTTGCCTGCAGAATAGAGGGGCTGTGAGGGGGAGGCAGAGATGCCAAAGTCTGACTCATGTCCCTAAGGGCTTGACTTAAAGGTCCCGGACTAGCCCCCAGGAAGCAATGATGAACACCTGTATCCCGGCCAAGTTACCTGTCAGAACCTCAAAGCCAGGGGCGGTTTCAGGCCCGTTTCTGAAACTCAGACCTGACCTGATACTCAGACCTCTCCCAGATTCCAAGGGAGGGCAGCTAGGGCTGCAGGCGAGCAATTATGTGGCCCCACTGTGGGCCAGGCCCTGTTCTTGGCCTCTTCCCACGTGCAACCCTGCCTAGCGGTGTCCTCTTTGTGAATGCAGGGAGAACAGTGACCTGCATGAGGTGCCCCTGCGAGCCAGTGGTGGAAGCTGGTCTGTGTGGGGTTGAGTTGAGCCCATGCTGACTCAACACACTTCCAGTGGTGGGGTGAAGACTATGGTTCAATGCTCACTGTGGCCCGCTCCCCAGGGACCTTCCGGACTCGAATGTAGAGGCCCCTGCATTTGCCCAGAGATGGCCGCTCTGAGACACAGGGACACTGGTGGCTGGACCTCAGCTGTGGGACTCTCCCTCATCCCATGGCCAACCATAACACTGCCCCTCTGCTCCTCACCCACTAAGGACCATCTCAGAGTTCTGCTTAAGTGTCTACCACGTTGTTTTAATTCTCCACTTGCACTCAGTCCCACCATTATTCATCTTATTTGTTTGTTTACAGATTGTCCGTCTTTCTCCACTGGACTCCAAGCCCAGGAGGGAAGGGACCGGGTTGGTCTGTCCTCTGTGGCCCCAGTGCCTAGCATGGTGCCTGGCATATGGTAGGAACCTAGTGAGTTCTCAGGGAAGGGGTGAGAGATGCCCCAGCACAACAACTCTGTTAGCCGCAGAAGTTTATTTTTCAGGTTGATATAGACTCCTCGTAAACAAAGCAGATCTGAGTGGAGCAGCTCTGTTTGGCTTGAAGGCATGTGGGGGCCCAGGGACCCCTGCTGTGCTGAACTTCCTCCATAAGCAGCCCCTGCAAGTCCCATTCACAGCCCCCAGGGTTCAAAGAACACAGTTTGAGGAACCACTGGTCTGGGACAAGCTCCTCATTTTCCAGTGGATAAATAGAGGCAGAGAGGTAAGGTCATGTGCTCCAGGTCACGCAGTGAGAGACATGCTGAGAAGAGTACAGGGTCCCCTATTCTTGCTGTCACCCACGTGGGTGTTTAATCAGCTGTCAGGCCCAGGACCCTCTTTGGACTGGCCATCCCAACACCTGCCCCGGTCTCCCGGCTCTCAGATGGAGGCCGGAAGTGAGCCCCAGACCTAGCCTCCCCGCTGGAATGCACTCCAAAAGGCATCCTGGTAAAGAACGAAGGGGCAGGAGAAATACCGTCTCTGTGCTGTGCATCCCACAAAGGCCTGGCCTCTGCCTTGCCAATCAGCATGGCCGCATCTGCTGCACTGCATCAAGTAAGTTTACCATCCCAAAAAGAACCCAGGTGTATCTATTTTTATCTACTTGGTAAAAAAATTCCTGGGAATTCATGTAATTGTTCTTAATAATAGATAAGAATTGCCAATTAAAACTCAATTTGTAGTGTGGAAAGGGAGGCTGGGAGCCAAGTCTGCCTGGCTAAGGCAGGTCTGTGGAGCAGGGGGCTCACCAACACAAGGCCTCAAGAGAAGAAGACCCGGCCAAGTTACCTGTCAGAACCTCAAAGCCAAGGGCAGTTTCAGGCCCATTTATAAAACTCAGACCTGACCTGATACTCAGACCTCTCCCAGATTCCAAGGGAGGGCAGCTAGGGCTGCAGGCGGCTGTCTGGCTGCATTTCCTACTTCCCTTTTAATCACTCCTAGGTGCGGCTTCCGTGTTAGCACTGATAAAATCTGGTTCCCACTCCACACATAAAGCAAAAACTGGTGAGCTTATGGCAGATGTCCAGTGGATGGATGGCTTTTTGTTAAGGCAACTGCTCCAACAAATTAAGGATGTCTGAATCTAATGGGCTTGGGAAGCAGGAACTGTTTTTTGTTTTTGTTTTTGTTTTTTTAGCTTTTGATGTGTGAGCCCTGACTTCAGAAGGGGACAGTGAGAATCAGGGAAGGACCCTGGCCATTTCAAGTCATACGGTCATTGTGGTGGTGATGATGTTGGATGATGGTGATGATATTGGTGATGGTGATTGGTGATGATGACATGATGGTGATGATGAAGATAATGGTGATGGTGGTGGTGGTGGTGATGATGGTGTTGATGATCATGTTGCTGATATGATGGTGATGGTGATGAAGGTGATAACAGCAATGATGATAATGGTGATGGTCATGACGATGTTGTAGGACTTTTTCCTTAGTTCAGCTAAGAGCCAGGCTGTTGTCACAAGGTCATGAGAGATTAGGCTTGCAGACACTTTGAAGAGTGAGAAAAAAGGAGCTTATTGGACAAAAAGGGGAAAAATGGGAAACAGAGACCCTCCACAAAGCTGGAGTCCCTGCTGGTGCGCTTCCTGCCTTGCAGATCGAATCCCAGTTTCCACCCAGGAAGAGGAGGGGCCAGGCTCCTCCCCGCTGCAAACAGTGCGAACTTCTGTAACTCCACCCCAGTGTGCAGGCAGGTTGGAGTTTCTCTGCGGACCCCTTCCCACCTGGCTGTCTCAATGACAATCATTTCTTGGGGGCTTGCTTTCTTCCAGACATCATATGAACAGTACTTCCTCTGCTCCATCAATCATTCTGTGAAGTATCTGTTATTATGAACTCCATGTTATGGATGAAGAGATTGCATCATTTCCCTAAATCACTTTTCTATTGTGAGGCCAAGATGTAACCAAATTCAGGCCTGTCTGTCTTTAAAGCCTGTGATTTTAAACACACGGACGAGATTATTATCCTTGGATATACATTTGAATCCCCTTGGAAACTTCTTAAAAATCCAGATATCCAACCCCACGAATCCCCACTAGTTAAGCACGTCAGCGCTGTGCCCCATCACCTTATCCATACCTTCAAGGTCCCTGTTCCTTCTGAACTGGTTCCAGCTTTGGTTTCAGGAATTTGCAGTATCCTGGGGCAGTTGCTGCTGTGCCAAACAGAATGCGAAACTTCTCTTCCCACAGAGAAGAGGTTATCTCAAAAAATAAAAAACAAAACAAAACAAAACATAGCTTTGCAAAATCAGCAGAAATAAATCTGAAATTAGTATACCCATTAAACCCATCTTTCTTCTGTGTCCTTACCGTCACTAACTGCCGCCAGGAAATGAGTTGATTTGAAGATAAACCCACCCTCCAGCTTGATTTCTGCACAGAGCCACAATTCTGGTCAGAAGAGGTGACATTTCACCGATTCAGTATTGTCTCACCCTTTCTGAGGTCTTGCATAGGTTACACACTAGGGTGAATTAGCAGCCCTCATCATGAACGTCTGGAAGCCCTCTTCTTTGGAAAACAATAGTTGTGGTTCTCATCTGCACACTGACAAACCAGATAAACTGTTGTGGTTTATATGAAGCGTGATCTGTATCTGCATTCTAAGTGTTGAAAATTACTCTAAAGAGGGCAAATTTGTGGTCTGGGATGCTTTCAGATTCTGCTATTTTGAATATTCTTTCAAAATTTAAAAACCATTATCCGATTCAGCAAAAAAGTTGCTCATGTTATGGATGGATGAGTAAAGTTGTGACATATGTATGCATTGTTTTTCTTTAAAGGAAAATATCAACTATCATTTATATTGGAACTATTCTTATTTGTCAATTGTACCCATAGGTTGGCTACAGAAACAATAATTTGTCAAGAATTAACAAAAGCGTTCTTTGAGAATCAAATGGCAATATGGAATTTACAACTAAGAGTATTGTCTACTTTATTATTATTTGTAAGTAGTGTGGCATACATTCCTCATATCAAAAATGTTTTACAATGAATGTATGCATATATATGTATATACAATTGTTTTTGGAGAGCTGGTTGTTACACATACACCAGCACATCACTGTGTGAATCTCAAATGAGTTTCAACAGGCCCCTTAATCTTTGAGATCAATAATGGAGGATCAACTGAGCTATCTCAAGGTGCTCTGTGAACAAAAGTGTGGAGGAAGGAAAATGACAGTGGTTTGGTAAAGGCACCTAAAATGGAGCAGGAAGGCCATTTCAGCTGAGCCACAGGCATGCCTTAAGGGAAGAATGCATGACGGCCAGAACTCCAGCTGCCTGCCTTCTGCTGAGCTAGGAGGTCCCTGACTACAGACCGCCTTTTTCACTGACAAGCAATACCCTGACTTCCGAGACTGCTCTAGAGATGATCACACCAACTGGAATGGCTGAAAAACAACTTTTGTAATTGAGCCCTCTCCTGATTTGTCATATATTTTTTTGTTTCCAAAGCCTCAGCCTCTCTTTTGTTCTCTGGAACACTTCCCAAGTTAACTTGGAAGTATTTCCCAGGCGATAGCATTTAAATTTGGCTCAAATGAATTATTCATTGTATAAGCCCTGCCTCAGTTTTTTTCCAGGCTACAGTGTGATGCTGGACTGGCACACGTAAGGTGCTGCCGTCAAGACGGTGCCTCATGATGAGGTTTCTCTTCAAATAATCTGATCAATCTTTTATTCTTTAATTCATAGTACCCCTCCCCCAACCTTTTTTCCTTTTTGCCTTTGTTAGATGCCCAGGCACGCCACAGTACCAGGCGTTATCAGTACCAGCTCACATTCCTTTCCTTATTTGGAAAGAGGACTAACTTTCTAGTTCATTACAGACACCCCTTCCCCTTCCTCTCCACTTTCTTTTATGTGCCCATCTTATCTAAAAAAAATTCAAATGTTTAGCCAACTGGGATTAGTTTAGATTGTATGACCGGACCCTGGCCAGTGGGGAAAGGGTACAGGGGCAGGACTTGCATCAGGAATAAAGGCTCTCGTGCCCTTTGTTCAGGTGTGCTGCCATGGCAACTGGCCAAGGAGGCACCCCTCTGCACGGAGGTAAAATTGCTTTGCTAAGAATCCTTTGTTCGAGTGTTCAATTTCTTTAGGATTTTGAGCGTTATTCCTAACAATAGGGTGTGAACCATGTACTCAGGAGAGCAAAAAAATCTGACATATTTTGCTTTATGAAATCACTCTAATTTTGCCATTCAACTCCATCCTGCTGCACTGGTTTAAAAAAAAAAAAAAAAAAAAAAAACCTAACCTCAGACATTTGTGTGTTTCAAGTCATTTTTATGGCCAAGTCCCCATAGTTGGATCAACCTAAAAGGCAAAACACACATAAGAAGACCGTTTATTTGGGCCAAGCTTGAGGACTGCTATACTGGAGTATAGATTCAAGTTGCCCCGAATATGCATTTCAATGAGCAGCAGTTACTAGTGGGTTTTTAAAGGAAAAAAGAGGGACAGGAAGTGGCTGATAAAAGCTGTTTGTTAGGAATTCTCACTGGATTATAGAAATAACACGGATTAGTGATTTGCTATATATTGTGAAGCTATAGCACGTGGTTGCAGTGTCTGGCATGGTATTATTAGGCTAATTTACAACTACTCGTGGTGTGGGGAAAAAGAAAGAGAGATCAGACTGTTACTGTGTCTGTGTAGAAAGAAGTAGACATAAGAGACTCCATTTCGTTCTGTACTAAGAAAAATTCTTCTGCCTTGAGATGCTGTTAATCTGTAACCCTAGCGCCAACCCTGTGCTCGCAGAGGCATGTGCTGTGTTGACTCAAGGTTTAATGGATTTAGGGCTATGCAGGATGTGCTTTGTTAAACAAGTGCTTGAAGGCAGTATGCTTGTTAAAAGTCATCACCACTCACTAATCTCAAGTACCCAGGGACACAGTACACTGAGGAAGGCCGCAGGGACCTCTGCCTAGGAAAGCCAGGTATTGTCCAAGGTTTCTCCCCATGTGATAGCCTGAGATATGGCCTCGTGGGAAGGGAAAGACCTGACCGTCCCCCAGCCCGACACCCGTAAAGGGTCTGTGCTGAGGAGGATTAGTAAAAGAGGAAGGCCTCTTTGCAGTTGAGATAAGAGGAAGGCATCTGTCTCCTGCTCGTCCCTGGGCAATGGAATGTCTCAGTGTAAAACCCGATTGTAAGTTCCATTTACTGAGATAGGAGAAAACCACCTTACGGCTGGAGGTGAGACATGCTGGTGGCAATACTGCTCTTTAATGCACCGAGATGTTTATGTATGTGCACATCAAGGCACAGCACCTTTCTTAACCTTGTTTCTGACACAGAGACCTTTGTTCACATGTTTTCCTGCTGACCGTCTCCCCACTATTACCCTATTGTCCTGCCGCATCCCCCTCTCCAAGATGGTAGAGATAATGATCAATAAATACTGAGGGAACTCAGAGACCAGTGCTGGTGCGGGTCCTCCGTATGCTGTGCGCCGGTCCCCTGGGCCCGCTTTTCTTTCTCTATACTTTGTCTCTGTCTCTTATTTCTTTTCTCAGTCTCTTGTTCCACCTGATGAGAAACACCCACAGGTCCACGTGGAGGAGCTGGTCCCCTTTATCGTGGCAACAGCAAGAAGTTTCAAGGGGTGAACACGTAGCTCAAGGGGAACGCCAGAGGTGATTGCTCTCTCATTTTAATGTCCCTTTTGGCCTGATAATTTTAAAAAACTCACATTCTTCAGATAAAAGTTCTTCTCTCAGTTCTTTTGTTGCACCAAAGCCCCGGGGAGGCCCTTCTTCTCTCTGCAGATACATCAGCCATCTTAAGCACGTGGCCTCTTCTGGTCTGGAGGCTCTAAGGGTGGGTGTCCAGTCTGGACCTGGGATCTTTGTCAGGCTGGGAATGCTGGTGTTACAGGCTGGTCTTTGATTTTAGAGCTCCCAAGATGGCGGCAGGCCGCTCCCAAGATGGCGGCAAGCCTTTTGTTCTCTGACCTGGGGTTCTTGGCCTCACGGATTCCAAGGAATGGAACCTTGGGCCATGCGGTGAGTGTTATAGCTCTATTAGAAGCCATGGGTCAGGGCAGAGAACCATGGAACCCAGCGAGTAGTATTCAGCTTGATTAGAACGAATCCGGGCACTTAGCTGTGCAGGAACAACAGTGAGCCTCTAGCCCAATCGGGAGCAGCAGTGGGCGCCTCACTGGATCAGAAGCGCAGCAAACACCCTGCCAGATCGACAGGGGTGGAAGTCAACAGTGGGTCTGCAATGGCGACGATCAGCATCGGGAGCGGCAGTGGGCGCCTCACTGGACCAGAAGCGCAGCGAACACCCTGCCAGATCGACAGGGGTGGAAGTCAATGGTGGGTCTGCAATGGGGACGATCCGCAGTGGCCGACGGTGAGCGAAAGCTCAGCTCAAGCAGGAACAAACACAGACCAGAAGAGTGTGCAGTTGCAAGATTTAATAGAGTGAAGACAGAGCTCCCATAGAAGGGGAGAGGACCCAAAGGGGGTTGCCGCCACCGGCCTGAATGCCTGGGTTTATATCCTGATCATTGTCCCTCCCGCTGTGCTCTCAGGCAATAAATGATTTGATTATTTCTTTACCTCCTGCTTTTAGCCTAAGTGGTATTTTAGTGAGCTCTCTTTACTACCTGATTGGTTGGGTGTGAACTGAGTTACAAGCCCCATGTTTAAAGGTGGGTGTAGTCACCTTCCCCAGCTAGGCTTAGGAATTCTTAGTTGGCCTAGGAAATCCAGCTAGTCCTGTCTCTCACTGGTGCTGAGGGGTTGGGCTTCTTTTCAACCCCTGGGGCACACCCAGAAAGACTGGAGGGAGCCATCATGACCACAGTGCTCCTTGCCTCTCTCCCTAGCCTCAGTCCTGGGGCATTTCCCCCTTCTCTCTTGCTCTCTCAAATCTCTGGCTCTCCCTATCCCTCCTGGACATCTGTATTTCTGTGATAGGCCTGAGCTTCCACAATGGGCAGAAATTGCCTCTGGCTTTCTCTTTGCCTTACATTTAGAGGGGGACAATTAGCATGGACATACATGCATCAGGGATATTGTGACTCCCGTTGATATTATCTCAGATCCTTAAAGCCAATTTGGTAAAGCAGCTAGGCAAATTTTAGGGGTAGCTAGCTGTTGCTAGCACTGAATTCCTAATTCTGCTGCTATTGCCAAACCACTGTATGCTTTCTCCCCACATGCCAGTCAAGAGCCCATCCTCTGGTCCTTAGAGGCATTAACTTCCTTTGAAGCCTTGAAGTTAGCATTGTCTACACCCCTGCCCGCCCCACCCCAGGCTTACCTAATTTTGATAAACCTTTTCACCTATATTGTCATGAAGATAATGGGATTACTGCAAGTTTTCTAGGCCAGCCTTTTGCCTCTCAGATATGCCCTGTAGCATATTTCTCATGCCAAGTGGATCCTGTGGCAGCAGCCATGCTCCCATGCCCACGTGCAGTGTCAGCAGCTGCCCCCTAATTGCTAAAGCCACCACGTTTACATTAGGCTCCCCCATTTGCCTCTGTGTTCCCCACACTCTCTCTGCTCTTACAAGTTCCTAAGGCACAGCACCTCTCTACACGAAGACACACTACATATGAATAGTCCTATTAATCAATCCCTCTATTATCTTACATCTTCGTAGCACCTTAAATCCCTTAAATCCTGCTATGCTCCTACCCTCCCTGATGACGGACATCTTCATCCCATTCCACAGGATTGCCTAGCAGCTATAGAAATGGCTTCAAAGCCACAAGAGGGTCTCTCAGACACTCCTTTAGACAACATGTTAGCAGTGGCAGAGATCCGAGTTATCCCGAGTTAGCCGTGGCATATCTGTATGGGTCCATAGCAACTTCAGTCCTTGCCTCCTCAGAAGAAAGAATTTGACTGAGGGGCATAAAGCAGAAAAAGAGACCAAGGCAAGTTTCACAGCAGGAATGGAAGTTTACTAAACAGGCTTTAGAACAGGAAAGAAAGGAAAGAACCCTTGGAAGAGATCCTAGTGGGCGCCTGAAAGTCAAAGAGAGAAAAGGAGAGCAAAAAATGCATTTAACATTGATCTTTGGACTCTATAGGCTTGTGTCTCTCCCATGATTCTTCCCGTAGGGCGAGTTTCCTGCATGCTCAGTGCTCTCTGTACCCTTTGGAATTGAACAGCTCGTTGTGTTTAGGAGGTTATACACATGCCCATCTGAGGCTTTCTTCCTTTTCTCGTGGAGTGTACCCAGAAGATACTTTGCCATTTTTGTCTCTTAATGTGCATGCCCAGGAAGTTTCTTCTCACTGGGGCCTACACTCAATTAATATTTTGATTTCAGCAGGTGTAGACTATGAAGAAATGGCCTCTCCCTGGCTGCCAAATTATCACTGTTAGAGAGGAAGTGTGATAATCATTGAACAATCACCTGACATTTCTAGTGGGTGGGGGGAGAGCCCTCTCCTGCCCCACTCGTTGCCTTATCTAACTACCTGTAACAAACCCAGATTTCTATTTTATGATGGCTCTCATAAATGAAATTTTAAGGGGAACAGCATAAATGGCTATGCCATAGTTTCCCTGCATGCAGCCCTAGAGACATACCCTTTGCCTTGAATCTGGCCAATCTGCTGAATTTAAAGCTTTTACTAGAGCTTGCACACTGACAAAAAATAAAAACTGCCATTATTTATACTGACTCCAGATACACTTTCAGAGTCTGTCATGCTGCCAGCAAAATCTAGGAAGCCTGTAGATTCTTAACCTCCACTGGCACTCCTATTGCCAATGAATGTGTAATTGCTGCCTGTAATAAACATGCTATTCATCTTCCTATTAAATTGCTATTGCTCATTTTCTGGCCCACACTAAGGAGACTAATACTATATCTTTAGGGAATGATAGGGAACACAAGGCTGCCAAGTACACAGCCCAAAATGAACCCCTGTATTCATTTTCCACACAATTTATTAAGTTGCCTTTATCCCTGACTAATATTATTAATAAGCATATGCTCCAAAGATAGACCTTCCATGGCCCATTTCTTTTAACCTGTTGGTTTGCAGAGGGGCGTCAGTTAAGGAACTAAACAATAATTGTTTTTTCTCTAAGATTTACAAAATTTCTGACCAAATTATTTCCCAATGCATTACTTGCAAATCTCACCAAAGCTCTGGAGGAAAGCACCCTTCTTCAGGAAGGCCCACACTTTCCCTTGCAGCAGTCCAAGTGGATTCCATAGGTTGACCTCCAGCTTTAGGCTATTCTCAGTTTGGCTATTGTCTATGTTTAGTGAATGGACTGAATGCTGTCCCACTTCCTGTTCTGATGCCACAGTGTGGTGCAAACATTCATAACAGATTCTTCATTGCTTTGGCTTCCTTTTATGGATTGTCAGATCAAGGAAATCTTTTTTTTTTTTTTTTTTTTAATGAGATGGAGCCTCGCTGTGTCTCCCAGGCTGGAGTGTAGCAGTGCCATCTCGGCTCACTGCAATCTCTGCCTCCTAGGTTCAAGTGATTCTCCTGCCTCAGCCTCCCAAGTAGAAGGGGTTAAAGGTGCCTGCCACCACACCTGGCTAATTTTTGTATTTTTAGTAGAGATGGGGTTTCGCCCTGTTGGCCAGGCTGGTCTTGAACTCCTGGCCTCAGGTGATCTGCCTGTCTTGGCCTCCCAAAGTGCTGGGATTACAGGTGTGAGCCACCACGCCCAGCCAGGAACTCATTTTACAGCATAAACGACTTGCCTGCAACCACTCTAGGGTACTCCAAATTTCATAACCCATACCATTCCCGATCCCCAGGGCAAGTGGAGCATAAAAATTTAAACATTAAATGGAATTTGAGAAAAGTCTGTCTAGACACCAGAATTAAAGGGCCAGAAGCATTACCTCTGGCCCTTATAGAAATTTAGAATACTCGGAATAAAAGACATGGATTACCCCTTTTGAAATAGTGTTTGGGTGGCATCTCTAAATCTTCCATTCCTGGGTTGAATGAGCACTATGGGGACCTGTGAACAATTTGATGCTATGACTAGCTATATACGGGCACTAATATATTTGGAGCTTATCATCAACAGATAAAAAGGGTGTGATCTCCACCAACTGACAAGACTTGCCATGCTTTTTGACCAGGAGATGATGTGTACACAAAGGTTTTTAAAAGAAGGCAAGCACTGTCACCTCACTGGAAGGTCCATGTGAAGTACTGCTGACTACTTACACTACCATCAAAGTAAAATAAAACAACTCCTCGTTCATGCAAGTCACACCAAGCCAGATCCTGCTAAGCACTCTCAAGAGAATTGGAAAATCACCCCTACAGGTGACCTTTAGATGGTATTTCTTCAAAGTAGACACTTTTCCCAAGATCACAGATCAAGAAAGTTTACTTCCACCTATGTTGTCCCTGTTTTAGGACTCTGTATTACTCTACCTTTAAAAACTTTTTTTTTTTTTCTTAAAAAACCTCTTCTTTTTTTGGTTGACAATTTTTTTTCCTGTCTGTTGATGGCCTGTTAAAAAGCTGACTAGGGACTTTCTCAGTCTATTCTATTCTCTCTCTAACCCTCCACTATAAATGCTTTTTTTCAAATTGTATCTTGCTCTAATTAACACTTACCAACAGGTTGGACACAGACCTGGCACCGTTTTACATTAGCCTTTCAAACCCTCACTATGATAATTAATCAATCTGATCACTGGTTAAGCAACATCTAGGTTATTCAAAAGAACGTGAACGTGTTTCTGCCATTATAATTGTCTGGTAGATAAAGTCCAGAAAATAGACGTATGACAAGAGAAAACAGTGTCATGCTATTGTCCTTTAGGTAAATCAATTAGACACAGAGAAATCTTTATGAGAGCTCCAGGACTGTCTCTGCTCTGATAAAGTCATTAAAATATTTTTTCCTTCTACATTAAAGCAGAAATTATGCTGGACTTTTTCTTAGGTAACACACCAATGAGGTATTGCAATCAAACCCTGTGCTTTGATTCCATCATTGACATTCACAAATGTCACAAATCTCACAAAGGTCAAAAACAGTCCTGATCTGACTCTCATGATATAAACATTTGCCAAATCACCAGATCTTACAAAGGGCTCCCAAGTCAGAAGAAGCTTCCTTCCTTCCTTTATGAGGCCAGCAGATGCCAAAGATCACATGTGGATAGATTAGAATTCTGGACTAACTTGGCCAGGTTACAAAATTAAGTCCTATAACTGCCAAAACAAAACTAAAGGCCTTCTCTATCAGATTTAGCAACCCGTTCTGTTCCTATGGACTGAGAGAGACGCGTGGAGGATAAAGATGCACAGATGCCGCTATGACGGAAGACAAGGCACAGCAACAAACCCCAACCTGGGAATCACAAGTTCCACTCTGACCTTGTTTATAAACAATTCTGGTCCTTTTATCTTTGGTGATAAGGTGTATAAAAGAGCCCCACCTAGATGACTGGAGCAATGTGGATGCAGATACCTAACACCTCTGTCATCTGGTACTCTAAATGCTAGAGCAGTCACTGCACTCCAGCCTGGGCAACACAGTGAGATCCCCATTTCTTTAAAAAAAAAAAAAGGTAAGAAAAAGAAAAGATGTAGAACATCTCCTTCCCCACAGGGATCCCTCACACTGCCCTTTTTGGCCAAACCCACTTCTCTCCTGTTCCTCCTCTCCTTAACCCGTGGCCCACTAATCTGTTTTTTATTTCTAAAATTTTGTCACTTCAAGAGTACTATTTAAATTGAATCACACCATATATAACATTTTAGGACTAGATTTTTTTTTTTTTTTGAGATGGAGTCTCATTCTGTCACCCAGGCTGGAGTGCAATGGTGCAATCTCAGCTCGCTGCAACCTCCACCTCCTCCTGGGTTCAAGAGATTCTCCTGCCTCAGCCTCCTAAGTAGCTGGGATTACAGGCACATGCCACCGTGCCCGGCTAATTTTTTATTTATTTATTTATTTACTTATTTTATTTTATTTTTTTAGTATTTATTGATCATTCTTGGGTGTTTCTCGGAGAGGGGGATTTGGCAGGGTCACAGGACAATAGTGGAGGGAAGGTCAGCAGATAAACATGTGAACAAGGGTCTCTGGTTTTCCTAGGCAGAGGACCCTGCGGCCTTCCGCAGTGTTTGTGTCCCTGGGTACTTGAGATTAGGGAGTGGTGATGACTCTTAAGGAGCTTGCTGCCTTCAAGCATCTGTTTAACAAAGCACATCTTGCACCGCCCTTAATCCATTTAACCCTGAGTGGACACAGCACATGTTTCAGAGAGCACGGGGTTGGGGGTAAGGTTACAGATTAACAGCATCCCAAGGCAGAAGAATTTTTCTTAGCACAGAACAAAATGGAGTCTCCTATGTCTACTTCTTTCTACACAGACACTGTAACAATCTGATCTCTCTTTCTTTTCCCATTTCCCCCTTTTTCTATTTGACAAAACCGCCAACGTCATCATGGCCCGTTCTCAATGAGCTGTTGGGCACACCTCCCAGACGGGGTGGCGGCCGGGCAGAGGGGCTCCTCACTTCTCAGACGGGGCGGCCGGTTAGAGACGCTCCTCGCTTCCTAGACGGGATGGCGGCCGGGAAGAGGCTCTCCTCACATCCCAGACGATGGGCGGCCCGGCAGAGGCGCTCCCCACATCTCAGACGACGGGTGGCCGGGCAGAGACGCTCCTCACTTCCCAGATGGGATGGCGGCCAGGAAGAGGCACTCCTCACTTCCCAGACTGGGCGGCTGGGCAGAGGGGCTCCTCACATCCCAGATGATGGGCGGCCAGGCAGAGACTCTCCTCACTGCCCAGATGGGATGGCGGCCGGGAAGAGGCACTCCTCACTTCCCAGACTGGGCAGCCGGGCAGAGGGGCTCCTCACATCCCAGACGATGGGCGGCCAGGCAGAGACGCTCCTCACTTCCCAGACGGGGTGGCGGCCGGGCAGAGGCTGCAATCTCGGCACTTTGGGAGGCCAAGGCAGGCGGCTGGGAGGTGGAGGTTGTAGGGAGCCGAGATCACGCCACTGCACTCCAGCCTGGGCACCATTGAGCACTGAGTGAGGGAGACTCCGTCTGCAATCCCGGCACCTGGGGAGGCCGAGGCTGGCGGATCACTCGCGGTCAGGAGCTGGAGACCAGTCCGGCCAACACGGCGAAACCCCGTCTCCACCAAAAAATACAAAAACCAGTCAGGCGTGGCGGCGCGCGCCTGCAATCCCAGGCACTCGGCAGGCTGAGGCAGGAGAATCAGGCAGGGAGGTTGCAGTGAGCCGAGATGGCGGCAGCACAGTCCAGCCTCGGCTCGGCATCAGAGGGAGACCGTGCAAAGAGGGAGACGGGAGAGGGGGAGGGGGAGGGGGAAGGCTTTTTTTTTTTTTTTTTTTTTTTTTTGGTGTCTTTAGTAGAGACGGGGTTTCACAGTGTTAGCCAGGATGGTCTCTGTCTCCTGACCTCGTGATCCACCTGCCTCGGCCTCCTAAAGTGCTGGGATTACAGGCGTGAGCCACCGTGCCCAGCCTAGGATTAGATTTTTAAACTCTGCATACTCTGTGAAAATTTGTCCAAGGTGTATATATCAGGAGTTCATTCCTCTGTTATTGAGTACTATTCTATGGGATGGATGTGCCACAGTGTGTTTAACCAGACACCTGTCAAAGGACGTTTGGGTTGTTTCTAGACTGGGGCTATTACAAATAAAGCTGCTATGAACATTTGTGTACAGGTTTTTGTGTGAATGTAAGTTTTTGTTTCTCTGAAATAAATAAGTGCCCAGGAGCACGATTGCTAGTTATCAGCTTTTTTTATTTTAGTCATTCTAATAGGTGTGTGGGATATCTCTTTGTGTTAATTTTCATTTCCCTGCTGGCAAACAAAGTTCAATATTTATGAATGTGGCTCTTGGCTATTTGTGTGTGTGTATATATACATATATATATATTCACCATTCAGAACCTTCATCTACTTTTTAATGGAATTTTTGTCTTTTTATTATTGAGTTGTAAGAGTTCTTTCTGTATTCTAGATACAAATCCCTCATCAGATACGTGCTTTTCTCCATTTTATGGGTTATCATTTCACTTTTCTTGATGATCTCATTGAAGCAAAAAAGTTTTTAATTTTGATGAAGTATATTTTTTCTTCTCTGCCATCTGTGTTTTAAGGCAAGGTCCAATTTATTTTTTTCTTCTGTTGCTGATACTTTTGGCATTACACCTAAGAAACCTCCGCCTAATCCAAGATCATGGACATTTACTCCTGTGTTTTCTTCTAAGAGTTTAGTGGTTTTAACTCTTACGTTTTATGTCTTTTATACATTTTGAGTTAGTTTTTGTATATGGAGTGAAGTAGGGGTCCACCTTCATTCTTTTGCTTGTGGATATCCAGTTGTTCCAGCACCATTTGCTGAAAACACTATTCTTTTTTTTTTTTTTTTTTGAGACGGAGTCTCGCTCTGTCGCCCAGGCTGGAGTGCAGTGGCACGATCTCTGCTCACTGCAAGCTCCACCTCCCAGGTTCACGCCATTCTCCTGCCTCAGCCTCCTGAGTAGCTGGGACTACAGGCACCCGCCACCATGCCTGGCTAATTTTTTGTATTTTTAGTCGAGATGGGGTTTCACCGTGTTAGCCAGGATGGTCTCGATCTCCTGACCTTGTGATCTGCCCACCTTGGCCTCCCAAAGTGCTGGGATTACAGGCATGAGCCACCACACCTGGCCTAAGACTATTCTTTCTCCATTGGATTGTTCTTGCATCTGATATGGTCTGGCTGTGTCCCCATCCAAATCGCATCTTGAATTGTAGCTCCTGTAATCTGCACGTGTTGTGGGAGGGACCCAGTGGGAGATGACTGAATCATGGGGTGGTTTCCCCCATACTGTTCTCATGGTAGTGAATAAGTGTCACAAGAGCTGATGGTTTTATAAAGCAAAGGCCCTCTCGCTTGGCTGTCATTCTCTCTTTTGCCTGCCACCAATGTAATATGTGCCTTTCTGCTTCCGCCATGATCCACGTGAAACTCTGAGTCAATTAAACCTCTTTTTCTTTATAATTTACCCAGTCTTGGGTATGTCTTTATCAGCAGTGTGAAAACAGATTAATACAGCATCCTTGTCAAAAATCAATTGACTGTGAATATGGCGAGTTGTTTCTGGACTCTTAATTATATTCTGTTGTTGTGATGTCTACACTTTTGCTAATACCACTTTTACTGTATTGATTACTGTAGCTTTGTACTAAGTTTTGAAAGTAGGAAATGTGAGCTCTCTACTTTTGTCCTTCTTTTTCAAGATCTAAATCATTTGGGCCATTCTGGGTCCTTTGCATGTCCACTTGAATTTTAGGGTCAGGTCGTGAATTTCTCCAAAATTGCCATTTCCCATTGGGGTTTGCTAGGGATTGCATTCCTCTGTAGATAAATTTGAGAAATATAGCATTCTTAATATTAGGTTTTCCAATCCATAACCATGGATTCCTTTCTATCTATTTAGGAGTTTTTAAATTTCTTTCAACAGTGTTTTGTAGTTTTCAGTGTACAAATCTTGCAGTTTTTAATTGAATTTACTCCTATGTTTTTCTTTTTGATGTTATGTACATGAAATTGTTTTTCTTAATTGTACTTTTGGATTGTTTACTACTAATATTTAGCCAGCAATCACTTTTAATAGGCCTTTGATGAAAATCATTTGCTTTTTTTTTTTTCTGACAGGGTCTCACTGCCACCCAGGCTGGAGTGCAGTGGTATAGTCACAGCTTACTGCAGCCTTGACTTCTTGGGTTCAAGCAGTCCTCCCACCTCAGCTCCCAGAATAGATGGGAATATAGGCATGTGCCATGATGCTCAGCTAATTTTTTAATTTTTTGTAGAGATGGGGGTCTCACTATATTGCCCAAGCTGGTCTCAAACTCCTGGCCTCAAGCAATCCTCCTGCCTCGGCCTCTCAAAGTTCTGGGATTACAGGCTTGAACCACTACACCTTGCCAACATTTGGTGCAATTGCAAATTTAATTAAGGAGATATCTTCCAACATTCTAAACTGCCTTTATAAGTTTAATATACTCATTTTCCTTTTTAATTATGTCAGTGATCTGACAATAAATTGGTTTTCAGTCTCTTAAATGAGCCTTTGTATCAGTAAGTTAAATTTGAAATATGATGAACTTTATATTCTCTTAAATGTTCCAACAGTTTGTTAACTTAGATTTCAACCTGAAACCACAAGTCTAAAGTAACTATGCAATTACACACCAGAGTCTAGGTCCCAAATCTCTAATGTATTATCTGCAGAAAATTCCAAATGTGCAGACTTCTTAACACTGAGACATTAACACCTAAATTTTCCTGAACCCATGCAAATCCTTCTGAGATTGGCATGTGTGTGCCTACCGGGAAGGGCAGTTGCTATCCCAGTTGCCTGCAGAACTTGTTGGCAGTTTCACTCACCTAAGGAATAATCTAAAAGTCTTAATCAGTAATTGTAGCTGGTTCAAGCAAATGGACTTACACAAAAAAGTATTTACATAAATGCAAGCCCAAGTTTCTCATTATGTTTTTTAAAAAGCCTTTATTTTGATGTTTCATATCAATTTCACCTTTAATGCCTCCCAATACCTTTAAAATTATTTTTATCATAGTTAAATGTATACAGAAAGGTAATGTGATGATTTTTTTCACTAAGTCCGTACTTTATTCCATTGTGCAAAAAAAAAAATTATTATTTTCTATGCATTCCATGATGTGTAAAAAGATTGGGAAGTAAAATATAAGAAGGTTCTACTGTGCCAGGCTCTTGGTCCACATTTCCTTATTTAATTCTCACAACAGAAGGCAAAAAGGTGAGTGAATGGCCCAGGACAAGTCTCTGACTCCTAACCAGCTGGCTCTCAAGAGATACTTGCCAAAGGAAGAAATGGCCTATGTATACCATTCACACTTTAGTATGAATTTATTCCTACAGTATTATTTCCACTCTGCATCTGAAATGAAAGACAAGTGTTTCATGTAAGCTGCACCAGTAAGAGATGCCTAAGAAGCTGGCTGGTTTTTGCTGTGCAAGTGGTTCGACCTGGGGCTGCAGAATACTCTGGCCTAATTCAGAGCTGAGAACACAGACACCGTGGGCCCAGGAGTCCACCTGCCTTGAGTGTTGTGACTGCACTTGGGCAGGAGTGGAGCCAAAAAATAAAAACAGAAGCAGCCTTGGCACATAGTAGAACCTTCTTATATTTTATTTACTTCCCAACCTTTTACATGTCATGAAATGCATAGAATACAATACAATTTTTTTTTTTTTTTTTTTTTTTTTTTTTGGCAGAGAGTGGTTCCCCAAGGTGGATGCTATTCGGGGAAATCTTGCTGATCTTGCCCTCTTCCCAAATGCATGGGAAATATTACCCATTTGTCACACAAGCTGTCTGAGGACGCAGTAGCCTGTGAGGTCAGGGGAAGAGCCCTGGCTCCTCTGAACCTTCCTCTTGGTAGCACAGGCCATGGCACTTCGGCATGTCAGATCTAAGCCAGAATGCAACCTCCTCAGTCACCCACCCTGTGAGCTGTGGGCTGGCAGCCTGACCTCTCTGAGCCCAGGCGGGTGAGGAACCCTGCCCAGGTCCGTGGGGGGGTGGAAGGACCAGATGTCACGTGCCTGGCACATCCTGAGTCCCACTTCATGTCCTTTCCCTCACCCTCCGTGTTCCCTCAGCTGAGCTGGGCCCAAATCTTCATCCCAGGGAAATGGGACCCAGTGACCAACTGGGCTGTGCTACTGCAGGCACCTTTGAAATGAGCCCAGGGGAAGCAGTAAGAAAGCAGCAGGCTATGCTTGGAGAAGCGCCCGTCCTGTCCACCATCGCTCCACCTTTCTCCATCACTCCTTACCTGACCTACCCCAACACAGGTGGCCAGAGGCAGGAGGGCTCCCCAACAGCTCCTACAGGTGTTCCCTGCAGCTTCCAGCCAATTCTCACAGAGCGACAGCTGTTCTTCTGGCCTTTGCTTGGGGTCTGAGCCCAAGCACATGTATCCACATGTGCGAGTTCAGGCTGAGCTCCCACGGTGGGCAGCACCTTTTGTGTGTGTGCCTGTGCATGTGTGCACACATATGTGTGAACTGTGCAGGCTGTAATTTCCAAAACCAAATTTGGCTTTTTTTGATTTGTAAGTTATTTACATCAACGAATTTTAAAGAAGCATAAAATGAAATTAAGTTAAAGTTTTAGTGGATCACCTCTGAAAAAGAAAAACTTTCATTCTGTGAAATTGGATTTCTAGAAAATTCCAGGATTCCCCACAGTTAAAGGCACAAGGCAGGGACAAATTCTGGCCATGTCACATGCAGGGGGCATGGGTAGTAAGAGTGGGAAATGGGGTTCGGGGCTCAGTTCCCCAGCACCTTGCTCTTCCTTTTTCTGACTCTCCTGGTTTGTCTTTTCTGGTGTCTGTGAGCCCCTCAAGGGCAGAGGCCATTTCTCATTCATCCTAGCATCCAGTACCCAGGGCCCAGCCTGTCATGAGGAGGTGCCCAGCAATCTGAGCGTATTTAAGACTGGGTCCTGATTCTGTCTTTTGTCCCCTCCTTGGGTTCCCAAACTCTCTGTATTCTGCTCCTTCACATTTAAATTGACCCCCAAACAGGATCTCCCAGCCTCCTTGGAGATGTGGGCTTCATGCAGGGATGACAGAGGCTGGGGTCTGGAGCCTTCCCCCAGTGCCACCGAGCTGGAGCCTGCTGAGTTTGCAAGTCATCACGGAGAATCCTCGGATCCTTCGGAGATACCACCCCTGGGCCTACTCTGGGTTCTGAGATGGCAGCCCTAGTGCCAACCTCATCCAGAAGTCATCACTCCCTGGGGGACTGTGAGGGTGTCATCGAATATCTGCCAATCTGCTGACAAGTAGACATCCCAATGGCCATGGAGAAAACATCCGTGCAAGGGCTTTGATCCTCCGAGGCTCCATGAGAACACTGCTATTATAATAGTTACTAAGCCTAATAAAAAGTATAATGATAGAATATATATCACGATGTTGACCCAAAATGGCAATGTTTAGTTCTTAGGGAATTCAAAGTACACAAAGTCCTTGAGAAGGACACAGCTCTCAAAGAGACTCAGGTCACCTCCCTGCAGTCGTCACCCTCCCCGGTAGCCAGTGCAGGCACAAGGATCTGCCACTCCCTGCTTAAACCCTACCCCCTTCCAGAGCTCCCCATTCCCTGTGGGAAGTCACAGGAACACCCAATCCTTGTGAGCCAGACCTTGGCCCAGACTCTCGCCAGTCACCAGCCAGCTGGCTGCTGCTGTTCCGGTGCCCTTCCTCATGCTGTTCCCAGCGGACTCTCCCCACAGGCTGCCCTTCATCCTCCAGAGCTCCACCAGGGTGATCGTAGACCAGAAGGGTCCAGGTGCTTGACCAGCAATCATTCTAGTAACTTTTGGGAGGTCACACTTTCTAGGAGGCCTCTAGTAAGTCCCTCCCCTCCACTTCCAGCTGGGGCCGGTGACCCCTCACCCTAAGACGTGAGGCCTCTAGATCTGTCTTATTCTGCTCCCAGCCTTCCAGGTTCTGGAGAGCAGGAGGCCCTGGCCCAGGAACAGGCACCCAGCAGATGCTCAGCAGCCATGTGTGCAACAGAACTAAATCTTCCAGCTTTGGCTGAAAGCAAACATCATGGCTGTCTCAGCAGGCACGTGCTCCCAGGGTTGTGTCCTTCCTGGAAGATCTCAGCTTCTCCCACATCTGTGTCTCCTGAATCCACACCAAAGGAGCCTCGTTCAGAAGGGACCCCAGGACAGGGCACGGACACCTGTAATCCCAGCACTTTGAGTGGCCAAGGCAGGCAGATGGTTGAGCCCAGGAGTTTGAGACTAGCCTGGGCAACATGGCCAAATCTGTCTCCACAAAAAACGAAAAATTAGCAAGGTGGGTGGTGCACACCTGTAGTCCCAACTACTTGGGAGGCTGAGGTGGGAGGATCGCTTGAGCCTCACAGGCCAAGGCTGCAGTGAGCTATGATCTAGCCACTGCACACCAGCCGCTGCAACAGAGTGAGACCCTGTCTGAAAAAATAAATAAATAAAAAATAAAAGGAAGGAGCCCTGGGTTTGATTCGGGCCTCACGATGTGCCCTCTCACTGCACGAAAGTGGCCCAGGGGCACACTCTGCCCCTCTCTAGGAGGTGGTAGTGACCTGGGAGGGCCTTGGAGCGGATCTTTGTGTCCCTCAGTACATGGAGAAGTAAACTGAGGCACAGAGAGACGGGCATGTGTCCCAGATGGTGGGAGCCAGTGCTCGCTGGGGCAGCCCCTCCTTGGACCCAGCGGCAGAATTTCAGCAGCAGGTGGGGCCAAATAATCGGGTCCAGGGTGAGAGAAACACCTGTGTAAATTTGTCTTATAGGGCCCTGGAGAGGAAGGGTAGGAGCTGGGGCAGGTCAAGGTGCCCCTGGAAGCTTCTAGAGACCTGGATACACACCAGACAGCAGCGGCTGATGAAGGAAACAGGTGGGCTTTTAACAAAGTGTGGACAGTCACGATTCTTTCCCTGTAGCCCTGGGACCCCAATGTCCTTAGCCACGGTCCCTCAGCTGCCCCGGGAGCCGCCAGCATGAGCCGGTGTCCCGTTTTAGCGCAGGCGTGCCCTGGGACACTGCGGGCGCCCAGTGACCCGACTGAGCAAAAAGGGGCTTCAAGTGGAAGCCCCTCTTCCAGGCACCTCCGTGTCACTCCTGCGCCTGCATAGGGTGCCTTCCCGGTAAGATCCTGAGAGCTTGCACGGGCCGGTCCGGGCTCCCGGCTCTGCCCACCTGATGTCACTCGAGGACTGCCCCTCCCGGCCTTCGCGCGGAGCGCGGGCGCCACCCAGTGGTGCATTCGAGTAACCGAACCCAGCTCTCAGCCAGATCCCCGCCTCCAGCGGGCTCCCCAGTTATTTTCTCTTAAAAAGGGCCTTAACTCTATGTTGAATAGGAGTGGTGAGAGAGGGCATCCCTGTCTTGTGCCAGTTTTCAAAGGGAATGCTTCCAGTTTTTGCCCATTCAGTATGATATTGGCTGTGGGTTTGTCATAGATAGCTCTTATTATTTTGAGATACGTCCCATCAATACCTAATTTATTGAGCGTTTTTAGCATGAAGGGATGTTGAATTTTGTCAAAGGCCTTTTCTGCATCTATTGAGATAATCATATCTCAATATGGTTTTTGTCTTTGGTTCTGTTTGTATGCTGGATTACATTTATTGATTTGCGTATACTGAACCAGCCTTGCTTCCCAGGGACGAAGCCCACTTGATCATGGTGGATAAGCTTTTTGATGTACTGCTGGATTCGGTTTGCCAGTATTTTATTGAGGATTTTTGCATCAATGTTCATCAAGGATATTGGTCTAAAATTCTCTTTTTTGGTTGTGTCTCTGCCCGCCTTTGGTATCAGGATGATGCTGGCCTCATAAAATGAGTTAGAGAGGATTCCCTCTTTTTCTATTGATTGGAATAGTTTCAGAAGGAATGGTACCAGTTCCTCTTTGTACCTCTGGTAGAATTCGGCTGTGAATCTGTCTGGTCCTGGACTCTTTTTGGTTGGTAAGCTATTGATTATTGCCTCAATTTCAGAGCCTGTTATTGGTCTATTCAGAGATTCAACTTCTTCCTGGTTTAGTCTTGGGAGGGTGTATGTGTCGAGGAATTTATCCATTTCTTCTAGATTTTCTAGTTTATTTGCGTAGAGGTGTTTGTAGTATTCTCTTATGGTAGTTTGTATTTCTGTGGGATCAGTGGTGATGTCCCCTTTATCATTTTTTATTGCATCTATTTGATTCTTCTCTCTTTTCTTCTTTATTAGTCTTGCTAGTGGTCTATCAATTTTGTTGATCCTTTCAAAAAACCAGCTCCTGGATTCATTAATTTTTTGAAGGGTTGTGTCTCTATTTCCTTCAGTTCTGCTCTGATTTTAGTTATTTCTTGCCTTCTGCTAGCTTTTGAATGTGTTTGCTCTTGCTTTTCTAGTTCTTTTAATTGTGAAGTTAGGGTGTCAATTTTGGATCTTTCCTGCTTTCTCTTGTGGGCATTTAGTGCTATAAATTTCCCTCTACACACTGCTTTGAATGTGTCCCAGAGATTCTGGTATGTTGTGTCTTTGTTCTCATTGGTTTCAAAGAACATCTTTATTTCTGCCTTCATTTCGTTACTTACCCAGTAGTCATTCAGGAGCAGGTTGTTCAGTTGCCATGTAGTTGAGCGGTTTTGAGTGAGATTCTTAATCCTGAGTTCTAGTTTGATTGCACTGTGGTCTGAGAGACAGTTTGTTATAATTTCTGTTCTTTTACATTTGCTGAGGAGAGCTTTACTTCCAACTATGTGGTCAATTTTGGAATAGGTGTGGTGTGGTGCTGAAAAAAATGTATATTCTGTTGATTTGGGGTGGAGAGTTCTGTAGATGTCTATTAGGTCCACTTGGTGCAGAGCTGAGTTCAATTCCTGGGTATCCTTGTGAACTTTCTGTCTCATTGATCTGTCTAATGTTGACAGTGGGGTGTTAAAGTCTCCCATTATTATTGTGTGGGAGGCTAAGTCTCTTTGTAGGCCACTCAGGACTTGCTTTATGAATCTGGGTGGAAGTTCTGGCCAGGGAAATTAGGCAGGAGAAGGAAATAAAGGGTATTCAATTAGGAAAAGAGGAAGTCAAGTTGTCCCTGTTTGCAGATGACATGATTGTATATCTAGAAAACCCCATTGTCTCAGTCCAAAATCTCCTTAAGCTGATAAGCAACTTCAGCAAAGTCTCAGGATACAAAATCAATGTACAAAAATCACAAGCATTCTTATACACCAATAACAGACAAACAGAGAGCCAAATCATGAGTAAACTCCCATTCACAATTGCTTCAAAGAGAATAAAATACCTAGGAATCCAACTTACAAGGGACGTGAAGGACCTCTTCAAGGAGAACTACAAACCACTGCTCAGTGAAATAAAAGAGGATACAAACAAATGGAAGAACATTCCATGCTCATGGGTAGGAAGAATCAATATTGTGAAAATTTATAGATTCAATGCCATCCCCATCAAGCTACCAATGACTTTCTTCACAGAATTGGAAAAAACTACTTTAAAGTTCATATGGAACCAAAAAAGAGCCCGCATCGCCAAGTCAATCCTAAGCCAAAAGAACAAAGCTGGAGGCATCATGCTACGTGACTTCAAACTATACTACAAGGCTACAGTAACCAAAACAGCATGGTACTGGTACCAAAACAGAGATATAGATCAATGGAATAGAACAGAGCCCTCAGAAATAACGCCACATATCTACAACTATCTGATCTTTGACAAACCTGAGAAAAACAAGCAATGGGGAAAGGATTCCCTATTTAATAAATGGTGCTGGGAAAACTGGCTAGCCATATGTAGAAAGCTGAAACTGGATCCCTTCCTTACACCTTATACAAAAATTAATTCAAGATGGTTTAAAGACTTAAATGTTAGACCTAAAACCATAAAAACCCTAGAAGATAACCTAGGCATTACCATTCAGGACATAGGCATGGGCAAGGACTTCATGTCTAAAACACCAAAAGCAATGGCAACAAAAGCCAAAATTGACAAATGGGATCTAATTAAACTAAAGAGCTTCTGCACAGCAAAAGAAACTACCATCAGAGTGAACAGGCGACCTACAAAATGGGAGAAAATTTTCGCAACCTACTCATCTGACAAAGGGCTAATATCCAGAATCTACAGTGAACTCAAACAAATTTACAAGAAAAAAACAAACAACCCCATCAAAAAGTGGGCAAAGGACATGAACAGACACTTCTCAAAAGAAGACATTTATGCAGCCAAAAGACACATGAAAAAATGCTCACCATCACTGGCCATCAGAGAAATGCAAATCAAAACCACAATGAGATATCATCTCACACCAGTTAGAATGGCAATCATTAAAAAGTCAGGAAACAACAGGTGCTGGAGAGGATGTGGAGAAATAGGAACACTTTTACACTGTTGGTGGGACTGTAAACTAGTTCAACCATTGTGGAAGTCAGTGTGGTGATTCCTCAGGGATCTAGAACTAGAAATACCATTTGACCCAGCCATCCCATTACTGAGTATATACCCAAAGGACTATAAATCATGCTGCTATAAAGACACATGCACACGTATGTTTATTGCAGCTCTATTCACAATAGCAAAGACTTGGAACCAATCCAAATGTCCAACAATGATAGACTGGATTAAGAAAATGTGGCATGTATACACCATGGAATACTATGCAACCATGAAAAATGATGAGTTCATGTCCTTTGTAGGGACATGGATGAAATTGGAAATCATCATTCTCAGTAAACTATCACAAGAACAAAAAACCAAACACTGCATATTCTCACTCATAGGTGGGAACTGAACAATGAGAACACATGGACACAGGAAGGGGAACATCACACTCTGGGGACTGTTGTGGGGTGGGGGAAGGGGGAGGGATTGCATTAGGAGATATACCTAATGCTAAATGAGGAGTTAATGGGTGCAGCACACCAGCATGGCACATGTATACATATGTAACTAACCTGCACATTGTGCACATGTACCCTAAAACTTAAAGTACAATAATAATAAAATTTAAAAAAAGGGCCTTAACTCTGCAGTGAGTAATAGCTCCACGATCTTAATGTAAAAGCGGCAGGATTGTTTCCTCTCATGGCTGAGGGAATGTCACCGGGTAGGTTCCTGCCAGGTGTGATGATGCAAATCAGTAATGATCCTTCATAGGCTTTCAAACCTACTTCAGGCACACTTGCACATGTACCTCTCACCTGCACCTTGGCATAACCTTACCGTCTTGGACAGCTTGGGCCATCATAACAAAACACCAGATGACTTAAACAACAACATTTTATTTCTCACAGTTCTGCAGGCTAGAAGTCCAGGATCAAAGTGCCAGGGGATTCCATTCCTGGTGAGGGCTCTGTCCCTGGCTTGCAGGTGGCAGCCTTGTCACTGTGTCCTCACATGGCAGAGAGTGCGAGTTCTCTTCCTTTTCTTTTAAGGACACTGGCCCTATTGAATGAGGGTCCCATCATTATGACCTCACTTAAACTTAATTGTCTCCTAAAAACTCTGTCTCCAAATACAGTTGCATTGGGGGTTAGGGCTTCAACATATGAATTTGGGGGCTGGCGGCGGGGACACAATTCGGTCCATAACCCCCACCTTGACATAACTACAACTTAACATGATGGCGCCTTGACATAACTACCTCTTGCCATATCTAAACCTTGAAGTGAATGCACCTTGATGTTGCTACACCTTGTTGTAATTACACCTAACCTAACTGCACCTTGACTTAACCTAACCTTGGAATAACCCCTTGACAGGATGGCATTAGCCACCCTGATGTAACTACACCTTGACATACGGTGTAGGAATCCTTACGCATCCCAATTTATGAACAAAGATTTGAGTCTTTCAGCAGTGGCATGACTTTCCTGAGTTGGCAAAGCCAGAAAGAAGCAGAAGGGGCCTCCTTCATGTTCTCCTTCCTGCTTCCCTGATCTCTAAATTTGGAGCCTGGGTCAGGTAGCTTGTGGGAGTTGACCCTGAGAGAGTCATTCCCCATGCTCCCTTCTTCCTAAAAGTGACAGCATGTTTCTGAGATGTAAATCCTGTCTCCTTCCTACTGCTGTTCTCAATGCTTCACTTCTGATACCAGAAGTGCGGGCATTTTCCCCACACCAACCACTTCTCCAATTCTTGGAACACCAATTAGGTGTCCTATAATTTAACTCAGTTCTGATACTATCTACCTGGAGTTAGCATCAGATCCCACACATTACAGGCTCAGTCCCACAAGACCACTCCCATTTCAGATGCCAAATTCTAGTCCAGGTTGGCACCTGTGCTTCTGACCAACTATAAACTTGAGGTTTCCACAACCCCCTCTTTATACTGGATAGTTTGCTAGAATGGCCCAGAGAACTCATGGGAACAGTTTAGTTATAAATGATACAACTCAGGGATGCAAAGACATAAGAATGACGGGTGCATCAAAATCTCAGAACTCACCGCTATAGCACTTGTCCACGCATCCAAATGCTGCCTGCTCCCCCTAGACTACTGACATAATAATAATAAAAAGGATAAAACTCAGGGACAGCCAGTGGAAGAGATGTATGGAGCCAGGTATGGGGAAGGGGCATGGAGCTTGCATGCCCTCTCCAGACACACCACCTTCCCATCACCTCCACATGTTCACCAACCCGGAAGCTCTCCCAACACCATCACTTTGGAGGTGTTCATCATGTTGGCATTTTTCAATGGAGGCTTCATTTTGTAGGCATGATTGATTAAATCACTGGCCACTGGTGATTAACTCCATCCCCAGCTCCTCTCCCAAACCAGAAGTCGGCAGTCAGTAGGGCTGAGTATTTCAACCGTCTAATCACACAGTTGGTTTCCCTCACAACCAGCACCATCCCGAGGCCACCCAGGAGCCCCCACCCTCCTAGTCATCTCGTTAGTTACAAAAAGCCATATATCACTTTGGAGATCCCAAGGGTTTTAGGAGCTCCATTTCTTATTATATGTCACAATGTCAGTCTTCACATAAGAAGCAAAGGCAGAGGAAGGAGATGCCCTGAGCAGAGCTGCTCCAGCCAGCTCCAGCTTCCTCCAGGGGGAAAGTGAAGACCCCTGCTCCATCTCACTCAAAGGCCACAGTTGCTACTCCTGGCCCCCAAATCCTGCTGCTTCTCCAGTTCAGCTCTGGCATTTTTAAAGCCATTGTTCTAGCAGTTCCCTCAGAACAGGTCCTCACACACAGGTCCTTGGGGCTCTGGGGGCACTTAACACATTTTTATCAGCACTATGAAGAAAGAAAAGAACTTCTACCTGAGGTATGAGAGTCCATTTAAATTATCAGGCCCAGAGAGACAATAAAATGAGATAGTAATCAACCTTGAGCTACGTATTCAGCTCTTGAAACTGCTTGCCAAGGATAAGGAGCCATAAATTAACCTAATAAAGCCACACCAGGCACTAAACCACGCAGTATGGCCTCACAATGTAGAGCCAATCATGAATCAATGTTATTTCTTTCTTTTTTTTTTTTTTTGCGGTGGAGTTTCACTCTTTCACCCAGGCTGGAGTGCAGTGGCGCAATCTTGGCTTACTGCAACCTCTGCCTCCCTGGTTCAAGTGATTCTCCTGCCTCAGCCTCCTGAGTAGCTGGGAAAGGCACCACCACCACGCCCTGCTAATTTTTTGTAGTTTTAGTAGAGACAGGATTTCGGCATGTTGGCCAGGCTGGTCTCAAACTCCTGACCTCAAGTGATCCGCCCGACTCGGCCTCCCAAAGTGCTGGCATTACAGGTGTGAGCCACCGTACTCAGCCTCAAGGTTATTTCTATAAACTAATGAGAATTCCTGATGGATTTATATCGGCCCACTTGTTGTCCCCGCTTTTGCCTTTAAAAAACTTCTTATAACAAAGACCCAATGAAGCTCATTTCCAAGCTTACTTGGGTCTGAGTCTTCCAGGCAGCTGTCCTTACTTTGGCTCAAGTAAACTCTTTATATTTTACGCCTCAAACTCTTCCTTTTAAGTCAACACCTACTAGTGCTGGGCCCAGAGCCAGGGGTGGCCTGGAATCAAGCTGGGCCCTTCGTCAGCTGGCCAGCCTTCCCTACAGCCAAGACATCCTTGGCTGTGCATGATTCATGGCCCTGTAGGGCCACCAAAGCTGGACCGGGTCCTGGCAGTGGCAGGCCAGTCTCTTCCTCTTTGTACAGATGGGAAGCTAGAGTGAAAGAAACTAATTCACCATAGTGCAGGCCAAGGAGAAAAGGAAAGAAGCAGAGAACATCCCTTTTCCCCTGAGATGTAGACCGTGGGTTGGGGGTGAGGACTAGGAGGGCTTAAGAGCCAGCCATGTCATCCGTCCCTGTAGCCCGGCTGTGGCTCTTGCAAGTCCCCATTCCTGTGAACAGTGTGAGCAGAGCACTCAGAGCTGAGGTTGGTGGGGTCAGGGGTGGGTGCTGGGCATAGGGAAGGGCAAAGATGATAAAAACATCCAAGAACCAAATTCCTGCTCATGGAATCTCATAGTCTTGTGAGGGAGACCAGCACTGCATGAGTGGGTAACGCAGCACAGCACAGCACAGCACAGCACAGCACGCAACCCGGGTGCAGAGGTGTCCAAGGAGCCAATGATTGATTAACTGCACAGAAGGGCTGGGGGCGTTGAGGAAGACTTTGAGATTAAAAGATAACAAGAGTTTCTCATATAGACAAGAAGAGGGCTTCATGTTCCCAGGGAGAGGGAATAGAATGTCCACCGTGTGCACGGACGCAACAGCAGGGCTGAGCTGGCTGCAGCTGCCATGCTGACACTGGACCATCAGGGCTGGGCGATGCGGGTAGCAAGAGCTGCAGCTGGACATAAGGCAAGGTCATACCTGTCATTAAGGCATGGGAGGTCATTTTCCAAAAGGTTCGAACTTTATCCTGAGGGCAGGGAAGAATTGGGGGCCAGAGATGGGCAGAATCTGACCATGGCTGAGAGACTGGCCCAAGTCTTTGGAGATGCTGCCTGACTCTGGGATGTAGGTTCTGCAGTATCCAGTGGTGAAGGTGTGGGCAGGCTGGGAGGTAGGAGGAAGAAGACCAATTCCAGGTCCATTCTGGAGGTAGAGTCTCTGGATCAGGCCTGAGGGAGGACCATGCTTTGGAGGGAAGGCCCTGGTGGGCCTTTGGAGGAAGCGGAAGGTGGGAAAGAGTACTTCTACCAGGCTGCAGTGCATTCAGCTGCATGTATCGTGAGCTGACCACGGTGGGAAACGGATTTTGTCATCTTGGACTTCTTACAAAGTTCAAGCAAAGAGGTGGCTGGTGTTGGTCGAACAGCTGCCAGCATCTGGGATTCTATTTTTGCCATCTCTTTGGCCATGAAGTCCTTGTCCAAGGCAGGAAGAGGAGGTGGCAGTGTAGTGGATGTGGTGGTATCCTGCCCAGGTCACCTGTTCAAGCCAAGGCATTCCCTACAGCTGCTGGGGAGAGCAGCTGCTACAGATGCCTTCACCCCTGCCTGGGAACTACCTACCGGCTGACGTGAGAGACAAAGGCTCTGCCCACTTTACTCAAGGCAGGGCAGCTGCAGGGCCAACCAGCTCCAGAACTCCCTGCAGTGTCAGCCACAGCCTCAGTTGCAACCTCATTGCCAGCCAGCTTTTCCCACTGCCCCCTCATTTGTCCCAGGTGCATCTTCCAAAAGCCCCCGCAGTAAACTTCCTGCATGCACAGGGCTCTCCGTCTCAGACTTTCTGTCCCCAGAAAGTCAGTCTAAGCCCCGTATCAGGAAAGCAACCCCAGCCCTGGAGCAGACCTTGGCTTCTGTCTCAGTGGCCAGAATTGAGCCCTGGCTGCCAGGGAGCCCAGGCACAGTATAATCTCAGGAGTGTGCTAGCAAAGGAGAAGGCAGGAATGGGTGTCCGGGGCACTGACTGTCACAGAAGTTTCAGACACTTAAAACCACACATTTAATTTATCAAATCACCTGAGAAGACAGAATGCACCGGGACAGTTAATGTTCCTGGGATGATGTTTTGCATGTTCCGATAAGCTGGGTCTGTCCTTTAAAAACTTCTTATGGCTAAAGGTTGAGATGAGGAAGAAAAGGTGGAGAAATACAGAGGTTGGCATTTAAGAAGGCATAATCTAAGTGTTGACTGCCATGTGTTCTGGATGTGAAATCTGGACTGTTTCCTCATCTGTCAGTTGAGGACATGATGCCTCTAAGGAGTCGCCATGACCCAGCAAGGGAGGCCCTTCAGGGGATGGAGATCCTAGATGTGGACTCAGAAACCAGTGTGTTTCCTGGACCCTCCTGGCAGGTAAGTTAGAACAGAAGAGGCATCTACGTGGTGCCTTGACTGACCCCAGGTATTTTGCCACTAATTCCAACATTCCTTCTCTGAGAACACAAACATACATAGGAGATGGAGGGGTTTACAATCCCATTTCATACCTATACACAGAGTCCTGGGCCACTGAATTAGTAAAAGTTCATGGTGATTAAGCCTCTGCACGGGGGTGGTCCAGTATCACCATGGAAACATCACACCCTTCTCCCAGCCCAGGAAGTGATGGAGGGTGATGGGTAGGCACGGTGTCAGGAATCAGGCTTGGACACAGGCACATGCAGCACTGGAGATGACTGATGGAGGGAGAGAGGCTCTGGAGCAAGGGAGTTTATCACCTGCTGGTGTGCCAAGGAGGACCAGATCCAACTGAGTGAATCTAGCAGCACAAATTGGGATCTGAGCTCTGCAGATTTGGGGGAGGAAGTGGCAATGCTCCCTCACAGTCCCTCCCTTTGAACAGGAGCTGGCCTTTGACTCTCAAGTCCAGCATCTAGTTATTACTGAGATGTGCTTCCCTGCAGATTCCTTCTGGGGAGGCAAGTAGGGCTGCCAGTTTCACTGGGGCCAACCCTAGAGATCAGGATATCATTTGTTTTTCAAATTTTAACATTTTATTGTGCTTTTCCCTCTATCTTTTAAAGATCATGGCCCAGTTATTGGCCAAAGCAGAGGCTCTGGCTGTCTTGGGACAAAGCTGCCAGTCAGAGCTGCTTGCTCAGTGTGGGGCATCTGGTGTGGCTGGTGGGACCCTGTGTCTCAAGGTACTGCACCCCAGTGCCCAGCACATGCTGGGGCCTCAGGAGTTGGTTGTGTCTGGGTCTAAGTTTCCCCATAGCCAGCCAGCCCTGAGACAAGATGGGTGCAGGATCCTGGGAAACCCAGGGGAAAAGACGAGTGAAGAACCTGGAAAGGAGAAAGCCTGTGAAGCTCACGCCAGAGCCCACTGTTATGGGAAGTCAGGGACCCCAAATGGAGGGACCAGCTGAAGCCATGGCAGAACGTGGATTGTGAAGATTTCATGGACATTTATTAGTTCCCCAAATTAATACTTTTATAATTTCTTATGCCTGTCTTTACTGCAATCTCTAAACATAAATTGTGAAGATTTCATGGACACTTACCACTTCCCCAATCAACACCCTTGTGATTTCCTATGCCTGTCTTTACTTTAATCTCTTAATCCTGTCATCTCATAAACCGAGGAGGACGTATGTCGCCTCAGGACCGTGTCATAATTTCGTTAACTGCACAAATTGTAGAGCATGTGTGTTTGAACAATATGAAATCTGGGCACCTTGAAAAAAGAACAGGATAACAGCAATGTTTAGGGAACAAGAGAGATAACCTTAAACTCTGACCACTGGTGAGCCAGGCAGAACAGAGCCATATTTCTTTTCTTTCAAAAGCAAATGGGAGAAATATCGCTGAATTCTTTTTCTCAGTAAGGAACATCCCTGGGAAAGAGAATACGCACCTGGGGGGTAGGTCTATAGAAGGCCCCCCTGGGCGTGGCTGTCTTCTATGGTCGAGGCTGTAGGGGTGAAATAGACTCCAGTCTCCCACAGCGCTCCCAGGCTTATTAGGAAGAGGAAATTCCTGCCTAATAAATTTTGGTCAGACCGGTTGCTCTCAAAACCCCGTCTCCTGATAAGATGTTATCAATGACAATGGTGCCCGAAACCTCATTAGCAATTTTAATTTTGCCTCCATCCTGTGGTCCTGTGATCTCGCCCTGCCTCCATTTGCCTTCTGATATTCTATTTACCTTGTGAAGCACGTGATCTCTGTGACCCACACCTATTCGCACACTCCCTCCCCTTTTGAAACTCCCTAATAAAAACTTGCTGGTTTTACGGCTTGTGGGGCATCACGGAACCTACTGACATGTGGTGTCTCCCCTGGATGCCCAGCTTTAAAATTTTTCTTTTGTACTCTGTCCCTTTATTTCTCAAGCCAGCCGACACTTAGGAAAAATAGAAAAGAACCTACATGACTATCGGGGCAGGTTCCCTGATAGCCCACTCCTGCTGGGGCCTCTGAGAAGCCTGCCAAGAGCCTCGGGGTGTTCCCTCCAGAAGACAAGAGCCTGGGGAGACCCCTACGCTGAGAGGAGGGCTGCCCCTCAAGGCAGAAAGCAGCACTGCAACAGCTGTGGGTGGATGGACTTTGGGGGTCCAGGCTGAGCCTCTAGTGTCTGCACGTGGGATGGGAGGCCGGTGTTTGTTGAGACTTGGACAAGTCTTGCAGTGTGGCAAGAGACGATGGCCAGTGTGCAGCAGAGAGCCATGCGGGGGTCAGCTCTCCTCCTACTGAGCCCTCTTCACCTCTCCCAGCCCCTACTGGTGCACTCCCATTTTTGCCTAAGCTGTATGAGTTTGGTTTCCGGAACTTGCACCCAAACTGTCCTTACTGAAGTACAAATGACATTATAAACCCGAAGCCCTGGAGACAAATGTGACCTCCCTTCGCTCTTGCTCTAGAAGCAAGGCCGGGTGGGCTGGGATCCCACCCTCAGAGAACTTAGGTTGTGAAATGCTCCAAGGGGTGCTTTTCTTGAAATTACTGACAACACCTAGTACCTGATGGCCAGTTCCAGATGCTAACAAGATGAAGTCGACCAACTGCTCCTTTTTACCAAACAACTTTTATTTGCATGTGGCTACTTAGTAAATAGTAATCAGTGATCATCCTAGACAGCTGCCAGGCAACAAAAGGAGAGACACATAGAAGCTTTTCAAGGTATCAGGTTGCAAAAAAAAAAAAAAAAAAAAAAGTATCAGAGTGATCAGAAAGTGAGCAGTGAGCAGTAGTGAAGCCAGAATTTTCTTTCCCATGACTCCTGTAGTTCTGTCCCTGTCCCCGCAAACCCCAGGAGGGGAAAAATGTAGATACAAAACTGTAAGGCCTCAAACCAGTTAGGACAAGTCCCTTTCTCGTAATAATTTATTTCATTCCCAATGACAGAAGGCACGTGCAGTTACAGGGCTGTGCCCTATTCGTCTGGGTCAACAGAAGAGCACAGCTTTCTTTAGAAAAACATTTACTTTAAAACCAAGCACCTTGATTTGATATTTTAGTGTGCACAACTTTGCCCGTTGAGGTCCTGGTGAGCCCTTGCCCAACCCCGTGGGCACCACCATTCCGCCAGGCCTCGGAGGGCCACCGGGTGCTTAAGAGAATGTGAGGGGGGTGAGTGCAGGTGGCGCAGCGCGGTTCCTGGGACATGGGTCCTTCACTCCTCGCTGAGATGTTGCGGCAGCCTTTTCTTCCAATGCGGTTGTGGCAGGAGAATCCACGGATGTAATGTTTTCACCTTTTTCCCTGAGGGTGCTTTCTGAGGAACCAGTCCTTAAGAGGTGGGGTCTTGGATTCCTGACCCAGGCGTCCGGCAGCTGCTCAGTTTCCGAGATGTCAGACTCATGGAGGAGCAGGCTATGCCCTTCCCTCCCCATTCCCCACCCCTCAAGCCCCAGGTCTTACTGTATAATGATTTATTTTCCCCACACGTCTACCCTCAAAATTGGCTTCATGCAAATTTCCCTTGAATCCTAATGCTGGAGAGGAAAGGGGAGGGGAAGTGGGAGGGTGGTGGGCAGGGTGGCTTGACCCTGTCAGCCTCCCAGGGAACTCGGGACCACGGCTCCCCAGCACAGGCTGAACAAGTACCAGGAACAAGGTCTATGCATCTGCGTTAGATCTGAAGGCCTTGGCAGCACCTCTTCAATTTTAAGAGAATCAGGCCGGGCGCGGTGGCTCACGCCTGTAATCCCAGCACTTTGGGAGGCCGAGGCGGGCGGATCACGAGGTCAGGAGATCGAGACCATCCTGGCTAATACGGTGAAACCCCATCTCTACTAAAAATACAACTAAATTAGCCGGGCACGGTGGTGGGCGCCTGTAGTCCCGGCTACTCGGGAGGCTGAGGCAGGAGAATGGCGGGAACCCGGGAGGCGGAGCCTGCAGTGAGTGGAGATCGCGTCACTGCACTCCAGCCTTGGAGGAAGAGCGAGACTCCGTCTCAAAAAAAACAAAATAAAACAAACAAAAAAAAGATCAGACTGAGTATTCCCCTAGACCTACTCTAGGGAAGCCCATAGCTGAGGCAAAATCCCCAAACAGACTTGGCATTAGTGGGGCTAGGATTCTCCATTAGTGGAGTGAGGGCTTTGATGTGAGTTGTCTAGAAGAGCAAGTTCATGGTCAGATAATTCCAAGAGACAGTTGTTTTCCCAGGAAAAAGAAAAGCTTCCTCCTATTCAGCAGAGTGAATTTAAATGTCCAAACAAAGTGTGGTGTCATCGCTCAGTCTGCAAGGACGTTCTGTTAATCCCGTGGACGTTTTAGTGGATCTTCCGTTTGTCATCCAGATGGCAAACGTTGGAAGCTGCTTTTGGGGACCAATAATTGGAGCTTTCAAAGAGCATTTCCCCCTTGGCCTGGCGCCTGTGCATCAGTGGTAATAGATGCTGAAGGCATGGAGAATGTAGAGCAGCGTGGCGATGAAGGCGAAGAACTGGAAGGAGGTGGAGAGTGACTGTTAGAGACAGCAGCGCCAGCTCCTGCCCACCCCTCAGGTACCCTCAGCCCCACTGCCCAGGAGGCCACGCATGACCCTGCCTCCTCGCCTCCTGCGTGGCCTGAGGGCAGCAACCCCTGGCCAACAACTCCCTCTTCTGGAAACTCTCCATCAGGGCCTCCCTGGGGCCGTCCTGGTGTCCTGCCCCGACTGCAGTCTCCACCTCATCTGCACCTGGCTGTGAAGCAGGCTCACCTCCACCACAGCTCTGGGCCCATATCCCACGCTGACCTCCTGCCCGAGGCCCGCTCTCCTCTGCCCACCTCCAGCAAATCTGTGTTCTGAACACTCCTACAGCTCCCCTCGCTGGCCCAGAACTCTGCCCTGAGCGGCTGCTTATCAGCTCCTCGTGAATGTTCAGACATCCTCCAGCTCTTCCTGGCTCACACTGAGCCCCTGACGTTTCCTCACAAGCCTGACAAGCCCAGTGGGCCCCAGGGTCCTCCTCTCGCCCCACTCCCTGAGCCTGACCCCTGTGGCCCCTGGCTCCTCCTGCCTCCCTTGCCAGCCATATGCAAAGCCACCCCAAAGGCTACTGATTTCCCTGCCTAGCTCTTGGGACATTCATTTTTCCCTTGTCTCAGCCACCGGCATCCCTCGGCAGGACTCCTCATGGCCTCACTTGTCCACTTCTTCCTGCCCTGCCCCTCGAATCTGCTCCACCATTTGGGCAGGGCAGGCAGAAGTGGACAAGTGAGGACACTTCTCACTCATGGGGAGAACACAATCCCGTTGCCCCACGTTGAAGCTGTATGATGGCTCTGCTCTTTTCTCAGGGTAGGGCCGTCACCTTCAATACCTTTCAGGCCCTGCCAAACATCCCAGCCCCACTCTGCCCCACTGTCCACTCACACGCTCCTCATTCAGTCAGTCAGTCAACAAATATCTTTTAAGGACCTGCTTTCCTTCAAGAGCAACTGTGGGTATAACAGTGAAGAAAATATTCAAAAATTCCTGCCCTCATGGAGCTTACATTTGAGAGATAAGAAGCAGATAGCAGCAAGATAGATGAGTAGCACATACATGGGTTAGATGGAGGTAAATGCCACCCACTGTGGAGTGCACTGTGACCCTCTGGGGTGGCCACAAGATATTTCAGCTGCCTTCTGGCCTGTCTGCCTCCCTTCCCTCCTCATCAGGTGAGTTTAACTTCCTAAACTTGCAAGACCAGCAACGGCCCCTGCAATCCTCCATGGCCAGCTGTCCCAGCTACACCACCCTCCTGGCTGCCCTTGAGCACACAGAGGGTCCTTGGCAGGGGTAACTGCCTGGTGGGACCTTAGCAGGGGTAACTGCCTGGTGGCCCCTGCCTCCTTCTGTCCTCTTGACAGGGCCTTCCCTGATGCCTCCTCCCCTGAGACCTCGACATTCCACTTTCCCCTTCCCTGCTTCATCTCTCAATAGTTCAGCCATGCCGAGGGATGCGGGCCCCATTCCAAAGGCAGTGGGTGCCATTGAAGGATTTTCAGTAGGAGAGAGACATCTGTTCCAATTTGTGTTTTGGAAAAAGAAAATTCTGCAGACAGCGTGGGGGGTGTCTAAGAGAGAGGAAAGCTGGAGTGGGAACAATAGAAGGTAAAAGAGGACCCCTGAACGTGGGTGCACATGTTTACAGGGACACACATCCCTATCCCCTGCCCCCATGGCTCCTTCCACTTGAGGGCTCAGGGTCTATACAGCACAAGCAAAGTTAGGCCTCCTGCACGAAACATCCTCCAGGCAAGACTGCTGTCCTTGGCCAGCCCACTCACCGAGGCTGCCGAATTAATGTAGTAAATTCTTGGGTCCAGCAGTTTCTCAGAAACAATCGTGGCATGTACTTGTAGGACGGCAGCGCTCATGTACAGGATGCCAGTGGTCCCGTGGTACAGGCTGTCCTGGAAATGCAGAGCAGAGCCACGCATGGCCACATCAATCAGGTGAACATTTTCCTCTCTGGCTACATAGCAGTAAAGAATGAGCAAATGAGGCAGGCCAGCCCCCTAGAGTCCTGCCTTTTTTTTTTTTTTTTGCAGTGTGATTTGGTTTGGCTCTGTGTCCCTGCCCAAATCTCATCTCGAATTGTAATCCCCACATGTTGGGGGAGGGACCTGGTGGGAGATGACTGGATTATGGGGGCAGTTTCCCCATGCTGTTCTCGTGATAGTGAGGGAGTTCTCATAAGATCTGATGGTTTAAAAGTGTGACACTTCCCTCTCTCACTCCTGCTGCCATGTAAGGTGTGCCTTGCTTCCCCTTCGCCTTCCACCATGATTGTAAGATTCCTGAGACCTCCCTAGCCATGCAGAACTGTGAGCCAATTAAACCTCTTTTCCTTATAAATTACCCAGCCTCAGGTAGTTCTTTACAGCAGTGTGAGAACAGACTAATACAGAAAATTGGTACCAGGAGTCAGGCACTGCTATAAAGATACCTGAAAATGTGGAAGCAACTTTGGAACTGGATAATGGGCAAAGGTTGGAACAGTTTGGGGTACCCAGAAGAAGACAGGAAGATGTAGGAAAGTTTGGAACTTTCTAGAGACTTGTTGAATGATTCTGACCAAAATGCTGATGGTGATATGGACAATGAAATCCAGGCTGAGGTGGTCTCAGATGGAGATGAGGAACTTATTGGGAACTGGAATAAAGGTCACTCTTGCTATGCTTTAGCAAAGAGACTGGTGGCATTTTACCCCTGTCCTAGAGATCTGTGGCACTCTGAACTTAAAAGAGATGATTTGGGGTATCTGGCAGAAGAAATTTCTAAGCATTGAAGCATTCAAGATGTGACCTGACTTTTCCTGAAAGTGTACAATCATATGCATTCACAAAGAGATGGTCCAAAATTGGAACTTATGTTTAAAAGGGAAGCAGAACATAAAAGTTTGGAAAATTTGCAGCCTGATCATGTGTTAGAAAAGAAAAACATATTTTCTGGGGAGAAATTCAAGCTGTCAGCTGCAGAAATTTTCATGAGTAATGAGGGTCCCCAAGACAAAGGGGACGATATCTCCAGGGCATTTCAGAGATCTTCACAGTAGCCCCTCCCATCACAGGCTCAGAGACCTAGGAGGGAAAAATGGTTTTGTGGGCCAGGCTCAGGGCCCTGTTGCTCTGCACAGTCCTGGAACACAGCACTCTGCAACCCGGCTGCCCCAGCTCCAGCAGCTGGGGGCCAAGGTACAGCTTGGGCCATTGCTTCAGAGTGTGTAAGCCTCAAGCCTTGGCAGCTTACACATGGTGTTGGACCTACAGGCATGCAGAAGGCAAGAATTGAGGTTTAGGAACCTCTGCCATGATTTCAGAGGATGTATGGAAATGACTGGATGTACAGGCAGAGTCTGCTGCAGGGGTGGAGCCCTTATGAAGAACCTCTACTAGGGCAGTGCAGAAGGGACATGTGGGGTCAGACCCCCCACAGAGAGTCCCCACTGTGACACTGGCTAGTACAGCTGTGAGAAGAGCTGTCCTGTAGACCCCAGAATGGTAGGTTCACTGACAGTTTGCACTGGTCACCTTGAAAAAGCACAGACACTCAATGCCAGTTTGTGAAAGCAGCTGCAGGGGCTGTACTGTGAAGAGCCACAGAGGTGGAGCTGCCCAAGGTCTTGGGTGCCCACCCTTTGTAACAGGGTGACTTGAATCTGAGACATGAAGTCAAAGGAGATTTTGGAATGTCGACATTTAATGGCTGCCCAGCTGGGTTTAGGACTTGCATGGGGCCTGTAGCCCCTTTGTTTTGACCAATTTCTCCCATTTGGAATGGGAGCATTTACCCAATGCCTGTACCCTTATTGTGTCTTGGAAGTAACTAACTTGCTTTTTGATTTTACAGGCTCATAGGCAGAAGAGACTTCTCTTGTCTTAGATGAGACTTTGGACTTAAACTTTTGGGTTAATGCTGGAATAAGTTGAAACTTTGGGGGACTGTTGAGAAGGCATGATTGTATTTTTAAATGTGAGAAGGATGAGATTTGGGAGGGGCCAGTGGTATAATGATATGGTTTGGCTCTTTGTCCCCACCCAAATCTCATCTCCTATTGTAATCCACATGTATCAAGGGAGGGACCTGGTGGGAGGTGATTGGATCATGGGGGCAGTTTCCCCTATGCTGTTCTCATGATAGTGAATGAGTTCTCATGGGATCTGATGGTTTAAAAGTATGGCACTTCCCCCTCCCCCATCTCTCCTGCTGCCATGCAAGGCATGCCTTGCTTAGCCTTCACCTTCCACCATGATTGTAAGTTTCCTGAGGCCTCCCTAACCATGAGGAACTAGTCAATTCAACCTCTTTTCTTTATAATTTACCCAGTCTCTGGTTGTTTATAGCAATGTGAGAATAGACTAATACACAGTGTTTTTAATGTAATATCTATGTCGTAAGCAATGGCAGATTAATAAAGATCAGTATATTTCAGTTACGCAAAGTCAATCTTGGTCTGAAATATTAAATGAAAAATTCCAGAAATTAACAATTAAATGTGTGCCTTTCTGAGTACAATGATGAAATCTTGCACTGTCCCGCCCTGTTCCACCTGGGATGTGAATCAGACATTTGTCTAGCATGTCTACACTGTCTGTGCCACCCATGTTAGTCGCTTTGTACTCATCTGGGCTATCAGATCAACTGTTGTGGCACTGCAGTGCTTGCATTCAAAGAATCCTTATTTTACTTCATAATGGCCCCAAATTGCAAGAGTAGTGATGCTGGCAATTTGGATATGCCAAAGAGAAGTCATAGGGTGCTTTCTTTAAGTTAAAAAGTATAAGTTTTCAGCTTAATAAGGAAAGGAAAAAAATATGCTGAGGTTGTTAAGATCTACAGTAAGAATGAATTGTCTATCTGTGAAATTGTGAAGAAGAAAAAAGAAGTGCATGCATAGCAAATTCGGAGTTCAGTACTCTCTGAGGATTCAGGCATCCCCTAGGGGTCTTGGGACTTATCCTCCGGAGATGGGGGACCACTGTATACTGTCTTAGGTATGCTGAGGAATTGTTTACTTCGTATACATGTGATAATGTGAGAAAGTTTGCGGAGTTTTTTTGGAAACATACTGAAGTGTGTGGAATAGAATGGCATGATGTTTGGTGTTTGCTTTAAAATTCCTTAGTGGGGACAAAGGCTAGATGAAACAAATGTGGTAAGGTCTTGATAATGCTGGAATCTGGGTTATGGCTACATGAGGGCCTATAATACAATATTCTGTACTTTTAAATATGTCTTCAATTGTTCAGTGTGGAACAGTTTTAAATGGTTTTTTGAGATGACGTGATAAATAAAAATTAGTGATGTAATATTAAATGAAAGCATCTACATCCAAAATTATTTGTAGAGTACAATTAAAGTATATATATACATATATATACATATATACATATGTATATACGTATATATGTATATATACTTTGCATATAATTCATGTGGGATATGGAAGAAATACCCTGTCGCAGGGATTGTGTTAGGGCCTTGAGAATGGAGTGATTTTTTTCCTACTAGCTTTTTCTTCAGTGTTGCTCCAAGGATTTTACCAGGAAGAAAATTTAGGGGAAACACATCAGAATATGCTTGATCACAGGTCATTGTGTATTCTCCTAACAGGGAAGCCAGTGAAGGGGAATACCAGGAATTATTTACGCTTGCAGATAAATGTCTTCATTTTAGCGTGGTAGTAAAAATGGTAAGATAAAAAGTCTTGGTTCCATAGGAGCCTAGCCCAGGATCCCTCCCTGCCCAGAAAGGCCAATTGTCCTCACCCAACCCAGAACGTCCACCCAGGAAGAGCCATGCTGCTGGTTCTTACCAGAACTCTCCAGGATTCAAATCTTTTGTAAAATCCAAACAAGTAAGACAACAGGAACATCAAGGAGATGAGAAACGAGGTGAGTGAGACATACATCACCCATCCTTGCAGCAAGGGGTATACTATGTGGGTGGCGGCTACCATGGTCCAGACCAAGAACCCAAATATCTGGAAGATAAAAGCATAAAAGAAGGGGCTTCATTAACTAGTGTGGAGTATGTTTCCCTTTGCAGGGTGTCTCTTTTCTGTCTCTAGTTACAAGTTCAGGTGAAGTTAGGAGGGAACCAAGAGGAAAATGGGGAAGGAAGGCTGGCCCCGCTGAGTCACGGTAAAGTCAGGTCCGATTGTTAGAAAATTCAAGGGGTTAATGCAGAGGTCATGAACAGAGGGACTCTCAGCCAAATCTAGCTTGTGAATGTGTCTTTTGGCTCAAGCAGTATTGGCATATACACTTTTTAAACAATTCTGAATAAGTTCCCAATATTCAAAACAGGATATTTCACATGGAAAATCCAGATTTGGGACATTTCTTTAGAAATCCATGGTTCTGGCCACAGTGTACCCATTTCTCAGGCCAGAGTAGGCTGAAATGAGTAGTGACTATCTCTTTAAAAAGGGCCTGGAGTCCTCAGTGGACCACATCCCCTCACCCCACTAACCTCACACCATGCTGTGGGACATTCCCTGTTGCTCACTGACACTGTGTAATTGTTTACTAATGAGATACAGCTTATTTTTATATATTTGTTAGCCATTAATATTTCCTCCTCTGTAAAGTTTTTTATTTTTTAATCAGTTAAATATTTTAAAATTGATTTTTCTTTTTCTTATTGATTCATAGGAATTCTTGCTAATGGTGTGGATTTCATGGACTGCCATAAACATTGCAAATATATTCTGCTAGCATTCACATATTTTCTGGTTTCCTTTGATTAACTAAGCCCGCAATTTTAATGCAGTTGAATATGTCAATCTTTTCCTCTATTGACTATGTTTTTTATCAAGTTTAAGAAATTCTTCTCACGCACACCAACATGGCACATGTATACATATGTAACAAACATGCACATTGTGCACATGTACCCTAAAACTTAAAGTATAATAATAATAATAATAATAATAAAGAAATGCTTCTCTATTTTGAGTCATGAAGATATTCTTGCATTCCAGATTTTCCTCCTGAGATAATTTTCCTTCTTCCTGGAGTGCAACCTTTAGTAGTCTCTTTAGTGAAGGTCAGAGGGTAGTAGTCTGTTTGATTTATTAGAAAACGTCCTTAAATTTCCCCTGACAATTATTTTCTCTCCGCACTTCCAAGATATGTTTCCACTGTGTTGTATATTTTTCCATAATATTCTGTTGTATTCTGGCTTCCATTGTTGCCATTGAAAGGTCAGCTGTCAGTTGAACTCTTGCTTTGTAGGAATCTGTCTTCCTTATTTGGCTATATTTAGTCTTCACTCTGTCTTCGGCATTCTGCAGTTTGTGAAACAGTGATACCATGTGTCGAGATGTGGATATCTTTTTATTACTCCTGCTTAGTATTCATTCTACATTTTAATATCTGAAAATTCCATTCACTTGGCCTTAATAGCTTGATTCTGCAGTTTGTGGCTTCCATTAACTTCTATTCTTGTTCACTTGTTTCCTCTTATGTTTAGTGAATTTTGATTGGAAGCTCATGTCCGTGGAGGTAGCTCAGTTCTGAATGATGTATTAGAAACTTTCTAGACCAAACAACTTCACTCACTTTTTTTTTTCTTGAGAGAGTCTCTCTCTGTCACTCAGGCTGGAGTGCAGAGGTGCAATCATGGCTCACTGCAGCCTCCAACTCCTGAGATCAAATGATCCTCCCACCTCAGCCTCCTAAGTAGCTAGGACTACAGGTACATACTACCACACCTGGCCAATTTTTATTTTATTTTTTGTAGAGACAGGGTCTTGCTGTGTTGCCCAGGTTGGTCTTAAACCCTTGGCCTCAAGCAATCCTCCTAGCTTGGCCTCCCAAAGTGCTGAGATTACAGGCAAGAGCCACTGTGCCCTGCCTTCACACCCTTCTGTATAGCTCAGCCAAAAGATATACAACTTCAGTTCTGCTTTCCGAACTATATCCTTAGCTTTCTGGGACCAGCAGTTCTTATCTTACAACTGGCCAATACATAGACATAGATATGTCACCCTTTCCCTTCTGAGGTTTCCACATGCTGTTGTCTGGCAGTTGTCTTTGGATTTATGGAATATTCACAGTCTTTTAAGGAGAAAAAAGAAAAGGGAGATGAGAAGCCAGAAGAGAACAGGAAGTTGACCACAAGGCAGAGACTCCTCAGCAAGGAGCACAATCATAGCTTTATGGGGTGGGAAAACAACTCCAGCAGCGTGGCCACCTCTTAAAGCACCAGTTCTGGTAGCAAATTCCTCCTTAACAATCAACATCCAAGTGAATTTTGGAAGTCCTAGGCTGGTCTGAGACTGCCGGAGAATGAGTCAAAGCCGGCTTGTCCTAGGGAGGGGGTGGTGAGGAACGGAAGCCGCTGTCCTCTGGCTCCCCCACAACTGTGCTGCTGAGTGTCAATCCCAGTGACAAGGGCTGCTGATGCTTCAGAAAGGTACCAGGCCTCAGCTTTAAGGCGCTTGCCAAGAAGCCATGAGAAGTGCATTAAGATGCTGGCATATGAACAGCACCCAAACAATGCTGGTTATTAGTGGTTCACCAGGTACTTTACAGTTGATAAAATGCATTCACTCAGACTGCCTCATTTAGACCACACAACAATTCTAACTCCCTTGGAAAGACCAGAGAACTACCATTCGACACCTTCCACTGCTTACTGCCAGCTCACCTGTGCCAGGCATGGGGACAGCAAGGGAACCTCAGCCCCATCTTGCCAGTCAGTGCCTGCAGTGGGGTCCCGGTGCCCCTCTTGCCATCAGAAGCTTCCCTGGCCAGACACAGCCATATGCACGTTACTTACATTTGCACATTTAATCTTTGCCACAGTCCATGAGGTAATACTGTACCGGAGGGGATTAGGGCCTGAGGTCACACAGGCAGTGCGTGGTGGGACTCAGACATGGTGTAGGACAGTTGTGGTTCTTGCCCTAAAAACCAGGTTTCAAGGCCAAGGGCAGGGCCAGGTAGAGGCTCCTAGAATATGCCAGAGGGTGGCCTGCTACAGTCCCAGCCAAGGTCTGCCTGGGGCATTAGAGGCCTTGATGGGGACATCACACCTGGAGTCTCAGGGAGCCCATCAGCGGCCTCCTCTCTCTGGGTTCCAGCTATAGCTTAGGGATCCTTGTCCTACCTTTCACAACAGGCCAGGGGCCTCTGAGCATTTGGGAATCTGCTCAAACGTCATGGGAACCTTCCTGCAATGGCTTCAGTGTTGCAGAATCAATGTTCTGCAGAAGAAAGTCACTCACTTCTTATTTCCACACCCCTCTACCTCCTAAACAGGAGGAGGGACCAGAGCCAAGGGCTGCAGGTGGATTGAAACCCAGTAGAGTTCGTGATCTCATTTCTGTCTCAAGTAGTCTAGGTTGGATTCCTTACAGTTGTGAAAACTGTATATATTGTGGGGCTGAAAACAGTATATATAGCACTATATAGTGGGGCTCTAACCTAACTTGGCCAAAACCCCCTCCTAGGTTTGTTTTCTAAAATAAACCTGTCCTTGTTAACCATCAAGCCACCCTTCGTGTTTCTTTCCTCTTTCTTTAATTATCACACCTCCCACATCTGTGTGTTTAGTCACCACAGGAAACACTTGGTGCAGAGAGAAATGGAAGAAAAGATCCAAGTCAAGGAAGCAGCCAAGGGGCCAGGGCTTCATGGAGGAAAGAGCAAATCTTGAATTGTTCAGGATAGGGGATGGAACCAGGAAGCAGCATTGGGGTGGGAACTAAACTGACATAGGAGCATTTGGGGAGCAAGTCAAGAAGGCTCTGTTGAGTGATGTCATTGACAGAGTCGGGCTGGCAGCTCAGTGGTGTGCTGGCCAGAGAGGGGGTATGTTAAGCCAGCTAAAAGGAGCAAGTCTGACCCGGACAAACTCATATTTTAAACCCGACCTGAGTGGTCCTGGCATGCGATTTCCAAAGTGTCTCTGCTCTTGGAGTGAACCACCCTCATTCTTTATCTGAACTGGACCCCACTTGCAGAGTCAAGTCACTCTTCTCCCAGTGGTGCCAGATTCAGAACTGGACTCCTGCTTTGGTCTCCACTTGCTGTTTCTATATTGCATCCTTTCTCATTCCCAGGTCTTTCTCCAAAGCATGGAACCCTTTCTTGCTCTTAGATGCTTACCTTTATGGACCCAGAATCCTGTTCTAATTCCTAACCCAGAGCTGTGGTCCCTGGAAGCAGAGCTTGTGGCTGCCATTCTTTCCAAGTACCCTTCCCTGGATTCTGCTTTCGGGGTCTTGATGCATTTATGGGTAGGGGAGCATCCTAATCCTTCATCATCTTCAACTATACTTTCCTACTTCCACATTTCTGATAACTTGTTTGGAGTCTGCTGTCAACTCTGGACAAACACGTATTACGTCTTAGTCTGAGCTTCTGCCATTAGTCCCAGAAGTGGAGTTCCTTCCTAGGACGTGGATTTGGTACTAGAGCCCAGCTTTGCTTTCTTGCTTCATCATGCTGCCAGGCCCCCACTGTGGTCCCAGTCAGCACCCCCAACCCTGCTCCCACTGGAGAGCTGTCACTCAGTCAGCTCCCTCTGGATTGATGAGTGGCAAAAGGTCCCTAGACCGGGCCCCCTAAGGCAGGACTTCTTTAGAGGATTGTAGTCTCTACATAGTGATGGTTGTACTGTTATAAAGGGCCTGTTTCCTTTCATTCTCCCTCTGTCAACTCTTTTCTTTGAAGTAAAAACGGAACATTTATTGATTCATACAGCTAGACTTCCCAAGGGATCAGCTGGCTTGCAACTCAGCTGGACCTCAGGGCTTTAAACAATGCCACTAGCACTGCAGCACTGTGTCTCCTCCTAGCCCCAGCTCTGCTTAGTTTCAAGGAGATGGTGGAATTCGTGAGCCTTTGAGTACAGGAGCCCAGAAAGAGAAAGAGAGATTCTCTTTCCTATGTTTATATTGAAAAGACGATGTGTTTAGGGCAGGTGAGACACTGAGAGATATTTCTACTAGGATCGCGTGGAGAAGGCATGGTTCTTTTGTGGCAAGTGGAGTGCCAGATAAAGGAGACAAGAGAGTGGGCAAGAAAAAAAGAAATAGAAATAGAAATAAAGGGGATCTGGCAAGATGGCTGAATAGGAACAGCTCCAGTCTGCAGCTCCCAGCAAGTCCAATGCAGAAGGTGAGTGATTTCTGTATTTCCAACTGAGGTACTTGGTTCATCTCACTGGGACTGGTTAGACAGTGGGTGCAGCCCACGGAGGGTGATTAGAAGCAGGGTGGGGTGTTACCTCACCAGGGAAGCGCAAGGGGCTGGGGAACTCCCTCCCCTACCCAAGGGAAGCCACGAGGGACTGTGCCATGAGGGACGGTACTATCCAGCCCAGATACTACGCTTTTCTCACAGTTTTTGCAACCCACACACCAGGAGATTCCCTCGAGTGTCTACAGCAGGAAACAGATGCTGGAGAGGATGTGGAGAAACAGGAATGCTTTTACACGTTGATGGGAGTGTAAATTAGTTCAACCATTGTGGAAGACAGTGTGGCGATTCCTCAAGGATCTAGAACTAGAAATACCATTTGACCCAGCAATCCCATTCCTGGGTATATACCCAAAGGATTATAAATCATGCTACCATAAGGACACATGCACACGTATGTTTATTGTGGCACTATTCACAATAGCAAAGACTTGGAACCAACCCAAATGTCCATCAGTGATAGACTGGATTAAGAAAATGTGGCACAAATACACCATGGAATACTATGCAGCCATAAAAAAGGATGAGTTCATGTCCTTTGTAGGGACATGGATGAAGCTGGAAACCATCATTCTCAGCAAACTAACACAGGAACAGAAAACCAATCACTGCATGCTCTCGCTCATAAGTGGGAGTTGAACAATGAGAACACACGGACCTAGGGAGGGGAACATCCACACTGGGGCCTGTCGGGGAGTGGGGGTAAGGGGAGGGATAGCATTAGGAGAAATACCTTATGCATTCGGGGCTTAAAACCTAGATGACGGGTTGATGGGTGCAGTAAACCACCATGGCACATATATACCTATGTAACAAACCTGCACATTCTGCACAGGTATCCCAGAGCTTAAAAAGAAATAAAAATAAAGAGACATGCACTACTGCCAGACCACAGGGTGGGGCAGCCTTGTGCATGGATAGCCTTACTTGCCTCCCCCTTCAACCCACATGCTTCAGATGGATGAGGGCGTAGCTAGAGAGCACAGGTAAGGCAGGGCTGATGGGTTGGGACCCATCCATCTCAGCCTCTGCCACCAGGCACCCCTGGCACAGAGAACCTTTTAACACTGAGTCCCTTTACTGTCACTTTGAATTGTCACAGCCCCACAGAGACCAGCCCATAGCTGGACACACCCTATCTCCCTAAAATAACCAGTTCAAGAGCACCAGACAGTGGAAGTGCTCATGTCCCAAGGGCTTCCTGCGGGCCTTCAGCAGGACAAGGTTGTGGCCACTAGTCCTAGGAGCACAGTGCCCTGAGCCTAGGCAAAGCAAGCAGGCATTACTCATCTAAAACAGCATCAGGAAAGACACTGAGAAACCAGGACGACTTGATTTTGTATTTGTGCGCAGCAAACTCTTGAGGGACGCTAGAGGTAGTAGATGTGTCTGTGTGACTCCCAAATATACAGCAGGAGCCGATTTGGCAGAGAGACCCCTTGCCAATGCCATGTTCAGAGTGGAGGTCGACTTGAGAGCCACTGATCTGAGCAGCATGAAGTCCCCTGACATTAGCAGCATGAAGTCCCCTGACTTCAGCCACTTAGGTGTGGATTGCTGAGGGTTCAGGGCAGACAGTGTTTGAGTTCGGGCTGGGCCCACCTGTTTTCCCTCCAAGTGGCATCACCAGGTCCAGTGGGGAAAACACTGTTGTGGGTCTACATTGATTTACCTATACTGCTCAGAGAAGCTTCCTGTGGGCTTCCATAAACTGGCTTGGGTTGGTTATTACTGGCTGCAGCAGCAATTGATTGCTCTTCCTGTACCTTGTTACCCTGGAGATGAAAATCCAGACTTGATGGGGAGAAAAGAGAAAATCTCCATCAGGAGAATCAAGTGGTCTGTTCTCCTCCTCCACTGCCATTGTCATAAAGCATGGGGTTGGCTGTGGGGTCATTTGGAGTGCAGCGGTCCAAGTATCAGGAGCAGCGTACTCTCAAAAAGACTCACGGATGTGACCAAAACTGCAGCCTCCAAGGGTTTTGAGGCCTGCAGGCTGGGAGTTCTTGGCCTAGAGCATTTCACCCCTCTCTTCATTGCTTTCCTGGATGTTCCCAGGGGTCAATCTGGGCTGTTTTTGAGGTGGGATAAAGATTTAAATTGACTCGGGGAGGAGGGAAGTTATCTAAGGGTATAAACACAATATGGTTTTTTTTTATTTTTTTCTTTTGTAACAAGATTTTTAAAAAATCTCTTATTTAACTGAGAGTCATACTTTTGTCTATTATAGTAGCTAATTTACTATTATGATAGATAATAGAATTGGGTAAATAACAAGTTCTGTTCATCACTACAAAACACACACACACACACAGAGTATGTGAAAATGCTTCCTATAATTGCTGTACACCATGGCCAGAAAGACAGACTTGAAGATGTAGGTATTAATGATAATGTAGATTATAAAGTACAAAGAATACCACCAGTTGAAGTCATAGACAGGCATGCTAGAAGAAAATAATCATGTTTCATGGTTTTCCATACCCTAGTTCCACAATGCATATAAGGCTGACCTTAGGCAAAATCCCACATGCACAGTCCATGTGCATGAGGCACCAGAAAGCCTCCTGTAACATTCGCTCTCCCCCATAGGGTGTGATGGGGCCTCAGAGCCATCACCATCCCTAATGCTGAACAGCTTGCTTCACACCTGCCCTTCTGAAATTCTTAGTACCTTACAGAGGCACCAATTTTCACAGTGGCAGGACCTTAGTGATCTCCCAATTCAGTTTTCTCCCTCCACAATGAGAAAATTGAGGCCTAGAAAGGACAGTGACTTGCTAGGAATTACAAAGAGAATAAGAAGCATGGCTGGGAAGAGGGCTGTGCACTGCAAAGTCAGGTAATCCTTGCTGTGTGGAACACCCAACTGCCTTGGCTGGGGCCAGATCATATTCTAACCACCCAGGGGACGATGCATGAAAGGTACCCGGTGATAACTGTGGAAGGGCAAGTTGTGACAGGTGCTCACTCTACCTTTAATGGAAACTTAATTTCCTACAGGAGGGGACGTCAAGGGGTGCTGGCTAGGCTGTCAGCCAGGGGTCTGAGGAAAGACCCAAGAGAACATAAGCAGGGCCAGGGCCAAGGCCAGGCCCAAGAGTGAGCAACAACCAAGAACAAGTTGATCTGATGAACCTACACATCACAAGATGACAGAAAACCTGCCTCTCTGAGGTCACTATTGGAGCAGATGTGGACTGACGTTTGCAGTGAGGCTCTGCCCACTCTCTAGAGCTGGAGAGCTAGCTACTCTGTGCAGTACCACTTAATAACTTTACCCTTATGCATGAGGTAAATCCATAACAAGAAGTCATTCCATGAGGTTTTTCTCCTAAGTAATTTCCACACGTGTGGAGAATTGGCATTTTGCAAGCAAGGTGGCAATTACTGTTGGGAAAAAGCTGAGTGTTGGGAGAAGCTGAGGCAGGGCTTGCAAGTCTGACATAAGGTAAAAGAGTCTTGGAACATGTCTGGGGTCCAGGGTCTAAAACCCCTTGTGGCCTTTGGAACACCAAGCTCTGTGCTAAAGGGTGGAAGGCTACCCTGATGCACCATAATCTAAGCCCAGGGCATAAAACCCCTCGTGACTTGGATAGAATCCAGGGCTCGTGGCTCTGGAACGTGTCTACACTTGCTGGCTCCATGCTCCTTGCTCTCCCAGGATCGACTGTATCTTGAGTTAAAAGAACATGCTCTCCATTATCTCAAGTAGCAGAGCAAATGCTAAACCATCACAGGTGTAAATCATGTGATTAATGCAATGCGCCCTTTCAACCTCCACATTCTCACCACCTGTTTCTTTGCTGGATTACCAATAAATAGCACTGGGCTCCCAGAGCTTGGGGCCTTTGCAGCCTCCATGATTGCGATGGCCCCTTGGTCCCACTTCTGTCTCTCAAACTGTCTTTTCTCAATCCTTTGACTCCGCCGGACTTTGTCACCCCCACAACCTGGTGTTGGGTCTGATCACCCCAACAATTAGTGATGTTTACATTTATTTCCTGTTTGATGTAGCCAAAAAACTGCATCAATGCTTAGGAGAACCAGACATGATTCCTTTACAAAGATGGCTTATGTCTTTAAATTCAAGACTCAAAGAAGATTCCAGAATAGAAAGTGGGCTCAAATATTAAGAATTGTATCTCAAGAGATGTCTCCTGTTCCTTTCCATTTTGAAAGAATTCATTTAAATTTAGTGTTAAGTAGAGAGGATAGGCTACTAGTGGTGTAAAATTTTATATTCTTCAAAACTTTTACAGTGAATAGGACTAAACAGAAAATCACTCTTTGTCCTCTCACAGCCCTACTAGAGTCAGGAGACAGCCGCTTTGAATAGTGTGAATTCTGTTATGGTAAAAGATGTTCATGAACACGGATCAAGGATGCGAGGACATGATGTCAGGGCTGTTCGCTGTAGTGACCAGCACGTAGAGCTCAAATGCTATCTCCAGAATGTTTTCAAACTAAGGCGATCCCTCTGCTGTTTTCAGACCACTAAAGAGGAACCAAAAACATAAAGTGAAAACCACACACGTAAATTAATACACTGATACACTTTTTCCCTTTCAAGAGCACTCCTGCAGTGTTTGAACATGGAAGATTGTGTTTGGTGACAGACTGTGCCGCCAACAGGCTCAACCTAAATATGGGAGAATTCCCAGGCAGAAACTTCCAGAGAAGTGTGCTCATCGATTCCCAAAAAGCTTCAAGGCCATCAGGCAGAACATCAGCACACTGAACATGAACAATAGAAGACATAGAGGATATTGGGCAGGGTGTTCTGGAGGCTTTGGAAAGCCCTGCAGATCTATGGAGACAAAATGTTACTTTACTTACAAGAAACCAGCTAACTTTCGGCAAAAACAAACCATCACGTATCCTAAATCATATGCTTACCTGACGACTTTCAGGGAAGTTAATTAGGAAGACCGGCCTTAAGGCCCTTGACCATCTGATGCTGTGGATGTTAATAGCTTCCAGGGACCCACAGATAATCAGATCGATCAAGGTCAGCTGTGAGAGACACAGGCCAGAGATGTCAGTATTACACTGTCCAAGGACAGTGGATGGGTGTTCACCAACCCAGGAGAGGTACAATGTTATGTGAAAAAGCACGTTTCATAGACAGCATAGTACCACTTTTGTAATACGACATTAATAATAACTAATGTTTGACGTTTTACTGTGTTCCATGTACTATAACAAGCACCTCTTGTAGATGATTTTAGACTCACCACACCAATTAGGTGGGCACTATTCCTGGAGGAGGAGCTTGAGGCACAGAGAGGGTAAGCATGTAGCCCCTGATCACACAGCTATCCAGGGCAGAGCTGGGACTGGAACCCAGACAGTCTGAGGGCTCAGCCCTTGCTATTAATCACACTGGGACATCCTTCCACACTACACCCTATTGACCTTCTCTTCAATTTGACATGTAAAAGAAAGGAGGTGTAGCCTAGTAACAGAGATGAGAATATCTAGAATACAGACAACCCCTATTAATCTTTATTAATGTCAGGTTTATGGGCAAGAGATTAAGGTGAAGATGGCCAAAAGAAGAACCTAGTGTATTTTAGAAAAATATAAGTAGAAAAGAACAATGTACCATCATCAAAAAAACTTGAATTTAGCCCCTTTGGTGGTAAGGCACAGAGGATCTAGTGAGCTCCTTCCCCTCAAAGGGCACGCCGCACGGGGCGGGTGTAGGGTCCAGCCCTACACGGTCTGTGGATTTTTCTCCTCGTGTGCAGAGATGAGAGATCGTAGAAATAAAGACACAAGACAAAGAGAAGAAAAGACAGCTAGGCCCGGGAGACCACTACCACCTAGACGCGGAGACCTATAGTGGCCCCAAATACCTGGCTGTGCTGGTATTTACTGGACACAAGGCAAAAGGGGCAGGGTAAGGAGTGTGAGTGATCTCCAATGATTGATAAGGTCACATGAGTCACGTGTCCACCGGACAGGGGGCCCTCCCTGTTTGGCAGTAAGGCGGAGAGAGAGGACAGCTTATGCCATTATTTCTTCTATGCATTTCAAAGACTTTTAGTACTTTCACTAATTCTGCTACTGCTATCTAGAAGGCAGAGCCAGGTGTACAGGGTGGAACATGAAAGTGGACCAGGAGCGTGACCGCTGAAGCACAGCATCACAGGGAGACGTTCCGGGCTCCAGATGGCTGTGGGCGGGGCTGACTGATGTCAGGCCTTCCACAAGAGGTGGTACAGCAGTCTTCTCTAACTCCCCCAAGGAAAGGGAGACTCCATAGTGCCTTCCATTGGCACTGACGCTACCGCTAGACCGAGGTCCGCTACGTAAGGGGCGTCTTCCCAGGTGCTGGCGTTACCGCTAGACTAGGGAGCCCTCTAGTGGCCTTTTCCAGGCGTAACAGAGGGCTCACGCTCTTGTCTTCCAGTCACTTCTCACCGTGTCCCTTCAGCTCCTATCTCTGTATGGCCTGGCTTTTCCTAAGTTATAATTGTAGAACAAAGATTATTATAATATTGGAATAAAGAGTAATGTTAACAAACTAATGATTAATGATATTCATATATAATCATATCTATAATCTATTTCTAGTATAACTATTCTTATTCTGTATATTTTCTTTATTATACTGGAACAGTTTTTGCCTTCAGTCTCTTGCCTTGGCACCTGAGTGGCTTGCCGCCCACAGGCGGGGGAAACAGCTAAGAAATGAGGCTGGTTCACAACTGCCGCACTGGAGGAAACCAGTGTGGCTGTCCCAGGGGAGCGAGGACAGGTGGATCACCAAGGGTTAAGATATTTGAGGGGCTTCATGGAGGAGGCACTCTTTGATGTAACCTACAGCACAGCAGAGCTTTAATAAAAACTCAGGAAGGTCAAGAGCTAGACAAGAAGATAGAATAAAAGGACTCTTGAGGAAGTACTGGGCTGGCATGTTGGGAAGCAGAGGGTCCTGGGAGTGGTGGCAAAGGGAAGCAGCAGAAAGTGATAAGGACCTATGGAAGGTGGCTTTGCAGGCCAGGCTAAAAAGGCAGGTCTCATTCCCAGGGCCTTTCAAATAACAGATGGAGCAAAGGAGTGAGAGGACAGCACAGGAGGCTGCATGAATATATCACATTCTACTTAAGACATATGTCTTATAATTTTTGTCTGGAAATCAGGTTGTTTCCAATTTTTCAATATTATAAACCGTCAGCCACCACCAATTTTGTGGCTAAATCTCTGAATGCATCCTTCTTTCCTACAGATAAATTCCCAGGAATGGAAGTCCAGGGTTAAAATATATTCACCTTCAAGGCTTTTGAAAGGAGCTGCCAAAGAGCCTTCCAGAAAGACAGTTTTATTCCTCTCTCTTGTAGGGTGTAAGAACATTTGTTTTATGGCAAAGACATGGAAGCAACTTAGGTGCTCATCAATGGTGGGTTAGGCAAAGAAAATGTGGTACATATACACCATGGAATACTATGCAGTCATTTAAAAAGAATGAAATTATGTCCTTTGCAGTAGTATGGATGCAGCCAGAGGCCATCATCCTAAGTGAATTAACAGAGAACAGAAAACCAAATACTGCATGTTGTCACTTATAAGTAGGAGCTAAACACTGGGTACTCATGGACACAAAGATGGCAACAGTAGACACTGGGGATTCCTGAGGGGAAGGGACAGAGGAGGGGAAGGGTTGAAAAACTACCTGCTGGATTCTAGGCTCACTACCTGAGTGATGGGATCAGTTGTACCCCAAACCTCACCATCACGAAATATACCCATGTAACAAACCTGCACATGTACCACCTGAATCTAAACTAAAAATTGAAATTACAAAAAGTTTGTTTTCAATCTTGCTAAGATTTTTTATAGGCAAACACATGGTATTTTATTGTCGTTTTATTCTATAATTTTTAATTAGTGACGTTAAACATCTTTCCTATCGGCCATTTTACATATTTTTTCCTTATGAGTTGCCTTCACTTATCTTCAGCAAAATTATCTATTGAGATATCTTTTTTTTCCTGTAATTTGGAAGTGCTCTTGATATGCTGAAATGTCTGCACTGCCACATTTTGCCCTATTTGTTCTTCAGTTTGGGGTTTGCTTGCAGTTGTGCTTATGGCGTTCACTGTATGGAAGTGTTGTTGTTTCATCAAAAGCAAATCTATTGAGTCTTTTTTCTTCATGGCTCCTGCCTTCGGTCATAAACTCTTACAGGTACTACAATGAACACTCGCCACTGTGGTTACCATGGTGCAGATGTCTTTTGTATCCTTCCAGAAAACCATTTGAGGAGTGACTTTTGCAAAATGTACCAGTCTGCCAAAGTATGCAGTCAGGCAGAGTACTTCTGCTATTGAGGTGGCCTGCAAGGAGAAAACAGAGGCTGAGCACGAGGGCTTGCCATGGGGAGGCTCAGCTTTAGTTATCCAGTACCACCCCCTGTCCCCTGCCACTACCCTACCTTTCCTGCCTGGCACCCTCTGAGAATTTGCCATGTCCCTTAATTTTACTGAAAATTGCAGCAACATTTTCTGCCGGTTAGAATGGCTTTTTCCTCTGAAAGGGAAATCTGCCACTGAGTCACAATCTCCATGACCCACACTGGCAGGGATTCCTGGGAGGGGCTGCACCAGCAGGCTGAGGACCAAGAACACATTTCCCCAGAAAAGGGGGAGGTCAGAGGCAGAGATCGTCTATGCTCTCAAATTCCCCATGTTCAAATTCCAGACACCTAGAAGTCCCATTTCTCTAACGGTAAGGTAATTCCCCAAAGATGTGTTTGGGAATAATGGGTCCTTCCATAAACATCACTGCCACTGCAGCCCTGCTGCCTATATGAGGCTGGTTAGAGACGAGGATGGAGCCCACTGAGATCAAGACCGAAGTCCTGATGGGCCTCCCTCTGTAGATTACGGGTGCCAACTCCAGACTCCTGTACCTGCTAGACTTGAAGCCCATGACTGCAGCCCAAGGTTTGCCTGAGGCTGTTGGGATGCAGTAACAACTTCCTAACAAGGGCACGTTCCTCCATCAATAGGGAGAGACAGGTGGAAGATAGGAAGAGATGGAGAAAGGGACAACTTGACTTAGGCTAAAAAGAGGGAAAAGTCTTGAGTGAGAGCTAGAGACAGGAGGAAGGGGCTGGCTGTGGGCCTGAAAGCAGCAGGGGACACTATCATTGCCCCCTAGTTCCAGCCCTCATGGGTCTGTGCACAGACTGGGCTGCAGCCCCTTGCAAATGTTCTAGCTCTCAGTCTGTTGACTCTTGAAGAGCTATAGAGACCCAATGTCAAGTCCAGCTTTGCAAAAGGGCCTTAGGCAATTTCAGGACATCCTTGCTTAAAACAAGACTTGCGTGGTAATGCTGGATGGGGGCCAAAGCCCTCAGAACACACTGGACTTTGGAGATTTACAGTACAAGGGCTGGCTGAAGGAACACTCTGAAACTCAGGCAGCCAACCCAAAGTTATACATGACCAATAACAGACAGGGGATGAGGACTCAGGAAAAGAGGCAAATGGCTAAGAAGACCACTCTGTGGGATTCCTACCTTGGCCAGAGTGGACCAGTGCTAAGGAGGGATAGACAACACTCTGTCCAGGTTTGTGAATGCACAGCTCTGTTTCTTCAGATTTTGTGTTTGTGTTGACTGTTATTGGGATAAAAGTCTTCTATCCAGAGAATTCATTAATTGCCGGATCTTTATTGTAAGACAGTTGGTGGATGTCACTTGGGCAGCCCCAGTGAGCCATACTTACAGTTTTCACCCCCTTTGCAGTGGCCTCCCAAGTTGACTCAGGTTTTGGCATGTGATTGACAACAGGACATCAGCAAGTGTGATGCAAGCAGAGGTTTGATGGTGCAGCACACTGGGATGCTCCTTCCTGGACCCAGCCACCCACTGGGAAAAGCCTAAGCCACGTGGAGCAGCTACATAGAAGAGGGCCGGGGCCACAGCTACAGCCAGCAGCTCCTGCCAGCCACGTGAGAGAGCTACCTTGATGTTCCAGCCTCCAGAGATCTAAGAGCTTCCAGACATCTACCACCCCAGCCACACCACCTGAGCCAATGTCCCACAGAGTCATGGGAGATAATAAAAGGCTGTTGTTCTCTAAAGCTAGGGGTTAGTGAACTCTTTCTGTTAAAGTAAACATGTGAAGCTTTGCAAGTCTTACAGTCTCTGTCACAACCACTAAACTGTTGATGTAGCTCCAAAGCAGCCAAAGACAACACATAAATTAATAAGTGTGGCTATGTTCCCATAAAACATTATTTGCAGACAGCAAAATTTGTATTTCATATCACTTCCATGTGTCACAAAATATTAATCTTCAGTGTCCTTTTTCCTAGTCATTTTAAAATGTAAAAACTATTTGTCTTAGTCTGATCAGGCTGCTATAAAAGAATACCATAGACTGGGTGGCTCATAAACAACAGAAATTTATTTCTCACAGCTCTGGAGGCTGGGAAGTCCAAGATCAAAGCACTGTCAAATTTGGTGTCTGATGAGGGCCCACTTTCTGGTTCACAGACAGCCATTTTTTTGTGGCGTTCTCACTTGACAGAAGGGGCAAGGGAGCTCCTTGAAGCATCTTTTATGAGGGGACTAATCCCATTCATGAGATGGGCTCTGCCCTCATGATCTGATCACCTCCAAATACCTCCACACTGGGACTAGGTTTTGAAATACGAATTTTGGGAACACACAAACATTCCATTTGTAGCACCATTCTTAGCTCATAGGCTGTACAAAAATAAGCAGCAGCTGAATTTGTCCCACAGGCCATGGTTTCCCAACCCTTGTTTTAAGTGTTTGAGTTTTAGGATGGTTTGTAAATATGTTTGTGCAATTGATAACTGAAATAAGGTAGAATAAAAAAGGGTCTGTGTGGTTGTTAAAAAGCAAAAGCTTTGAAATCAGGCTTAGGCTTGAAGCCTAGTTCTGCCTTTGTTGCCTAGTAACCTTGGACAAGTTATACAATCTTTCTAGGCTCAGCTTCCTTATCTGTTAAAATGGGTATAATAACAGCAGGCACATCCCATTGAGTCCCTGTAAGGCTTAAGGAGAATACAGAGAAAGCATGAGATCACCCAGCAGATAGCAAGCAGGGAGCAAATGACAGCTATTAAGACAGAGGTAAGAGTAATGACGAATCAGAAATCAACATGGGCAGGGCACTGGTCTACTATTTAGACCTCTCTGGATTGGCTGGTGAATTTGATACATTACTCAAAATCAAATGTGATCAGCCCCTAAGCACCAATAAATACTCTAATAATTTATGACTATGAAAAAAAGCTGAAAATGTGGCATGTACAAGTTGCATATTACACTATATGAGAACATCATCTACTTGGCAGTAAGTAAATTGGCTTTGAAAACATCATTGAACCATCTCTGATTTTGTGTGTGTGTGCACAGAAGACCAAAATCTCCCACTGCACTTAAAATGCGTTATGAAGGAAGCATGTGTTTGGTGAGTAGACAGAACTTCTCTAATCCCCCAGCAAAAAAAATAAATAACATCTAATTCATATTTGTTGAAATTTGAGGGGAAAAAAAGAAGAGGCACAAGGCCCAATCATCTATGACCAAATCTGGCTAGCCATCTGCTATGGCTTGCTTACCAAGAAAGGCAGGGGAAGCAACTCAGACTCTTCAAACAGGGCAAGAGCGAGGTCTACACAAATAAAGAAGTATGCGGCAACCTGCGTTGTCTAGTGGTTATAAAAATAGTAACGTCTGGAGGAGAAAAAGACAAAAGTGATTATAAACAACGAACAGGAGCTACACAGCACCCAAACATCTCTTTAAAGAACTAATGCTGGGTAAAATAAGAAAGTTAAGGCTTAGTCATGTTTCCTTTAAATTCTAGGGAGCAGGAGGCAGTATTTAATGATCATATACTATAAACACTAACACAAAAAAATCAAGCATATGATCATAACTCAAAGCACATTTTCTTAACAGTCTCAAGCTAAGATTATACCTTCCCATGGGGTTGTTGTGATAGTAATAAGAGAATACTTGCAGAGGACTTGAACAGTGACGGACACAGATTAAACCCTCAGTTAAAGTGGCCTATTATGATGTGGCATGGTGGCCTAACCCAATTTTAAAATGTACATCATCCCATCTTAACATGATAGACTCAGAAGAGATCTGGCAAAAGGTCATGCCAGTCTCTCCCCAGGTGGGGACAGTACCCCAAACATGCTCGGCAACATCCAGGGATGAGGTATTGGCTGCCTTGGGAGGCCCTGAGGCTGAGCCCTAGTGATAAACAGGCTGAGCACCTGTAGGGGGTGACAGAGAAAAAGCTGAATTCCCATGAGAAGAGCAAACATATGGATTGCATCACAAAACAATGGACAGGACAAAAAAGCCTTTTCACTTGAGGTAACTCTAAGAGGATGACATAAAAGGAAAAGACAATGGCAAGTTCTTCCCTTGAATGCCCTAGCTTCTATGCTGGGTATTGCTCATTTTACTCATTTGTCTGATCTTAATCTATTTATTGAATGCTTCCCTGCGTGTGAGGCCCATGCTCTTATAACTCAAAAAAAAAAAAAAATTCAGCCAGGCATGGTGGCTCACATATCTAATCCCAGGCCTTGGTGGGAGGATCACTTGAGCCCAGGAGTTCAAGGCTGCAGTGAGCCATGATCACACCACTGAACTCCAGCCCAGGCAACAAAGCAAGACCCTGTCTCAAAAAAAAAAAAAAAAAGTATTGGATTACGTCCAAATCTATGTGCTGTACCCTATATACTTCTCAAAATATCTGTGTAAACAATGCCTTCAGTTTGGGTTCAAGTTCAAGAGTATCAAGTGCTGAAGGACAGGTGGTTCCACATGATGGTTTAACATGTTAGTTACCTGATGGCCTGAGGTGAGTTTCAAATGGAACATTTCTGTTGTACTGGGCATCCAAAACATAGGCAGCTGCCAGGAGAAGGTCCTGTTCCCCATTGAGACAGAGTAAGGGAGACCAAGTCAGAGGAGGAGAGGATACTTTTCTTTTTCCTTTGTTAAGTATGCACTGAGTATAAAAGGAAGCTCCCCTTCGCCTCTCCACAGACCCACTCTCCCAGAGGTAGCCAACATCTAAACAGTGTTGTCTCCACACCTCCAATGTCTCTTTGAGCACCGAGAATCCTGCAGTGGGACCAGGTCCAGACACACTCCACTTTCTTGAATTCAAATATAGGCTCTCAGAGGAAATGTAAATAAGCATTGACTAGAGCATGTATTTGTACCTAAATGGTATATTCATACATACATATATTAATATATGGTTAGGTACACATGTATATACAAATATATATACGGTCATGTGCCCCATAACATTCTGGTCAACAATGAACCACATATATAACAGGGTTCCCATAAGATTATAATGAGCTGAAAAATTCCTACCACCTAGTGAGGTCATAGCACAACAAAATACAAAATTGTGGTGATGCTGGTGTCAACAAACCTCCACGGCCAGTCGTATAAAATTCTAGCACATACAATTATGTATGGTACATAATATTTGATAATGATAATAAATGATTATGTTACTGGTTTATGTATTTACTACACTATGCTTTTTATGGTTATTTTAGATTGCACTCCTACTTATTAAAAAAAAAAGTTAACTGTAAAACAGCCTCAGGCAAGTCCTTCAGGAGGATTCCAGAAGAAGGCATTGTTATTCCAGGAGGTGACAGCTCCATAAGTGTTATGGCCCCTGAAGACCTTCCAGTGGGACGAGATGCAGAAGTGGAAGACAGTGATATTGAGGGTCCTGACCCTGTGTAGGCCTAGGCCAATGCATACGTTTGTGTCTTAGTTTTTAATAAAGAGTTTATGAAGTTAACATTTTTTAAGTTTAAAAATAGAAAAAAGCTTATAGGATAAGGATATAAAGAAAGAAAATATTTAGTATAGCTATGCAATGTGTTTTAAGCTGCTATTGCAAAAGAATCAAAACGTTTATAGAGTAGAAAATTTATAGTAAGCTAAGGTTAATTTGTTATTGAAGAAAGAAAAATATTTTTTATAAATGTAGTCAACTGTACAGTGTTTCTAAAGTCTACAGTAGTGTGCAGTGATTCCTAGACCTTCACATTTACTCACCACTCATTCACTGACTTACCCAGGACAACTGCCAGTCCCGCAAGCTCCATTCATGGGAAGTGCCCTATTCATCTTTTACCTTTTATACCATATTTTTACTGTACCTTTTCTATGTTGAGATACACGAATACACAATTGTGTTACAGTTACCTGCCATATTCAGTACAGTAATATGCTCTACAGGTTTGTAGCCTAGAAAAATAGTCTACAGCCTAGGTGTCTAGTAAGTTATGCCATTTAAGTTTGTGTAAGTACATTGTATGATATTTGCACAATGATGAAATCCCCTAGTGATCCATTTCTCAGAATATATCCCTGTTGTTAAGTGACGCATTACTGTATATATACATATACATACAAACAAATCTGTAACACAAAATTATATACTATGTGTATTTACACTACATTATATATTTATATACATATAAACACAAAACACAAAATTCCTTTTATATTTGCAAGTTTTGCCAAAGATGTGGAGCAACTGGAACTCTCATACGTTGCTGGTTGGAATAGAAAATGGCACATTTACTTTGGAAGACAGTTTGGTAGTTTCTTAAAACGTTAAAAAGTATGACCCAGCCATGCTACTTTGAAGTGTTTTCCAAAAGGAAAGACAGCATATGTCCACACAAAGACTAGTACATCCACCCCAAGTATGTGGCTCATGTTAGACACCTCATCCCAAAGCTGCACACATACACATACGTTCATCCCAGCTTAACAGCCCAAAACTAGAAACCAAAATGTCCACAGACAGGTGAGTGGATAAACAAAGTGTACTGTATCTCTACAATGGAATACTACTCAGCAATAAAAAGGAATGAGTAACTAATAGATGTAACAAAATGGATGAATCTCAAAATAACTGTGCCGAGTGAAAGAAGCCAACCACCCCCCGAAAAGAGTACTCACTGTATGATTCCATCTGCATAAAATTCTGGAAAATGAAAACTAACCTACAGTGACAGAACCCGCATCAGTGGTCGTGTGTTGGCAGGAGGAGGAAGATGGGAACAGGCTGGGCATGGTGGCTCATGCCTATAATCCCAGCACTTTGGGAGGCTGAGGTGGGCAGATCACTTGAGGTCGGGAGTTTGAAACTAGCCTGGCCAACAAGACGAAACCCCGTCTCTATTAAAAATACAAAAACTAGCCGGGCATGGTGCCATGCACCTGTAATCCCAGCTACTTGAGAGGCTGAGGCAGGAGAATAGCTTGAACTCGGGAGGCGGAGGTTGCAGCGAGCCGAGATTGTGCCATTGCACTCTAGCCTGGGCGACAGAGAGAGATTCCGTCTCAAAAAAAAAAAAAAAAAAAAAGAGTGGAACGAAGAGAACTGAGAGAGAGAGAGATTACAAATAGGCATAAGAAAACATATAGGGGTGACTGATATGTTCATTATTCTTATCATGGCATTACTATCCCAAGGGCATTCATACACCAAAACTCATCAAGCTGCATACTTCAAATAAATGTAGTTTAGTGTATGTCTATTATAATCTAAAAAAGCTGTTAAAATGCCCAAAATGAAAGACAAATACTTGGATTAAAAAAGTTGATGTAGAACAATAATCTCATAGATGAATTAACTACCGTAAGAGCCGATCGCTTTTTGAGTAACAGGTATGCTCAGGGTTGGTATGGCAATTCTTACAGGCAGTTTATTAAAATCTAAGAAGCACCATGTAAATGTGTTTAACACTTATCACACATTTTTCTTTTTTTTTTCCTTTTCGAGATAGAGTTTCACTTTGTCACACAGGCTGGAGTGCAGTGGCACAATCTCGGCTCACTGCAAACTCTGCCTCCCGGTTTCAAGCGATTCTCCTGCCTCAGCCTCCTGAGTAGCTGGGATTACAGGCACGCACCACCATGCCAGTCTAGTTTCTCTAATTTTAGTAGAGACAGTGTTTCACCATGTTGGCCAGGCTGGTCTCAAACTCCTAACCTCAAGTGATCCGCCTACCTCGGCCTCCCAAAGTGCTGAGATTACAGGCGTGACCCACAATGCCCAGCCAAACATTTTTCTTTTACATATTTAAAAAACATTCTAGTAGGAAAACCATTAATATCAATTATTTTTTTCATTGAAAATCTTTAACACTGAGGAAGAATACAGTTCCCAGGACATGCTTAGAAATATATTTTAGGTAGAAAATGCCTCGCATCAGCAAGAGTTGATTTTTTTTTTTTAATGAACACACACCAACTTTAAGAAAATTCCATTAAGCCTCAAAAAGATCATACTTGAAGAGTTCTGACATTGAGGCTTTTTAAAAAAATTTCTGGCAAAGATCTTTTAAGGCCACTGTTGTCCCCAGTGATGCTACAAACATCCTTACAGTCCCAGTGAGGCCATTTGTCCACAAACATAAGCAGTTCAACACTCACGGATTTGAGATGCATCCTTCATATGCCCTCCAGGTAGAGAAAGGAAAAAAACACTCACCAGCAATGCCTCAGCCAGTCAGGCCCTCGGGGTCATCTCCATGAGACAGATCCCAGACCCCAGACATTGAATGACCAGCACCTCATCACCCCCACCAACTGCCATCTGAACTCATCCTTGCTGTTTTAAAATCTGCTGATTCTATCATAATAGCCATTTCACCCTTACACTAACGTTTCAAAGCTTTCCCATTCTTAACTGGTATTACATTTCTGACATCTATCTCCTTTTAAAATCGCATCTCCTTTATGCTTTGGTTCTAATTGCCTTCCTTCTCCTCCTCCCTCCCATTTGTGCGCAACTTCTAAGTGTCCTGCGTTCCGTGTGGGAAGCGGTACTCTTAGAAGACAGACTTTACTGTAATAAGCATGTTTATTTGAACTAAGGCCATTTGTATTTTCCCATAAAACAAACTGTTTTTACCCAACCCAAGAATGTGGATTATGTTAGACACCCAATTCCACAACTTCACATACTTTTCAAGTTTACATGCGAACCACTGTCCATATCTACCATGAAAATAGCAAAGACCAAATAGCAGATGTTTCCCCAGATGCAGCTTAAATGTGGCTGCAAACCTCAAAACAGCATCCCAACTATGGGAGGCATTGGCAACTGTGGGAGTGGTGATTCTCAATCCCCACAGCATATGACAATCATCTTAACAACTTTTAAAGATCCTACTGAAGTCCAGGTCACATGCAGACCCCAACTGCATCAGAACCTCTGGGAGGTAGAACCCAGGATTAATCTTTAATTATTATTATTAAGTTCTAGGGTACATGTGCACAACGTGCAGGTTACACATGTATACATGTGCCATGTTGTTTTGCTGCACTCATTAACTCGTCATTTACATTAGGTATTTCTCCTAATGCTATCCCTCCCCCATCCCCCCAACCCATGACAGGCCCCAGTGTGTGACGTTCTCCGTCTTGTGTCCAAGTGTTCTCATTGTTCAACTCCCACCTATGAGTGAGAACATATGGTGTTTGGTGCTCTGTCCTTGCGATAGTTTGCTCAGAATGATGGTTTCCAGCTTCATCCATGTCCCTACAAAGGACATGAACTCATCCTTTTTTATGGCTGCATAGTATTCCATTGTGCATTTGTGCCACATTTTCTTAATCCAGTCTATCACTGATGGACATTTGGGTTGGTTCCAAGTCTTTGCTATTGTGAATAGTGCCACAATAAACATATGTGTGCATGTGTCCTTATAGTAGCATGATTTATAATCCTTTGGGTATATACCCAGTAATGGGATTGCTGGGTCAAATGGTATTTCTAGTTCTAGATCCTTGAGGAATCGCCACACTGTCTTCCACAATGGTAGAACTAATTTACACTCCCACCAACAGTGTAAAAGCATTCCTATTCTCCCCATCCTCTCCAGCACCTGTTGTTTCCTGACTTTTTAATGATTGCCATTCTAACTGGTGTGAGATGGAATCTCACTGTGGTTTGGATTTGCATTTTTCTGACGACCAGTGATGATGAGCATTTTTTCATGTGTCTGTTGGTTGCATAAATGTCTTCTTTTGAGAAGTGTCTGTTCATATCCTTTGCCCACCTTTTGATGGGGTTGTTTGATTTTTTCTTGTAAATTTGTTTAAGTTATTTGTAGATTCTGGACATTAGCTCTTTGTCAGATGGCTAGATTGCAAAAATTTTCTCCCATTCTGTAGGTTGCCTTTTCACTCTGATGGCATTTTCTTTTGTTGTGCAGAAACTCTTTAGTTTAATTAGATCCCATTTGTCTCTTTCGGCTTTTGTTGCCATTGCTTTTGGTGTTTTAGTCATGAAGTCCTTGCCCATGTCTATGTCCTGAATGGTATTGCCTAGGTTTTCTTCTAGGGTTTTTATGGTTTTAGGTCTAACATTTAAGCCTTTAATCCACCTTGAATTAATTTTTGTATAAGGCATAAGGAAGGGATCCAGTTTCAGCTTTCTACATACGGCTAGCCAGTTTTCCCAGCACCATTTATTAAATAGGGAATCCTTTCCCCATTGCTTGTTTTTCTCAGGTTTGTCAAAGATCAGATGGTTGTAGATGTGTGGTGTTATTTCTGAGGCCTCTGTTCTGTTCCATTGGTCTATATCTCTGTTTTGGTACCAGTACCATGCTGTTTTGGTTACTGTAGCCTTGTAGTATAGTTTGAAGTCAGGTAGCGTGATGCCTCCAGCTTTGTTCTTTTTGCTTGGGATTGTCTTGGCAATGAGGGCTCTTTTTTGGTTCCATATGAACTTTAAAGTAGTTTTTTCTAATTCTGTGAAGAAAGTCATTGGTAGCTTGATGGGGATGGCATTGAATCTATAAATTACCTTGGGCAGTATGGCCATTTTCACAATATTGATTCTTCCTGTCCATGAGCATGGAATGTTCTTCCATTTGTTTGTGTCCTCTTTTATTTCATTGAGCAGTGGTTTGTTGTTCTCCTTGAAGAGGTCCTTCACGTCCCTTGTAAGTTGGATTCCTAGGTATTTTTTTCTCTTTGTAGCAATTGTGAATGGGAGTTCAGTCATGATTTGGCTCTCTGTCTGTTATTGGTGTATAGAAATGCTTGTGATTTTTGCACATTGATTTTGTTTCCTGAGACTTTGCTGAAGTTGCTTATCAGCTTAAAGAGATTTTGGGCTGAGATGATGGGGTTTTCTAAATATACAATCATGTCATCTGCAAACAGGGACAATTTGACTTCCTCTTTTCCTAATTGAATACCCCTTATTTCTTTCTCTTGCCTGATTGCCCTGGTCAGAACTTCCAACACTATGTTGAATAGGAGTGGCGAGAGAGGACATCCCTGTCTTGTGCCAGTTTTCAAAGGGAATGCTTCCAGTTTTTGCCCATTCAGTATGATATTGGCTGTGGGTTTGTCATAAATAGCTCTTAGTATTTTGAGATACATTTCATCAATACCTAGTTTATTGAGAGATTTTAGCATGAAGGGATGTTGAATTTTGTCAAAGGCCTTTTCTGCATCTATTGAGATAATTGTGTGTTTTTTGTCTTTGGTTCTGTTTATGTGATAGATTACATTTATTAATTTGTGTATGTTGAACCAGCCTTGCATCCCAGGGGTGAAGCCAACTTGATCTTGGTGGATAAGCTTTTTGATGTGCTGCTGGATTCAGTTTGCCAGTATTTTATTGAGGATTTTCGCACCGATGTTCATCAGGGATATTGGTCTAAAATTCTCTTTTTTTGTTGTGTCTCTGCCAGGCTTTGGTATCAGGATGATGCTGGCCTCATAAAATGAGTTATGGAGGATTGCCTCTTTTTCTATTGATTGGAATAGTTTCAGAAGGAATGGTACCAGCTCCTCTTTGTACCTCTGGTGGAATTCAGCTGTGAATCGGTCTGGTCCTGGACTTTTTTTGGTTGGTAGGCTATTAATTACTGCCTCAATTTCTGAGCCTGTTATTGGTCTATTCAGGGATTCGACTTCTTCCTGGTTTAGTCTTAGGAGGGTGTATGCATCCAGGAATTTATCCATTTCTTCTAGATTTTCTAGTTTACTTGTGTAGAAGTATTGATAGTATTCTCTGATGGCAGTTTGTATTTCTGTGGGATCGGTGGTGATATCCTCTTTATCATTTTTTATTGCATCTATTTGATTCTTCTCTCTTTTCTTCTTTATTAGTCTTGCTAGCGGTCTATCAATTTTGTTAATCTTTTCAAAAAACCAGCTCCTGGATTCAATGATTTTTTCAAGGTTTTTTTTTCTGTCTCTATCTTCCTCAGTTCGGCTCTGATCTTAGTTATTTCTTGTCTTCTGCTAGCTTTTGAATGTGTTTGTTCTTGCTTCTCTAGTTCTTTTAATTGTGATGTTAGGGTGTCGATTTTAGAACTTCCCTGCTTTCTCTTGCGGGCATTTAGTGCTATAAATTTCCCTCACATGCTGCTTTAAAAGTGTCCCAGAGATTCTGGTACATTGTGTCTTTGTTCTCGTTGGTTTCAAGGAACATCTTTGTTTCAGCCTTAATTTCGTTATTTACCCAGTAGTCATTCAGGAGCAGGTTGTTCGGTTTCCATGTAGTTGTGCGGTTTTCAGTGAGTTTCTTAGTCATGAGTTCTAATTTGATTGCGCTGTGGTCTGTGAGACAGTTTGTTGTAATTTCTGTTCTTTTACATTTGCTGAGGAGTGCTTTACTTCCAACTAAGTGGTCAATTTTGGAGTAAGTGCGATGTGGTGCTGAGAAGAATGTAGATTCTGTTGATTTGGGGTGGAGAGTTCTGTAGATGTCTATTAGGTCTGCTTGGTGCAGAGCTGAGTTCAAGTCCTGGATATCCTTGTTAACCTTCTGTCTCGTTGATCTGTCTAAAATTGACAGGGGGTTGTTAAAGTCTCCCATTATTATTGTGTGGGAGTCTAAGTCTCTTTCTAGGTCTCTAAGGACTTGCTTTATGAATCTGGATGCTCCTGTATTGGGTGCATATATATTTAGGATAGTTAGCTCTTCTTGTTGAATTGATCCCTTTACCATTATGTAATGGCCTTCTTTCTCTTTTGATCTTTGTTGGTTTAAAGTCTGTTTTATCAGAGACTAGGATTGCAACCCCTGCTTTTTTTTTGCTTTCCATTTGCTTGGCAGATCTTCCTCCATCCCTTTATTTTGAGCCTATGTGTGTCTCTGCATGTGAGATGGGTATCCTGAATACAGCACACTGATGGGTCTTGATTCTTTATCCAATTTGCCAGTCTGTGTCTTTTAATTGGGGCATTTAGCCCATTTACCTTTAAGGTTAATATTGTTATGTGTGAATTTGATCCTGTAATTATGATGTTAGCTGGTTATTTTGCCTGTTAGTTGATGCAGTTTCTTCCTAGCATCGACGGTCTTTACAATTTGGCATGTTTTTGCAGTGGCTGGTACCGGTTGTTCCTTTCCATGTTTAGTGCTTCCTTCAGGAGCTCTTGTAAGGCAGGCCTGGTGGTGACAAAATCTCTCAGCATTTGTTTGTCTGTTAAGGATTTTATTTATCCTTCATTTATGAAGCTTAGTTTGGCTGGATATGAAATTCTGGGTTGAAAATTCTTTTCTTTAAGAATGTTGAATATTGGCCCCCACTCTCTTCTGGCTTGTAGTTTCTGCCGAGAGATCCGCTGTTAGTCTGATGGGCTTCCCTTTGTGGGTAACCCGGCCTTTCTCTCTGGCTGCCCTTAACATTTTTTCCTTCATTTCAACTTTGGTGAATCTGACAATTATGTATCTTGCGGTTGCTCTTCTCGAGGAGTATCTTTGTGGTGTTCTCTGTATTTCCTGAATTTGAATGTTGGCCTGCCTTGCTAGGTTGGGGAAGTTCTTCTGGATAACATCCTGACAAGTGTTTTCCAGCTTGGTTCCATTCTCCCCATAACTTTGAGGTACACCAATCAAACATAGATTTGGTCTTTTCACATAGTCCCATATTTCTTGGAGGCTTTGTTCATTTCTTTTTACTCTTGTTTCTCTAAACTTCTCTTCTCACTTCATTTCATTAATTTGATTTTCAATCACTGATACCCTTTCTTCCACTTGATCGAATTGGCTACTGAAGCTTCTTCATGCGTCACATAGTTATTGTGCCATGGTTTTCAGCTCCATCAGGTCATTTAAGGTCTTCTCTATGCCGTTTATTCTAGTTAGCCATTCGTCTAATCTTTTTTCAAGGTTTTTAGCTTCCTTGCGATGGGTTCAAACATCCTCCTTTAGCTCAGAGAAGTTTGTTATTACCGACCTTCTGAAGCCTATTTCTGTCAACTCGTCAAAGTCATTCTCTGTCCAGCTTTGTTCCGTTGCTGGTGAGGAGCTGCAATCCTTTGGAGGAGAAGAGGTGCTCTGGATTTTACAATTTTCAGATTTTCTGCTCTGGTTTCTCCCCATCTTTGTGGTTTTATCTACCCTTGGTCTTTGATGATGGTGACCTACAGATGGGTTTTTGGTGTGGATGACCTTTTTGTTGATGTTGATGCTATTTCTTTCTGTTTGTTAGTTTTCCTTCTAACAGTCAGGTCCCTCAGCTGCAGGTCTGTTGGAGTTTGCTGGAGGTCCACTCCAGACCCTGTTTGCCTGGGTATCACCAGCAAAGGCTGCAGAACAGCAAATATTGCAAAACAGCAGATGTTGCTGCCTGATCCTTCCTCTGGAAGCTTTCTCTCAGAGGGGCACCTGGCTGTATGAGGTGTCAGTCGGCCCCTACTGGGAGGTGTCTCCAAGTTAGGCAACACGGGGGTCAGGGACCCACTTGAGGAGGCAGTCTGTCCATTCTCAGAGCTCAAACATTGTGCTCGGAGAACCACTGCTCTCTTCAGACAGTGATGTTTTAAATCTGCAGAAGTTTCTGCTGCCTTTTGTTCAGCTATGCCCTTCCCCCAGAGGTGGAGTCTACAGAGGCAGGCAGGCCTTGTTGAGCTGTGGTGGGCTCCACCCAGTTCAAGCTTCCTGGATGCTTTGTTTACCTACTCAAGCTTCAGCAATGGTGAATGCCCGTCCCCCAGACAGGCTGCAGCCTCACAGTTCGATCTTGGACTGCTGCGCTAGCAGTGAGCAAGGCTCCGTGGGTGTGGGACCCACTGAGCCAGGGGCGGGATATAATCTCCTGGTATGCCATTTGCTAAGACCATTGGAAAAGCACAGTATTTGGGTGGGCATGTCCTGTTTTTCCAGGTACAGTTTTCACAGCTTCCCTCAGCTAGGAAAGGGAAATCCCCTGACCCCTTGCACTTCCCAGGTGAGGCGATGCCCTGCCCTGCTTCAGCTCGCCCTCCATGGGCTGCACCCACTGTCCAACCAGTCCCAATGAGATGAACCATGTACCTCAGTTGGAAATGCAGAAATCACCCGTCTTCTGCATCGATCACACTGGGAGCTGCAGACTGGAGCTGTTCCTATTTGGCCATCTTGGAATGGACCCTCCCACGATTAATCTTTTAAAGTTCACAAATGATTTGAACATGCAGTCAAGACTGAAAACCACTGATGTAAATATAGCCATTTTCCTAGTATTTCTTCTATTTTCCTTTCCTTTCTTTTTTTTTTTTTTTTTCTGAGGCAGGGTCTTACTCTGTTGCCCAGGCTAGAGTGCAGTGGCATGATCATGGCTTACTGCAGCCTCCACCTCCAAGCTCAAGCGATTCTCCTGCCTCAGCCTCCTGAGTAGCTGGAGCTACAGGTGCACGCCACCATGCCCAGCTAATTTTTGTTGTAGAGACAGGTTTTGCCATGTTGTCCTGGCTGTTCAAAATCTCCTGGGCTCAAGCAATCCATCCAGCTTGGCCTCCCCAAGTGCTGGGATCACAGGTAACAACCACTGCACCCCTCCTGTTTTCTATTTTAATTGCACCATGACAATAATTGCCTTCTCTTGATTTTCTCTTTCTCTTCTTCTCAGAGCTGTGATATTTATTTTCCTCCTCCCAAGACTTAAAAATGTTGTTAAGGATTTTGTGTTTTCTCTTCCATCCCCACCCCTCAACTCAGTAAGCCTTCATTCTGGGGAAGATGAATCCCTTGGAATCCCTTAGAGGGTGAAAAGAATGCAGGAAGGAGGGAAAGATAAGATTCCAGAGGCTCTCAGTGGAGAGAGCCAGAAAGTTCCTTCTCTATGAACCCAGCAAATGTCTCCTTCAGTATTAACTGTGGTAGTAATAAACCATTGTAAGCCCCCAAATACCTTTAAGTCAGTCAAAAATAACCTAGGCAAAATGCAAAGTTGTTGATAGAAGTGTTTTGAGGTCAGGTGTGGTGGCTCACGCCTATAATCCTAGCATTTTGGGAGGCCAAAGTGGGCGGATCACGAGCTCAGGAGATCGAGACCATCCTGGCTAACCCAGTGAAACCCCATCTCTACTAAAAATACAAAAAATTAGCCAGGCGTGGTGGCGGGCGCCTGTAGTCCCAGCTACTCGGGAGGCTGAGGCAGGAGAATGGCGTGAACCCGGGAGGCGGAGCTTGCAGTGAGCCGAGATCGCGCCACTGCCCTCCAGCCTGGGCGACAGAGCAAGACTCCATCTCAAAACAACAACAACAACAACAACAAAAAAAAAAAAAAAAAAAGAAAAAGAAGAAGTGTTTTGAAAACAGCCAATATGTCTTGGTTATACAGGTAAGAACATTAACATAATTAACTATAACTTAAGGTAAAGAGAAGTTCCCATAAATTTTAAGTTAAATTCTTCCACTTCTCCATTTTTCTTTCCAATTCCAATGCTCCTTTCCTTACTAAAAACACTACACAGTAGTCCCCCCTTAATTGAGAAGAATAGGTTCCAAGACCCCCAGTTAGTTCCTGAAACTGAGCATAGTACCAAACCCTGTATATACTATGTCTTTTCAATCTGATAACCCAACAGCTACTAAGTGACTAGTGGGCAGGTAGTGTCTACTGCATAGATACGTGGGACAAAGAGATGATTCACGTCCCAGGTGGACAGAGCAGGACATCCGGAGATTTCACCATGCTACTCAGAACAGTGCACAATTGAAAACTTATGAATTGTTTATTTCTGTAAATTTTTATTGGATATTTTTGGACTGCAGTTGACCTAGAGTAACTGGAACCGCAGAAAACAAAACCAAAAAAACCATGGATAAGAGAGGCTACTGTACCTTCTGTCTCCCTCAGTACACCGTGTCCTCCCACAAGCTCTTCCTGCATACTGATAGAATAGATTACTGCTTTCCTCATGAGACCCCCCCATTCAAAAGCATCAGGTGATTTCTCTCTGCCTAAAGCGATTTCTCTTTGTCCAATCGAGTGCAAAACCCTTGGCTTAGCATTTGGGGGCTCCACAATCTCTCCTCTACTCCTGTCTCCAATTTAATCTCCCTCACTTCCCCTATAGGAACACTTTTCTCTGGCCAAAATTGGTGGACTTGTCCACTGTCCCTCTATGAACCCACCTCCGTGCCTGATCTCACGCTCACTTAAAACCAGGAGTAATTTTTTCCACTTTCCTTCACTGGACACCTGTCTCAAATTTCACTTTCTCCATGAAGATTGGCAATCCCAGCAGCTTCTATTTCCACACAAAAAGACTGCCTGGAAAAGCTGGGGTCTTGACACACATTGTGGACATTTTATACGAAGAAACAGCTGCGGGGGATAGGACAGGGCACAGCAGTTGTGGGAGAAGGGTGACTGAGTAGGTGGCAATGAGGTGTTAGGGTAAAGACCTTATGTTCCTCTATAAAGAAAGTAGCAAACCAACAACTGACAGGCCAAGTGCAGCCTAAAGTTGTGTTTTGTTTGGCCCAGAGAGTGTTTTTAGATGCTGGTTACTCATTCCAATTTTTTAAAAGCTGGAGCTTACACAAAAATTTGAACTTCTGGCTTCTCTTTAAAAGATTATAACATTCAGCCATGCTGCGCTGTATTTCAATAAGTTTTTGCTACCCACCCTGATTCTTGGTCACCTAAATAAACACTTATTATTTTCCCCAATTCTGTGGGTCAGCTGGGCAGTCCTGGTCTGGGCCAACTTAGCTGATCTCTGTGGTCATCTGGGACTGGATGGTCTAGAACAGCCTTGCTCACATATCTTGGCCATGTGCATCCTGCAGCAGGCTAGCCAGGGCTCTTCCACCGGTCGTGGTCAAAGTTTCCCAAGCGCATCAGGAGAGCAAGCACCAATGTCTGAGTGCCTTTCACACCTCTGCCTGTATCCCATCTACTAATGTCCCATCAGCCAAAGCAAGTCTCATGGCCAAACCCAGATTCAAGCGCTGGAGAAACAGATCCCACCTCTTGATATAAGGAGTTGCAAAGGCACATTGCAAAAAGGGTATGTATTCAGGGATGGGAAGACTTTCTGGCCATTTTTGCAATCTATGATAGCCGTGGTCAACTGGAGGTGGGTAGCTGTGGTCTTCTTTGGGCAGGGGACATGCCATCAGGTCATCACAAACCCCACTCCTCTCCCTCACTGAATCATTGCTACCTAGCCCACTGGCTTTATGTTGCTCCTTGGACCACCTGAGTGGAACACTTTCTCAAGCCCTCCTGGTTACTGCAAACAACAGCTCTGCAAATTGCTAAAAGGGAGCACCAGTGGATTAAGACCGCAAAGCAGGGTAATGCAGGATCTGCACGAACAGGTTTAAGAACAAGAACATTCAAAAAGAAGCACATAAAAGTATCAAGAGGTTAACATAGAACTGTCACAAAGGAATGGCATAAGACACAGGCTCTCAACCCTGGTGGCACTTTTGAATCACTCAGTAGCCTGAAACTTACTACTGCCCAGGACGCATCCATATCAATTACATCAGAATCTCAGGGGTAGAGGCTGAACTGGATACAGTCCTAAAAGCTCCTTAGCTAATGCTAACCAATGGCAAAATTGAGAATCACTAGCATTGGGTTCTTTCTATTTCAAAGTTCAAAGTGTTGGTAAATTCCCCCAAAGAAGTAGATTGCCATCTTAGTAGCCAAAAAAAAAGAAACTCCAATCACAAAAGAGTCTTAAAAATAAGTATTTGAAAGGAGAGGGGGTTAATGCATTTCAGGTGACTAGGCAGGTTCTAGTTACATGAATCCAAACTAATTCTTAAATAAGGTTAACCCAGTTATATTGGCCATTGAGTGCCCGAGGTCAGAACCTGGGGAGGGAAGAAGATCTAGATGCCTTCTCTGATTTAATGACTCAATCAATGATGTTATCTCAGATGGCAGAAGCAAGGCCAAAGCTGGGGACAAAGGAACTTCCCCCTCCTTTCCTTTACCTGCTCTCTCGAGGGATAGGACATATGGTAGAATGCATCTGTTGGATGTGGTCAAGCCCCTTTGGTGTGGAGGTTTTTCCATCAAAACCTCTCTGACCTGCAGGCCAGAGAGGGAGACGTATGCACCAGAGCTTTTTTTTTTTTTTTTTTTTTTTAGATGGGGTCTTGCTCTTTTGCCCAGGCTGGAGTGCAGTGGCACAGTGATAGCTCACTGCAACCTCAACCTCCTGGCCTCAAGCAATCTTCCCATCTCAGTCTGTGGAGCAGCTAGGATTACAGCCTTGAGCCACCTCACCCTGACTGGCAGAGCTTTTCAACTCCACACACAAGCCTGCCCTGTGGACCCTCTCCAGCAGGCTTCAAGAGCCCAGTGGGAAGCGGCAGGGGTGATAATGCAGCAGCCCAGAGCTGAAGGGGGCCAGTTCAAGACTAAGAGGGAGACTGAACAAAAACGCTCTCCACCTCCCACACACTTGCACAACGCAAAGGAGATGCAGCATGGACCCTGAGGGGTCTAAAGATTGGCTGTCATGACTGTGCCAGGCACTGTGCCAGGCACTGTGCCAGGGCCTGACCGACGTTGTCACCCATGGTCTTCATGACTTCTGACGGCCCATCATATTGTAATTCAGGCCTCAGATTTCCTGAATCAGAGCAGGGGCTCCTGCCATTGAAGTCCTGCCTCCCTCTCCACTGTCTTACTTCTTGTCCAGTGCAAGAAAATAGATCAAGAAGGGTCGCTTGGAAGCTCAAACTCTTTCGAAGAAGCTCAGGCTATCGCAGCGAAACAGACCCTGAGCGGCTGCGCAGCCCTTCTGCTGTGTCCCGCAGGCATCGGAAGACCCGGGGCTGCATCAGCACTCCCGGGGCCCACATCCTGCAGCCTTCTTTCCGGGCGTTTTCCTGCTGCCTTGGAGTTCTGTGGGGACGCGCATTGGTCACCAAACAAGGGTGCGCGCCTCACTGAGTGAGAATGGCCCCTAATCTGGAGCCCCAGCACCGATCCCTGCTCAGCCCCGGAGAGTGGGAGGCTTGTCGGGTCGCTTGACTACAACGTGCGGGCTGCGCTCTAGCTGGCGGTGCGCCTCCCAGCTGAGCAGCCCAATGAGCAGGGAACCGAGAAAGACCGAAAGCAGAGGGGTTCCTAGTCCCGCTGACCCCCAAGGGCCCTCATTCTCTGCAGCCGGCCGTGGCTTCCAGCGGGTTCGCTTTCTCCCTGGGAGTCCCGGAGGCGCCCGGCACCAGGAGGGCAACGAAGGGGCAGGAGGCGCTGCCGTCCGGGCGCCCTCCGAGCACAGCCAGGAAGTCCTCCTTACCTCATGGGTCTGCGGCTCCTCGCCGGGCTGCGGGCGCAGGCAGCTCACCACCGCGGCTAGGCCGGCCCCGGACATCGCGGCGGCGGGCGCGGCGAGCGGGGATGCGCGGGCGTCGGGGCGGCAGCCGCAACGGACTCTGCCCTCCTCGTGCAGGCCGGAGGCCCCGCCTGGGCGCGCGGCGCTCGGTCCTTCACGTGACCGCTGCGGGTGGGCCTGCGGGCGGAGGACGGGCGACGGCGGGGCGGGCTCCCAGGCTCCGGCCCCTTCCCTGGCGGCGCGCTGGGCCCAGCGCAGGGAAGCGGATCCGGCAGGGACGGGGAGTGGGACGCGCGAGGGGCAGCAGGGGTAAGAGCTCGGGCGGGTGGCCGCGTGGGTTAAAGGTCAAAGGTCACCTCCGCAAATGGCACCAACTGTGTAGCCTGGCAGTGGGACTTTGTCCAGCTTTCTGATCAGTAGAATAGAAGGATGCCTTCCTCCAAGACCTGTTTGGAGAATTAAACCAGCTAATGTAGGAGCCACGGCTGCCGCTGGGGAGGGCCCAGTAATTATTAGTTCCCTCCCCGTCCTAGGGGACCCCCCAGGAGAGCGTAGTGTGGGCTCCTAGTGGGGCCTCTCGAGGCAAATACCTCCCGAGAGGGGGCGCGCGCCCTCCCCTCTTCCCATGGGGCGCCCCCAGTTCCAGCCTGACCTGGAACTCAGGGTTGCCAGAGCTGCTGAATTTTCAAGAGAAAGCGGAAATCTGAGTTTTAATGAGACCGCTCCTGATTTTTTAAAACGTTGATCATGAAGTTAAAACAATAATAATGGTAAGTACTTGCCGGCCAACTGTCAGGTAAGCCCTGGCGGGCAAAGCAGGTGGTCCTGGGCTCCTGTACCAACCAACTTCACTGACTCCTCCCAGAGGAGGGAGAAGCCTGGCGGGACTGTGACAATCCCTGTCACCTGGCATGAGGTGTGATGTCCCTCTGGGTGGTTCATCAAGACTTGGTGCTAGGCCAAGCCAGTGGCTCATGCCTGTAATCCCAGCATTCTGGGAGGCCAAGGCGGGAGTGACAAGTGAAGCCAGCTGGACTTCCTGAGTGCAGTGGGGACTTGGGGAACTTTTCTTACAAGAGGATTGTAAAATGCACCAATCAGGAACTTTTCTGTCTTACAAGAAAATTGTAAAACGCACCAATCAGTGCTCTGTAAAATGCACCAATCAGCGGTATTCTAAAAGTAGCCAATTGCGGGGAGGATTGAAAAAAGGGCACTCTGATAGGACAGAAACGGAACATGGGAGGGGCCAATAAGGGAATAAAAGCTGGCCACCACCGCAGCCGGCAGCGACAACTGCTTGGGTCCCGGTCAGCTTTGCGGAAGCTTTATTCTTTCTGTTTTCACAATAAACCTTGCTACTGCAGGGTCCCTGCCATCTTTAAGAGCTGTAACACTCACCAGCAAGGTCCATGGCTTCATTCTTGAAGACCAGGAACCCACCGGAAGGAACCAACTCCAGACACAAGAGGATTGTCCAAGCCCAAGAGTTTGATACCTGCGTAGGCAACATATCCAGACCAGATCTCTTTAAAAAAAAAAAGAGCTGGGCATGGTGGCAAACCTATAGTTGGCTAGTCTAGGCAGAGATGAAGGATGGCTTGAGCTTAGGAGGTTGAGGCTGCAGTGAGTGGTGATTGCACCACTGTAATCCAGCCTGGGCAACAGCAATACTGCTCTCTAAACATAAAAAATTAAATAAAGACTTAGTGCTAGGTGCTGATTTCTGGCAAGTTCCAGGTGGGAGACTGGCAGGCAGCATTATAGTCCTCTAAGAGAATTCAAACCCTAATTTCTGGGACTATGAATCTGTTACTTTACAAGGCAAAAGAGCCTTGTGGACAGGTTTCTAATCAGTTGACTTTAAAATAGGGAGGTTATCCTGGATTTATCTGGGTTGGCCTGGTGGAATCACCCTTAAACCCTAAAGAGCAAGACAGGGGAGAGGAGACATTTGAAGCTTATGAAAGACTCAGTGTGCCTGGATGGGACGCTGTTGCCTCGAGGATGAAGGGAACTGCAAGGAACTAAAGTTCTGCTGACAATTTGAATGAGCTCGAAAGTGAATTCTTCCCCAGGGCCTTGCAGAAAGGAACACAATTTGCTGACACCTTTATTCCCACCTTGTGAGACACCGAGCAGAGAATCCATGTGGCAATGTGTTATGCAGCATAGAAAAGTAATACAGGACACTGACCTGCATTGCAACACCAGAATTGTGTCCTAGCTGGAGGCTGGCCTGCAATGAGAACTGCATGTGGCCACAGTTTCTCGGCAGGCATGCCAGGCATGGCACTTCACCCCTCTCCTCTGACTGTTACCACTCAGTTCTAACATCCCCTGAGAGCCCTTCCTCAACTTCTCCAGGCCAACAGGTGGCTTCCTTTCTGTGCTCACCACACCCTTCGTGAAAACAGCTACTTGGTGCTTCCTTTGATCTATGTGCACATGTTGCCTGCTTCCCACCAGGCCACAAGCACCTGTGGGAGGAAGGGAACTGGAAACATTTGTCTTTGAATCCCAAGCCCCGGGCAGACAGCAGGCATATGGTGGCTGAAATGGTAAAGTGAAATTTCTACCAGTGTGTAATCAAAGGTCCTTGTCTACAAGGTATCTTAATTACCTTTTTTAAAAAAGAAATTCAGTAGTTTTGGGGGAACTGGTGGTTTTTGTTACATAGATAAGTTCTTTAGTGGTGATATCTGAGATTTTGGTGCACACATCATCCGAGCAGTGTACATTGTGCCCAATACGTAGTTTTTTATCCTTAACCACCCTTCCCCCATTTCTCCGGTGTCCCCAAAGTCCAATTTGTAATTCTTATGCCTTTGAATCCTCGTAGCTTAGCTTCCAGTTATAAGTGAGAATATACAATATTTGGTTTTCCATTCCTGAGTTACTACACTTAGAATAATGGTTTCAAACTCCATGAGGTTGCTGTGAATGCCATTATTTCATTCATTCTTATCACTGAGTAGTATTCCATGGTGTATATGTATATATATGTACACATATACACCACGTTTTCTTTTTCCACTCATTGGTGGATGGGCATTTAGGCTGGTTCCAAATTGTTGCAATTGTGAGTTGTGCTGCTATAAACATGAGTGTGCAATATCTATTTCATATAATGACTTCTTTTCCTCTGGATAGATACCCAGTGGTGGGATTACTGGATCAAATGGTAGTTGTACTTTTAGCTCTTTAAAAAATCTCCACAGTGTTTTCTATAGTGGTTGTACTAGTTTACATTCCCAACAGCAGTGTAAAAGTGTTCCCTTTCCACCACATCCACATCAACATCTATTGTTTTTTGATTTTTAAATTATGGCCATTCTTGCAAGAGTAGGTAGTATCTCATTGTGGTTGTAATTTGCATTTCCCTGATAGTGATGCTGAGCATTTTTTCATGTGTGTGTTGGCCATTTGTACATCTTCTTTTGAGAATTGTCTATTAATTTCCTTTGCCCACTTTTTGATGGGATTATTTGTTTTTTTCTTGCTGATTTGTTTGAGTTCCTTGTAGATTCTAAATATTAGTCCTTTGTGAGATGCATAGTTTGAGAATATTTTCTCCCTCTCTGTGGGTTGTCTGTTTACTCTGCTGATTATTTCTTTTGCTATGCAGAAACTTGTAACTTAATTAGGTCCAATGTATTTATTTTTGTTTTTGTTGCATTTGCTTTTGGGTTCTTGGTAGTTAACGAACTCTTTGCCTAAACCAATGTCTAGGGTAGTTTTACTGATGTTATCTTCTGGAATGTTTATGATTTTGGGTCTTAGATTTTAAGTCTTTTTTCTTTTCTTTTCTTTTCTTTTTTTTTTTTTTTTTTGAGACAATCTCACTCTGTCACCCAGGCTGGAGTGCAGTAGAGCAATCTCCGCTCACTGCAACTCCCAACTCTCAGGTTCTCATGCCTGAGCCTCCCTAGTAGCTGGGATTACAGGCACCCATCACCACGCCTGACTAATTTTTTGTATTTGTGGTAGAGACAGGATTTCACCATGTTGGCCAGGCTGGTCTTGAACTCCTGACCTCATGTGATCTGGCCACCTTGGCCTCCCAAAGTGCTGGGATTACAGTTGTGATCCCCCATGCTCGGCCTAGATTTAAGTCTTTGATCCATCTTGAGTTGATTTTTGTATAAGTTGAGAGATGAGGATTCAGTTTTACCCTTCTACATGTGGCTTCCCAGTTATCCCTGCACCATTTGTTGAATAGGGTGTCCTTTCCCCACTTTATGTTTTTGTTTGCTTTGTCAAAGATCAGTTAACTGTAAGTATTTGGCTTTATTTCTGGGTTCTCTATTCTGTTCCATTGGTCTACTTGCCTGTTTTCATACCAGTACCATACTGTTTTGGTAACTACAGCCTTGTAGTATAAAGTCAGGTGATGTGATGCCTCCAGATGTGTTCTTTTTGCTTAGTCTTGCTTTGGCTATGTAGGGTCTTTTTTGGTTCCATTTGAATTTTAGGATTGCTTTTTAAAGCTCCATGAAAAATGCTGATGGTATTTTGATGGGAATTGCATCGAATCCATAGACTGCTTTTGGCACCATGATCATTTTCACAGTATCGAGTCTACCCATCCATGAGCATGGAATGTGCTTCCATTTGTTTGTGTTATCAGTGATTTCTTTCTGTCTTGCAGTTTTTCTTGTAGAGATATTTCGCCTCCTTGGTTCAGTATATTCCAAAGTATTTTATTTTATTTTTTGCAGCTGTTGTAAAAGGGATTGAGTTCTTGATTTGTTTCTCAGTCTTGTTGTTGGTGTACAGCAGTGCTACTGATTTGTGTACATTGATTTTGTATCCTAAAACTTTATTGAATTCATTTATCAGATCTATGAGCTTTTTGGGTGAGTCTTTAGGCTTTTCTAGGCATACAATTATATCATCGGTGAACAGCAACAGTTTGACGTCCTCTTTACTAATTTAGATGCCCTTTATTTCTTTCTGTTGTCTGATTGCTTTGGCTAGAACTTCCAGCACTACGCTGGATAAAAGTTGTGAAAGTGGGCATCTTTGTCTTGTTCCAGTTCTCAGGAAGAAAGCTTTCAACTTTTCCCCATTCAGTATCATGTTGGCTGTGGGTTTGTCATAGATGGCTTTTATAACCTTGAGGTATGTCTCTTGTATACCAGTTTTGCTGGATTTTATCAAATGCTTTTTCTGCATTGATTGAGATGATCATATGATTTTTGTTTTTAATGCTGTTGATGTGATGTGTCACATTTGTTGACTTGTGAATGTTAAACCATCCTTGCATTTCTGGTATGAAACCCACTTGATCCTATTGTATTACCTTTTTGATATGCTGTTGGATTCAGTTAGCTAGTATTTTGTTGAGTATTTTTGCATCTGTGTTCATCAGGGATCTTAGTCTGTAGTTTTCTTTTATTGTTATGTCCTTTCCCAGTTTTGGAATTAGGATGATACTGGCTTCATAGAATGATTTATGGAGGAGTCCCTCTTTTTCTATCTTTTGGAATAGTTTCAGTAAGATTGGTATCAATTCTTCTTTGAATGTCTAATAGAATTCACCTGTCAGTCCATCTGGTTCTGGACATTTTTTTGTTGGCAATTTTTTTTATTATTGTTTCAATCTTGCTAATTATTGGTCTGTTCAGAGTTTCTATTTTTTCGTGATTTAATATGGGAGGAATTTATCCATCTCTTCCAGATTTTCTAATTTGTGTGCATAAAAGTGTTCATAGTAGCCTTGAATGATCTTTTGTATTTCTGGGGTATTGGTTGTAATATCTCCAGTTTCATTTCTAATTGAGCTTATTTGGATCTTCTATCTTCTTGGTTAATCTCAGTAATGGTCTATCAATTGTGTTTTATCTTTTCAAAGAAACTGCTTTTTGTTTCATTTATGTTTTGTGTTTTTAATTTTAATTTCATTTAGTTCTGCTCTGATCTTTGTTATTTACTTTTTTTCTGCTGAGTTTGGATTTGGTTTGTTTTTGTTTCTCTAGTTCCGTGAAGTATGATGTTAAATTGCCTACTTGTGCTCTTTCAGACTTTTTGATGTAAGCATTTAATGCTTTAAACTTTCCTCTTAGCACCACTTTTGCTGTATCCCAGAGGTTTTGATAAGTTGTTTCACTGTCATTGTTCAACTCAAAGAATTTTTAAATTTCCATCCTGATTTCATTGTTGACCCAAACATCATTCAAGAGCAAATTATTTAATTTCCATGTATTTGTATAGTTTTAGGGGGTCCTTTTGGAGTCGTTTCCAGTTTTATTCCACTGTGGTCTGAGAGAATACTTTATATAATTTCAATTTCCTTAAGTTAACTGACTTGCTTTGTGACCTATCATATGGTCTATTTTGGAAAATTTTCTATGTGCTGAAGAAAAGAGTGTATATTTTGCAGTTGTTGGGTAGAATCTTCTGTAAATATTTGTTAAGTCCATTTGATCCAGAGTTAGTTTAAGTCCATTGTTTCTTTATTGACTTTCTGTCTTGATGACCTGTCTAGCACTGTCAATGGAGTATTGAAGTCCCCCACTATTACTATGTTGCCTTCTATTTCATTTCTTAGGTCTACTAGTAATTATTTTATAAATTTGGGAGCTTCAGTGTTCGGTGCATATGTATTTATGATTGTAATATTTTCCCATTTAACTATTTCTTTTATCATTGTATAATGTGCCTATTGTCTTTTTTTTACTGTTGTTGCTTTGAAGTGTGTTTTGTCTGATATAAGAATAGATACTCCTGCTCACTTTTGGTTTCCATTTGCGTGGAATATCTTTTCCCACCTCTTTACCTTAAATTTATGTGAGTCCTTATACATTTAAGTGAGTCTCTCAAAGACAGCACACACTTAGTGGTGGATTTTTATTCATTCTGCCATTCTGTGTCTTTTAAGTGGAGCATTTAGGCCATTTACATTCAACATTAGTATTGAGATGTGAGGTACTGTTCTATTCATCATGCTAGTTGTTGCCTTAATAATTTTTTTCATCGTGTTATATAGGCCCTGTGAGATTTATGCTTTAAAGAGGTTCTATTTTGATGTATTTCAAGGTCTTGTTTCAAGGTTTGGAACTCCTTTTAGCATTTCTGGTAGTGCTGGCTTAGTAGTGGCAAATTCTCTCAGCATTTGTTTGGCTGAAAAATACTTTTCTCTTTTTCATTTACGATGTTTAGTTTTGCTGGATACAAAATTCTTGACTGACAATTATTTTGTTTCAGGAGGCTAAAGGTGGGACCCCAATCTCTTCTGGGTTGTAAGGTTTCTGCTGAGAAGTCTTCTGTTAATCTGATAGGTTTTCCTTTATAGGTTATCTGGTGCTATTGTCTCACAGCTCTTAAGATTGTTTCCTCTGTCTTGGCTTTAGATAACCTGATGACTATGTGCCTAGGTTATGGTCTTTTTGCAATGAATTTCCCAGGTGTTCTTTGAGCTTCTTGTATTTGGATGTGTAGATCTCTGTCAATGCTAGGGAAGTTTTCCTCAATTATTCCCTCAAATTAGTTTTCCAAAATTTTAGATTTCTCTTCTTCCTCAGGAACACCAATCATTCTTAGGTTTGGCCATTTAACATAATCTCAAGTTTCATGGAGGCTTTGTTCATTTTTTAAAATTATTTTTCCTTTGTCTTTGTCTGATTGGGTTAATTTGAAAGCTTTGTCTTTGAGCCCTGAAGTTCTTTTTTATACTTGTTCAAGTCTATAGTTAAAATGTTCCATTGCATTTTGTGTTTCTCTAGGTGTCTTTCATTTCCAGAAATTGTGATTGTTTTTTCTTTATGATATCTATTTTTCTGGATAAATTTTCATTCATATCCTGTATTTTTTTATTTCTTTATTTTATTTATTTATTTATTTATTTTGGGTCACTCTGTCACCCAGGCTGGAGTGCAGTGGTGCAACCTCGGCTCACTGCAACCTCCACCTCCCGGATTCAAGCAATTCTCCTGCCTCAGCCTCTCAAGTAGCTGGGATTACAGGTGCCCACCACCACACCCAGCTAATTTTTGTATTTTTAGTAGAGACGGGGTTTCACCGTGTTAGCCAGGATGGTCTTGATCTCCTGATCTTGTGATCCACCCGCCTCGGCCTCCAAAAGTGTTGGGATTACAGGCGTGAGCCACCACACCTGGCCTTCAATTTCTTTACGTTCGTTTTCACCTTTCTCTAGTATCTCTTTGAATAGCTTAATAATTGACCTTCTGAATTATTTATCTGACAATTTAAAGATTTCTTCTTGGTTTGGATCCATTGCTGGCGAGCCAGTATGATCTTTTGAGGGTGTTCTAGAACCCTGTTTTGTCATATTACCAGAATTACTTTTCTTCCTTCTCAATTGGGTAGACTAATACAGTGGGGAGATCTGAAAGTCAAGGCCTGCTGTTCAGATTCTCTTGTCCCACTGGGTAACCCCTTGATGTAGTGCTCTCCCCTTTCTTCTAGGAATGGGGCTTCCTGAGAGCTGGACTGCAGTGATTGTTATTTGTCTTCTGGGTCTAGCTACCAGTGAGGATACCAGGCTCTGGACTGGTCCTGGGGGATGTCTGCAAAGATTCCTGTGATGTGATCTGTCTTCAGGTCTCCAAGCCATGGATACCAGCACCTGCTCTGGTAGAGGTGGCAGGGAAGTGAAGTAGACTCTGTGAGAGTCCTTGGTTATAGATAGGTTTAGTGTGCTGGCTTTCTTGAATGCTGGTTGTCATAACAGTGAAATTGTCACGTGGACATCTTCAGGACCTCTGTTTAGCCAGGATGTTGCAGGCAGTAGAATTAGGTGTTGTCTTCTCCTTCCTAAGATCAGCATTATTCTGTCATGAGTTGCTGTAATGGCTTGAGTTGGTTGGCCTCCAGCGACGAGGTGGCACTTTCAAGAGAGCACCAGCTGCCATAGTAGTAGGGGGCTCTAAGCTTGTCCTAAGGTGGCCAGGGTAAGCATTTTGGTTTCTCAGGTGATGGGCATGGCCATAAAGCTCCCAAGAGGTTCTGTGTTTTGTGCTGGGCTACCAGGGTGGCTAGGGAAATACCATCAAGTGGGGGCAGGGTTAGGTGGGTCTGGGGTCAGACTCTCCTTGGACAGGGCTTGCAGTAGCCACTGTGGGGGAATGAAGGAGTGGTTCTTAGGCTAATGGAGTACTGTTCTAGAGTGGATCTTGGCCCTCTGCTGTGTTATATAGTTTTCCAGGAAAGCATTGGATAGCCCTTAATACGAGCTCTCGCCCAGTTCCCAAGCAGTTGGCGAGGTCGGTCTCACTCCCACAGTGCTCCTGCTCAGGCCGTGAGCTACCCTGCTGAGAAAGCAAGCGTGGCTTAAGGACCTCACCCCTCCCTGTCTGCCCACTCTGCCAGCAGCAGCTCCTGCACTCCTGCACTCGCTTGCTTGTATCCACAGCAGTTCCCGCTCATCCTCCAGACTCTGCTCGAGAAAGTTTGTGCCCGGTCAAAACCACTACCAATTTCAGTTGAGAGCTTCCTTTGCCCTGCAACTCCTCTCCAGTTCCACTGGCTGCCTTCCCTGAGTGGCTGTGTGAGATACAGTCAGGGATGGCTTCCTAGGGCTCAAGCTGGAGACTGGGAGTCCATTCAAGGCACTTCCCACTACTACTCTCATACTTTTATTTTTCTTACATCTCCCTAAACTCATTTCATCTCTGGTTAAGATTAAATCCTTCTCCTATGATCTGGATTTTTAGATTCCCCAGTGGGGATGTGTGTTCAAAGGTAGGTTTCCCCCTTCTTACACTTTGGGAACTCACAGTTTTTCTCCTGTTCCACAGAATTTACAGTGGTGTGCGTCTTCTTTCAAAGGATCCGTGAATTCTTTTGGTTTTCCCAGTATGTTCCTATGATAGTTCTTGGAGCACAACAGGGTCACAGTGTGAGTCTCCACATGGTGTTTTGTCCATCCATGTGGGAGCTACACATTAGCACTGCCTCCTATCTGCCATCTTCCCCTGATCTCAACAATTACCTTTTATAACTGTTTATTGCGTGGATTACCAGAAAACTCTCTGGTGCTCTTGAGAAAGGACAAATATTCTAGGTCTATCCTAAGTGGTGACTTAAGGAATGATTGTTTTATGGCAAGATCTTTTAAAATGGCTTTATTTTTTAAAAAAGATAAATATGTTCATTGTAAAGAGTTGAAACTACTAATCAAAGTTAATCACTTGCACACACTTAAACACACTTGTATGCAGCTCTGTGGAGATGGGATTACATCCTACACCACAGACACTGCTGACCTCTGACCTACTATCCACACGCTTCCCACCCAAGATCCCAGACTTGGGTCAGGCATTCATCTCATCTCTCTCTTTAAAGGAGGATCCTGCTTAGTCCAGGCCAATCCACACAGGGCATTTTCCTGGCAACAGTTACCTATCTAAGGGAAGTACATGACTTTAGTTGGCTCAGCCTGACTAAAAAGAGCCATGAGCTTAGGGGGAGAGGTTTTCTTCTTCTCTTCCCTCCCCTTTTCCTATGAATGTAATTTTTAAAAAACCACATATTCCTAACAGCTTCTCCAGCCACCTTGGGTGAAGATGACACTGTGGATGGCAGAGGAGGAAGATACAAACAGCCAGGTCTCTGATGGCCTCTTCAAGAGACTACTTTTTGGTACCTGCATTCTTGGAACCATTTGGACCAACCTTCAGACTTAGAATTATGTGAGCTATATTGTATGACCCAGGAGACAGAATGAGGTGATCTGTACAGCCAATAGGAAAAGATCTACAAAATATCAAATGAGGATGGGAAGATAGTACCCTGCAGAGTTTGATTTATGCAGAATTTTAAAGGATGCATATACTTACATTTTCTGATAAATGCATAAAATATTTTCCTGGAAAGATCCATAAGTAAACTGTAATCAGTGCTTACCTTTGAGAATACAGCAGGAAGTAGAGGCATGAAGGGAAAGGGACTTTTTCTTCTCATTTTGTACTTGTCTATAAGTTTTTTTTGTTTTGTTTTGTTTGTTTGTTTTGAGACGGAGTTGCGCTCTGTTGCCCCGGCTGGAGTGCAGTGGCCTGATCTGGGCTCACGACAAGCTCCGCCTCCCAGGTTCATGCCATTCTCTTGCTTCAGCCTCCCTAGTAGCTGGAACTACAGGATAAGGTTTCATTTTTAACTGTATGCCTACATTACTTGTATGTGTTTGCAGAAAGTAAAATCAACAGAGATGTGGTGATAGAATCTAATAGCAATTTTGTCATTTTCATGAACAAATATTTTATGCAATGGAAAATATTAAAACTCTGGGAATAAAGCGTGTTAATGCCTGTTCCTGGTTGCATATCTGCCAGTGGGGAGAATGCATCCTTGCAGGGTGAGGAGTCAGCCTTAGAAAGCAAGGCCTTTAGGAACCAGTTACCACTAAGCATACCCTATAACAACTCTTTGAGGTGCTGGTTTAGTCTGCTCAGGCTGCCATAACCAAGTACTCCCAGCCAAGTGGCTTAAACAGTAGAAATGTGTTTCCTTACAGTTCTGGAAGCCAAAATTCTGAGATCAGGATGCGGCAGGGTTGGTTTACAGTAAGGGCTCTCTGCTTGGCTGGTAGCTGGCCATCTCCTCTCTGTGTCTTCACACGGTGCTCCCTCTGTGTGTATCTGTGTCCAAGTTTCCTCTTCTAATAAGGACAGTCCTATTGGATCAGGGCCTGCTCTAAGGACCTCATTTTACTTGGATTACCTCTTTAAAGACCCTACCATATTCTGTGATACTGGGGGTTAGGACTTCAACACATGAATTTTGAGGAGATACAATTCAGCCCATAAGAAGTACTGATTACAACATCCACATTAGAGCTTAGGAAATGCAGGTTCAGAGAGGAGCATCAGACTGCCTCAGGTCACACAGCTTGAAAATGGCAGCACTGGGATTGCAAACCCAGACCTACTAGCACAGAGGCATCTCTACTCTACTCTGCAGCTACTAGGTAGTTTCAGCTGGGAAAATGAACAAAGTCCATATTCAGCCTGAGAATTCCACCCAATTCTATTTGCCAGTTATCCCCTAGATTCCACAGGATTTTGTGGAATTCTTTTTAAAACACTGCAATGTGACAATCAAGAGGTAGGGGCAAAGTCAACAGTGGTGGTTGAAAATAGAGGCCAAACCTTCTCCAATGCCTTCACAAGGCAGGGCACGCAGGAGCCCTGCTGTCTTTGGCTCCATCTCCTTCCCCTTCCCCTCACTCACTCCACTCCACTCCAGCCTCAATGGCTTCCTTTATGCTCCTCAAACATTCCCCAGGGCCTTTGCTCTAGCTATTCCCTTAGCCTGGATGATGCATTCCCCAGACACCCAAGTGTTTGCTCAGATCGTACCTTCTTAGGGAGGCAGACCCTGATCCCCACCCTACTGAACTCTTCAGCCCACCGCTGCCCTCCTGCTCCCCTCCCCCTTGATCTTTTACTTCCTTGCATTGCCCTTATCACCTTCTGCCACACGATATGATTCTTTATATCTTCCATTTATTCTTAACTATCTGTGTACTCCTGATAGAACACAATCTCCACAAGGGTGGAGATCTTTAATTTGTGCACAGGTATTTCCCAAGCACCTAAAATAGTGTCCAGAAAACAGAAGGTTTTCAAAAACTGTTTGTTGAATGAGACTTTCTGTAAGTGGTGTGGAATGGTTTCCATTAAGAGGGGACTGGTGGGAAAAAGTGGAACCTTCACATAATGGAGTACTGTTCAGCCATAAAAAGAAATGGAGTCTGTCTCTGGATACTATGAAGTGATGGCCAGGATATATTCAGTGAAAAAGCAAGGTAGAGATAAATGTGTATAGCATATTGCTATTCATCTAAGATAGAATATGAATATATAAACATATTTGCTTATATTAAAATACCAAAGGCAGGACATACTAAAAACTTCTTTCAAAGTTATCTTTGGAAGAATGAGGAAAAGGACTCACCCTTAATGCTCAGATTGTAGTCCTTAAATAGCCTATTTTACAAGAAGAAGCAGAGATCCTTGGAGAAATGGATGATTCCAGGTCTGGAGAAGGAAATACACAAATAAACCTAAAACATCTTGTCATACCAGGAACCAAGGAGGCTGTCTGAGATGGCTAGCAGCATGTCCGAAGGGCTCAGGGACAAAATTAAAGAGCTTCTGCTAGCCAGAATAAGGCCATTTCTCCACCAATAAGGATAATAATGGCAAAACATTGAAACATATTAAGTATGCTAAAAGTCTGTGCATTTCTAATGATACAGATATATAACTAGAGAATGCTTAGAAAATCACTTCATTATTTAGAAAACTGGTAAGCAGAGGGGAAGATTCAAGCATCTTGAAAGGTGGGATACTGCTTTTCTGAGTCAAACTATATTCAGAGTAACCAAACTGTAGATAATGGAAAGCTTCTCTTTATTGAAGTATTCCAGCTGAGAAATGAAAAAGAAATGTACAATTAAAATATAACCACAAGCAATCCCTGATGAGTTAGTGGATATGGGCAATGACCATCAGTGACTACTAACATCACACAAAAAAGAAAAATGTCTTTTTCTCCCAATGCGAGAACACACTAACACCTAAGACACACTTTTGCCAAAAATTAGAACTTGAATCTGTCCAGGTCTCCAGTTCTAATGCTGAGTTTTGAGGAATACAGGCAACCAAGGAATGTGCTAAATGACACCAGAGGGATGTAATTAATAAAATCCAGATTGCAGAAAACTCTAGAGGACAAACCATCCATTTTCAACAAACAAACAAACAAACAAAGGGGAGTGGAGAGAAATCTATAGATCAAAAGAAATTTTTAAAAAATTTTTTGAGACAGGGTCTCACTCTGTCACCCAGAATGGAGTGCAATGGTCCAGTCATAGCTCACTGCAACTTCGAACTCCTAGGCTCAAGCCATCCTCGCACCTCAGCCTCCAGAGTAGCTGGGACTACAGGCATGTGCCACCATGCCCGGCTAGTTTTTTAAATTTTTTTTGTAGAGACGGAGTTTCACTCTGTTGCCCAGGCTCGTCTTGAATTCCTAGCCTCAAGTAATCCTCCTGCCTCAGCCTCCCAAAGTGCTTGGATTACAAGCATGAGCCAGCCTCAAAAGAGACTTAAAAGACATATTGGCCAATTGGCCAATTTCAATTTGGATCCTAGTTTGAACAAAAAAATTGTTAAAAAAATTATGTGACAGAGAAAATTGAACTAACTGGATATTTGATAATTTTAAAGGATTATTACATTTTTAGATGTGATAATGATGTTGTTATTACATTTTATAAAGAAGTCTTACTTTTTAGAGATGATCATATCTTTTTAGAGATGTTTATACATAAAATGATGAGGAGTGAGGGGGCATACAAATGGAACATGGTTGACTATGAGTTAATCAGTGTGAAGCTGTATGACAGTGGCATGAGAGTTTATTATATTTTTCTTTCTACTTTTGTATATATTTTAAATTATCCATAATATATTTTTAAAATGTACAACTCTTTCCAATTTGACTCCTTAAATTTAGCAGCATTAATATTGAGAGTTACTTTAAGATATCCCCTAAAATTCCTGGGATTTTCATGGTCACACATCAGGTACCCAATAGCTACATGTTCCTGTCTCTAAAATATGGTGAAAAACATCTGACCTGTTTGGAGGCATCACCCAGTTGTTTGGAGGCAAACTTGTGCACAGTAGTGATCTCCTCGGTTCACTCTGAGTCATCAATTCTGGAGCTCTCAGTTTGTGGAGAAATTTTCTAGAAACTGGAGAGAGAGGGGTAAAATAATAGGAGACATACAATAAAGCCAATGACACCATAATGGGGCTGTCAGGAGGCAGAAAAGGAGACGAGCAAAAAGAAACAAACAACATAAACATATGGATACATAATAAGTAAGAGTTACATCAGCGTTTCCCAAACCTGGCTGCCAGGTAGAATCATTTGCAGCACTTGTTTAAAATTTAGATGCCCAAATCCTGTCTCTGAAAATGCTGACTTAGGTCTGGTGTTGGGTCCCCTGCACTGTATTTTGAAACAAGTCCACAGGTGGTTTCCATTCCTGGTAGAGTAGGGGAGCCACTGATCTGCACTGCTAATTACAAACAATTCACCAGGGTTTTTGGGGGGCTTACAGTGGCTGTAGTCTTCAAACCTGGTATTTTCAAAATCCATTACCTCAGCATGGGAAAAAAGACTAGAAAAATAAAGCCCTGGTGAGCAGGGAATTAGATTTTTAGAAGTGTATTGAAACTCAAAAGTTGAAGTACATTTGATTCTCATTATTCTGGTTATAAAGTGACCACAAACAGTGAATTAGCAAATACTGAACCATTGCTCCTAGAGGACATACAGGTTTGGGTTCCTGCAAGTCTCTGGTCACAGTATTTTCATCAATCAGTCAATATACAACGTTGTTTTATGTGCCAAATTAACCGACGCAGAGCTCTAAATTATGCAGCTCAACTTCATATGAAATGCAGGACAACAATCAGGTCTTTGGGGGTGGAGGTGGGAGGATGTATTGCTCTGCATTCAAGCAGTAAAAACATGTGACACTCAAATTAGGAGGATATGAGGAGAGTTTAATCAAAGGACTACTTACAAAGGTGGGGGTGGGGGGTGAAATGTAGCAGGTCCAGAACAATCTCTAGGGCTGGGGAGGCAGAGCTAGCACCACCCTCTCAGCCCTGTCCTCAGGCCCAAGGGAGAAGGGGGAGGAGCAACTCCTGCCTGGAGGAGAAGGGAGTATGGAGAGACACTGCCCTCAGAGGGGCAAGTGCAAAGTGAAAATGTGAGCCCTTCTGTCCAAAAAGCAGGCAAAACGTGACATTAAAGCATAAATTATTTTGTTGTTCCTCAGGTAAGTCTCCCCACTTCTCCTCTCTCCTTTTTCTCTTTTATCCTTTTCTCTTCCTCTCTCCTTGTCACATTGCTATTTATTTGCTATTTAATGTTACAGTCCCTCTTCCCTCTGGCATGGGGATAGTGCATATCTTAGGGGACAGTGCAGACCCTCAAAGATGTCTATGGGCCCCACCCTGCATCTCAATCCATACTGCTTAGCCTTATTCTTTCCCAACCATTCATTTTAAGTCTCAGCTTTTTGGGAGACTGAGGCAGGATAATTGCTTGAACCTGGGAGGCAGAGGTTGCAGTGAGCTGAGATGGAGCCACTGCACTCCAGCCTGGGCGAAAGAGCTCAGTAAAAGAAAAAAAATTACTAGTATGCTTAATGAAGATTTGTTCAGGTTTAAATGAGCAGTTAAGGCTAGGCATGGTGGCTCAAGCCTATAATCCCGGTGCTTTGAGAGGTCAAAGGGGGAGGATCACTTGAGGCCAGGAGTTTAAGACTAGCCTGGGCAACACAGTATGACCCTGTCTCTACAAAAAACTAAAAATTTAGCAGGGTGTGGTGGTGTACACCTGTAGTCTCAACTACCCAAGAGGCTGAGACAGAAGGATCACTTGAGCCCAGGAGTCCAAGGCTATAGTGACTTATAATTGCCACTGCCTATCAACCTGGGCAACAGAGCAAGACCCTGTCTCTAAAAAAAGTAAAATAAAATAAAATAATTAAACGAGCCATTAAGATATAAATGATATATGCATGCTGTGATTTAGTCTATGGATTTATTCTAAAATTGCTAAAATGTCACCATGTAGTGACCATGAAAAACCCTTCAAAAAATCAATGAATCCAGGAGCTGTTTTTTTGAAAAAATTAACAAAATAGATAGTCTGCTAGCTAGACAAATAAGGAAGAAAAGACAGAATAACCAAATTGACACAATAAAAAATGATGAAGGAGATATCACCATTGATCCCACAGAAATACAAACTACTCTCAGAAAATACTGTAAACACCTCTACGCAAATAAACTAGAAAATCTAGAAGAAATGAATAAATTCCTGGAAACAAACACCCTCCCAAGACTAAATCAGGAAGAAATTGAATCCCTGAATACACTAATAACAAGTTCTGAAATTAAGGCAGTAATTAATAGCCTACCAATCAAAAAAAGCCTAGGACCAGACGGATTCACAGCCAAATTCTACCAGAGGTACAAAGAGGAGCTGGTACCATTTATCCTGTAACTATTCCAAACAATTGAAAAGGAGGGACTCCTCCCTAACTCATCTTGTGAGGCCAGCATCATCCTGATACCCAAACCTGGCAGAGACACAACAAAAAAAGAAAACTTCAAGCCAATATCCCTGATGAACATTGATGTGAAAATCCTCAATAAAATACTGGCAAACTGAATCCAGTAGCACATTAAAAAGTTTATTCACTATGATCAAGTTGGCTTCATCCCTTGGATGCAAGGTTGGTTCAACATATGTAAATCAATAAATGTAATCCATCACATAAACAGAATCAATGACAAAAACCACATGATTATCTCAATAGATGTAGAAAAAGCCTTTGATAAAATTGAACATCACTTCATGTTAAAAACTCTCAATAAACTAGGTATTGATGGAACATATCTCAAAATAATAAGAGCTATTTATGACAAACCCATAGCCAATATTATACTAAATGGGCAAAAGCTGGAAGCATTCCCTTTACAAACCACCACAAGGCAAGGATGCCCTCTCTTACCACTCCTATTCAACATAGTATTGGAAGTTCTGGCCAGGGCAATCAGGCAAGAGAAAGAAATAAAGGGTATTCACATAGAAAGAGAAGAAGTCAGATTGTCTCCATTTGCAGATGACATGATTCTATATATAGAAAACTCCATCGTCTCAGCCCCAAAACTCCTTAAGCTGATAAGCAAGTTCAGCAAAGTCTGATGATACAAAATCAATGTCCAAAAATCACAAGCATTCCTACACACCAACAATAGACAAGCAGAGAGCCAAATTATGAATGAATTCCCATTAACAACTGCTGCAAAGGGAATAAAATACCTAGGAATACAGCTTACAAGGGACCTGAAGGACCTTTTCAAGGAGAAATACAAACCACTGCTCAAGGAAATAAGAGAGAACACAAACAAATGGAAAAACATTTCACGCTCATGGATAGGAAGAATTAATATTGTGAAAATGGCCATACTGCCCAAAGTAATTTATAGATTCAATGCTATTCCCATCAAGCTACCATTGACTTTCTTCACAGAATTAGAAAAACATGACTTTAAATTTCATATGGAACCAAAAAAGAGCCCTTATAGCCAAGACAATCCTAAACAAAAAGAACAAAGCTGGAGGCATCATGCTACCTGACTTCAAACTATACTACAAGGCTGCAGTAACCAAAACAGCATAATACTGGTACCCAAAACAGGCATATAGACCAATGGAACAGAACAGAGAACTCAGAAGTAGCACCACGCATCTACAACCATCTGATCTTTGACAAACCTGACAAAAACAATCAATGAGGAAAAGATTCCCTATTTGATAAATGGTGCTGGGAAAACTGGCTAGCCATATGCAGAAAACTGAAACTGGATCCCTTCCTTAAACTTATACAAAAATTAGCTCAAGATAGATTAAAGACTTAAATGTAAAATCCACAACCATAAAAACCCTTAAAGAAAACCTAGGCTATACCATTCAGGACATAGGCATGGTCAAAGGCTTCATGATGAAAACACCAAAAGCAGTGGCAACAAAAGCCTAAATTGACAAATGGGATCTAATTAAACTAAAGAGCTTCTGCACAGCATAAAAAAAGAAACTACCATCAGAGTGAACAGGCAACCTACAGAACGGGAGAAAAATTTTGAAATCTACCCATCTGACAAAGGTCTAATATCCAGAATCTACAAACATTCTTAAATTTACAAGAAAAAAACAACCCCATCAGAAAGTTGGCAAAGGATGTGAACACTTCTCAGAAGACATTTATGCAGCCGACAAACATATGAAAAAAAAACTCGTCATCACTGATCATTAGAGAAATGCAAATCAAAACCACAATGAGATAACATCTCATGCCAGTCAGAATGGCAATTATTAAAAAGTCAAGAAACAATAGATGCTGGCGAGGCTGTGGAAAAATAGGAATGCTTTTACACTGTTGGTGGAAATGTAAATTAGTTTAACCATTGTGGAAGACGTTGTGGTGATTCCTCAAGGATCTAGAACCAGAAATACCATTTGACCCAGCAATCCCATTACTGGGTGTAAACCCAAAGGAATATAAATCATTCTACTATAAAGACACATGCATACGTATGTTTATTGTAGCATTATTTACAATAGCAAAGACATGGAACCAACTCAAATGCCCATCAGTGATAGACTGGATAAAGAAAATATGGTACATATACACCATGGAATACTATGCAGCCATAAAAAGAATGAGTTCTTGTCTTTTGCAGAGACATGGATGAAGCTGGAAACCATCATCCTTAGCAAACTAACACAGGAATGGAAAATCAAACACCACATGTTCTCACTCATAAGTGGGAGTTGAACAATGAGAACACATGGACACAGGGAGGAGAACATCACACACCAGGGCCTGTCGAGGGGTGGAGGGCAAGAGGAGGGAAAGTATTAGGACAAATACATAATGCATGCACGGCTTAAAACCTAGATGACAGGTTGATAGGTACAGCAAACCACCATGGCATATGTATACCTATGTAACAAACCTGCACATTCTGCACATGTATCTGGAACTTAAAGTAAAATAAAATAAAAAGATTTTTTAAAAATTGCTAAAATACACCATGTCATCATGCAGTGTCAGAATATATACACACACACACACAATCACACTATATATATTATACTACATATATACACACACAGTATATATACTATACTATATGTAGTTTGTGTACACATAGATAAATATACATAAATATATATGTTGAGTGTGTGTAGATATATATACACACACAGCACAAATATACATGATTGTAATATGTAATAAGAATGAGGTAGTATTACATGATTCCTAATAACAGAGATAATGCTTTTAAGTGTCAGTAAAGAGTAATATTGCTCTCTTCAGTTAATGGCCCTTTTATTTTGAGGACCAGGCTTTTCTTTTCCCTGATGTTTCTATTTAATATTCTTTTTTTCTCTCAAGAAATATTCTTTCTTCCTTTACTGTCCCTAACAGACCAAATACTATCTCCCTGCCATAGACATGTACTGTCAATGCATGCTATAATTTGACATCCTGAATTACAGACACATGGTATTTAAAGTGTATGTATACTTTATAAAGAGAGTAGATGTTACTCAAAACTTTCTACATTACTTATTTCAAAAAACTGTACTTTAGTCCAAATTTAGAACTATTTAGTAATTAAAATTTTCAATCCAGTTAATAGGAATAATTCTGTGGTTTTATCTTTCTGTAATTAACTGAAAGACTAAATAGGTCATATTCTAGTATTTTCTGAAATATTTAAGACTGATCTCAAAACTAATTTCTAAGATGATTCTCCTTGTTACTAAATAAGTAAAAGTTTACATTTACTTATTTTGTATGTATTTTTGAAGCCAACTACTGTAGAAAATCAGCAATCTATTAGAAAATTTCATTATTTTATTTGCTAATGAACTTATTTGAAAATTTCACTTTTTGAATAAATAATATTTAATTTTTAATTTCTTTATTTTTTATTTTTTAAATACTAGAATTGACATTCTGAACGTATTTTTAATTCTTTTCTTTATTTTCTAAAATATTAGCATAAATGACTTAAAAATTAGTATTTTGTGCAACCATAAAAATTACAATCATTTGCTTCTAAATAGTCAAATTTTTCAGATTAGTAAAAATTATTTGAAAACAAATTTGTGGATAATAAAGATTAGCTAGAACTGTGACTGTATGGTGTAGTTACCACACAGTTTATTATGCAGCAAAAATGTATGCTTGAGATTTCTGAACTTTGCTAATTTTTCTGCTGTTTTCCAACTGACCAAAATGATGTTAGGAATGCAACTTTGTAAATGGGTGCTAATTGATAATGGGAATAATTTTGTAATGGACTATAAAGGATGTTAATAATGAAGCCATATGTTTATGTCTGGATTGAAAACTTTTAAACTATTATTTGCTAAGTCATTTTGCTTTACCTTGAAGAACATAAACTGTTGTTTCAGTTATTCAAACTAACAAGATCTTATTTACGGCAAGAAATAGTTCATTAAGATGTTGTGCTGTAATACGGGAAAATGTAAATCCTTTTCACAGTTTATTTCAATGTGAAATAAAATTTAATTCTGATAAAAAAGGGAAAAAGTGTAATGCTTTCCCCCTAAGATTGAGAACAAGGCAAGGATTTCCACTCACTCCACATTGTACTGGAGGCTTAGCAAGTGCGATAAGGTGAGAGAGGAAAACATTTTACAGATTAGAAAGGAAGAAACAAAACTGTCTTTATTCATAGACAACATGATTGTCTACATAGAATGCTCCAAAGAATCTAGAGAAACAATACCAGAAGATTAGCAATATCAGAGTATATAAAAGCAATATACAAAAATTAAATGTATTTCTATATGCTAGCAATAAAAATTATAAATTACAAATTACAATGTAAAAAACACTACCATTTATGGTGGCATCAAAAATCATTACATATTTAGAGAAAATCTAAGTGAAAATTTTTTATGAAGAAAACTACAGAACATTAATGAAGAAAAATAAGTAAATAAATATAGAAAGATACTTTGTTTATGGATCAGAACACTCAGTATCATTACGATATCAATTCTCCCCCAATTTATCTGTAAATTCAATACAATTATAATCAAAATCTCAGCAGGCTTTTTGAAATAGAAATTGATGATTTAATAAATAATTCTAAAGCTTATACATAAAAGCAAAGGATCTAGAGTAGCTAAAACAATTATGGAAAAGAAGACTGAGGTTGAGGAATCATGGTATCTAATTTCAACTTACTACAAAGCTGCTCCAATCAGGGCAGTATGCTATTGGTGTAAAGACAGACATAATGGTCAACTTACTTTTGACAAGGCTGCCAAAACCCATCCAATGGTGAAAGGATAGTCTTTTCAACAAATGGTGCTGGGACAACTAAGAGAAAAGGCAACCTGTCCACCTTAGGTAGACTTAGGAAGTTGTTGACTCAACAAATCTGAGACTTGTCTTCAAGCCTGAGAAAACACATTGGGTGATTGGTTTCTAAGTGCCCACTAGTCCCATCTTATTATTAGTTATTTTTGTCTCTCTCATAGCTCAGTGTCTGTTATCTAGTGTTACAAATGTTTATTGATCAAAGACAAAACAAGATGAATATGTTGATTGATACGTAACAGAAAATCAAACCACTGAAAATAAAAACCATCTTTAAGAAGAATCAGGAAGAGTGGTAAAGCTCTGGAGAATTCCTAGATTATTTTCTGCAACTCTGACTGATGGAGGATTATAAAGGGGGATTGAGAAAAAAAAATTCTATCCTCCTAGAAAGGAATTATTATTATCTGACCATGGCAACAAATAACGACCAAAGCCAGTTTTAAACCCATCCTAATCAATCATGACAACTTCACATCAGTAAATACACTTCCTGAAATCAGCCAATTAGCAACAGTTTTTCACTCTATTCAGTGAACAAGCTTCTGAAAGTTAGCCAGCCATCAATGGTGTTACTTGCTTTCACAGTTAAGCATTAAAAAACAACAACAACAAAAAACACCCTAAACACTCCTGGGTTTTTTGTTTTTTGTTTTGAGACAGCGTCTCACTCCGTCACCCAGGCTGGAGTGCAGTGGCGGGATCTCAACTCACTGCAACCTCTGCCTCCCAGGTTCAAGCGATTCTCATGCCTCAGCCTCCCAAGTAGCTGGGGTTACAGGCATGCACCACCATGCCCTGCTAATTTTTGTATTTTTTTTTTTTTTTTGTAGGGACAGGGTTTCACCATGTTAACCAGTCTGGTCTTGAATTCCTGACCTCAAGTGATCTGCCTACCTTGGCCTCCCAAAGTGCTGGGATTACAGGCATGAGCTGTCGCACTCAGCCAACATTCCTGTTTTTGAAAATCCTCCAATCCCTGAAGTCTGTATTACAAGACCAATTCTGCATTGCTGAGAGAGACTGTGCTTTACAGGTACAGCTCTAACTTTGCTTACAAAGTAATCAATTCAGCTTTTTTATTTCTGATATTAAGAAGTGGCCTCTTCCTTCAACATAATTACAATTTTATATCATTTGTCTGGACATTGTATTATTGATGGTATTTGTTAAATTTTTAAAAAATATGATTTTTGTGATTCCTCATTCTAAATAAGCATTTTTGGTCTAAAAATAATTGTTTTATTGTGCAAGTACTTATTGAGCACATACTATAAGGAAACATGTTAAACAGAAACAAAAATGGTCCCTGCTCTCATGAAATTTACAGTCTAGTGGAGAAGGGCAGACATTAATCAAATAGGCATACCAAAATATATAAAATGTATAACTGTGTCCACCCATGAAAGATTATAAGCTATAGGAACTGCCTGCCCACCATAAATAACTATTTAAGAATGCACAAACTTCATTGAACAACTAATTTCAGACATGGTGCAACAGGTAGCACAGAACTATGATCCCCAAAGGAAAGAAAACAAATGAATTTAGTCCTGTGATTGCTCCGGTTTACTGCCTGGAGAGAGTTTCCAGGCCACCGTGCAGGGACAGCAAAAGCAAACAGAGCCCCCACTGAGTGGAGGAGATGGAGATTGGCACCCTGGGAGGCACAGGTGGCTAGAATTTACAGGCAAAGTATAGGAAATAAAGTTGCCGAACAGAGAGAGAATAATGCCTCAGTGACCTGTGGGATATCAGTCTAAGATGCACGTAATTGAAGTCAGAGAAAAAAGGGAGACATAAAATATTTGAAGGAATGATGGCCAAAAGTTTTCTAAATTTGGTAAAAACTATAAGCCCATGGATATAGGAGACTCAACAAATCTGAAACAGAATAAACTTCGTAAAACCATACTAAAATATATCATGACCAATTGCTCACACATCCTTATAAAGTCTTAAAAACAGCTATTGGGAAAAAGATACATTATATACAGATAAGAATTTCAACAGACTTCTTTTCCAAAACTACATAAGCCAGAACAATGGAACATCTTTAAAGTGCTAAAAGAAAAAAACTGTCAACCATAAATGTTCCGTGGTGAGCGAGTCTATGCAAACTTAACCCCAAAGCCCAGGAAGCTGAGAGGTGAAAGAAGAAGGCTGACATATCCGGCTTATCAGAAAGAAATATTTAAGGGGGACTTACAAACAGAAGTGATATCCTTTGGCAGCCATGAGAAGGGATAGTGGATCCCTGAGCCCTTATCCCCCAGGTCCAGGGATTACATACCACAGGGAAGGAATGTGTAACAATTGAAATCAACCCCTCAGAGAGAGGCAAGAATGAACAGTAGAAAAAGTAGAAATCTCAGAGGCATTCCCAGAACAAGGGTTAATCAGAAGTCAGTATGGTAGAGTAGCGTCCAAGATGGAGTTGCTTTATCATCTACACCTGTGGAGGAAAAGTTAAATATTAAATTTGAACTCAATTGAACATGGACACAAACAATGGTCACCAAGTCCTAGAACAGGTTGTGTGAGCCCCTTGAGGCATTCATCCAGTGCTGTTTCAGAGAAATATCTATTTCAATCTGTTCCTAGTTATTGAAAAACAATAGACAATCGTAAAACCAAGTTGACCTTTTTGTGTTCCTTGAGCCCAGTCATGAAGGGCCCTCATGACTTGTTATAAAAAGAGCTAGGGTCTCAGACCGTGCCTTAGCTTCATGAGACCTCTCCTCATCTGTGCATGGATGAGTGGCCGACTTTGGAGCCCAGGCTGTTACTTCCTGGTCTGGTGGTGAATCCTCCATAGTCTGGTGAGTGCAGTGTCCAACTCTGGGGCCCAGGCTGTTGCTTCTCAGTCTGGCAATGAATCCTCCATAGTCTGGTGAGTGTATATATACATATATATATATATATATATATCATTTCCCTTCTCCCCTTCCCATTGCAATTTGCTTATTATATCAATTTGCTTATTATATCATTTGCTTATTATATCTGCATTGCCATTTATATGGGATAAAGGTTATTTACCATTAAAGGTATTGTGCATGTGTCTTTTCTTCTCCCCTCACGTGTTTCCCACACAGAACAACACCAAATCTACCCAACATCACCTACCACAGGCTATACTACTATTGTCTCTTATGTGAACTACTGGAATGGTGTCCCAACTGGCCTCCCTGCTTCCATCCTTGGTGACTTCCAATCCATTCTCCAGCTGAAATCAAATTAATGTTTTTACTATGTAGACAGGATTATGCAATTCTCCTGCTTAAGAAAAAAAAAGGCTGCTGATTTCACTGTGAATAAAATCCAAAGCCATTGACATGGCCTGCAAGCCTCTGTCTACTTGTTCTACCTTTCTTCCACTCCTATTCTTCTAACTCTTGCTGATTCCGCATTTTTTAAACATATAATTTTGTTTGAGACAGGGTTTTACTGTCACCCAGGCTGGAATGCACTGATGAGATCATGGCTCACTGCAGCCTCGACCTCCCAATCTCAAGCAATCCTCCCACCTCAGCCTCTCACATAGCTAGGAATACAGACATGCACCACCACACTTGGCTAATTTTTTTATTTTTTGTGGAGACAGGGTCTCACTATGTTGTCCAGCCTTGTTTCAAACTCCTGGAGGCAAGTGGTTTTCCTGCCTGGGCCACTCAAAGTGCTGAGATTACCAGTGTAAGCCACTGCACCCAGCCTGATTCAGCTTTTTGCAGCCACAGAATATTCACAAATGCATTCTCTCAGCCCACAAAAATCCCTTCCCTCTCATTTCTATTTCTGTTTCTCACTTAAGGTCTTAGCTATAGGAGGCCTCCCCTGACCATTTCCACCCTCCCAGTCTCAGTTAGGTTCCTCTGTGCACCCTCATGGTACACAGACATGGCACACAGTACTTTTTATCAGAACACTCTTCAGTGTTTGTACCACTGTGTTTATTTGTGTGAGTATTTGATTGTTGTCATTCTCTCTCCTAGAGAGTAAGATCCTTGATACTGGCTCAGCATGGAACATCTGGCACACAGTATGCACTGAGGAAATACTTGTTGGAATAATCAGTGAATCATAGATGAAAACTTAACCTTGGAATTAATTATGAGACTGGTGGGTGTGTTACTTAGAAGGATTTTCCTGTTCTTCCTGAAAGGGTTATAGAAGGCTATTGTACACTGTGTCTTCAGAATTACAGAATGGAGAGGCAGACTTGAAGTGCTTGTTCCTGTGAAAAAGAAGGATCAAAGCTCGAGGCTCAGCCTTCCCTTATGGAACCCTTTGTGTTCTTGCCCTGCACTGGGAGAAAATTATCCACATTTGGAAATCACACACCTAGCCCATCTACTTAGTATTCCTGCCTACTTCCTCTAAGTCTCAGCCTTGTGGGGTGTGGGTTTGCTGGTACTTGTGGGGGCAGGTGAAGAACTTGAGCATATCACCCAACCCTTCAGGGATTTCCCTTCCCATTCCCAACAGCTCAGAGGAAGAGAACGGGAGACAAAGGACCTGGTGATTAGACCCCCAAGACACTGGGCTGTCTGCTTGTGTCTCAGGTGGAACAGGCCCAGCGGGAAAGGGGTTGGGGCACAGAAATAAGGGGTTTGGGTGCAGAGATAAGAGGTCATGGGGTGGAAATAAGGGATAGGGGCACAGAGATAAGAGGTCAGGGGGTGGAAATAAGGGATCGGGGCACAGAGATAAGAGGTCGGGGCGTGGAAATAAGGGATCAGGGCACAGAGATAAGAGGTTGGGGTTCCTGCCCCTCCCCCAGAAAAGCAGGACTTGCCACTAAGGGTGAAGGAGAAGGGGTTGAGGGGTTCTTGTCCTTCTTCTAGAAAAGCGGGACTTGCCGCTAAGGGTGAAGGAGAAGGGGTTGAGGGGTTCTTGCCCCTCTCCTAGAAAAGCAGAGAAGGGGTAGAGACAAGGAGAGAAGGGGTTTGGGGTACTTGGCCCTCCCCCAGAAAAGCAGGACTTGCCGCTAAGGGTGAAGGACTAAGGCAGGCGTCCCTGCGTGGTCTGACACCTCTGAAACGTGGGTGAATAATCAGAGAGGCGTCCTTGCGATGATTAAACACCAAGGGAAGGCTGCCTTCCTAGTCCGTGACGGGCGCCGGAGTTTTGGGTCCACGGATAAAACGTGTCTCCTTTGTCTCTACTAGAAAATGAAAGGAACTGAAATTAAGAGAAGGGAGAGATTGAAGTGTGGCGCTAAGATTGAAAGGAGAAAGAGGTTGAGGGATAGTGAGAGAGGTTGGAGAAGAGACTGAGAAGAGGCCGCTTACCTGATTTAAAATTGGTGAGATGTTCCTTGGGCTGGTGGGTCTGAGGACTTGAGGTCGTAGGTGGATCTTTTTCACGGAGCAGAGAGCAGGAGGACAGGGGATTGATCTTCTAAGGGAGATCCTTCGATCCAGGTCACGGCACCAAATTTTATGTGCGTCCGTGTGAAGAGACCAGTAAACAGGCTTTGTGTGAGCAATAAAGCTTTTAATCACCTAGGTGCAGGTGGGCTGAGTCTGAAAAAAGAGTCAGCAAAAAGAGATAAAGGTAAGGCAGTTTTATAAGATTTAAGTAAGTAAAGGAAAATTACAATCAAAGAGGTTGTTCTCTGACGGGCAGGAGTAAAAGTCACAAGGTGCTCAGTAGAGGAGCTTTTGAAGCCAGGATAAGCCAGGAAAAAGACTTTCACAAAGTCATGTCATCACTTAAGACAAGGACTAGCCATTTTCACTTCTTTTGTAGTAGAATGTCATCAGTTAAGGCAAGGCAAAGTATTTTCACTTCTTTTGTGATTCTTCAGTTACTTCAGGCCATCTAGGCATATACGTGCAAGTCACAAAAAATGTGATGGCTTGGCTTAGGCTCAGAGGCCTGACAGTGGGTGTGTGTGTTTGCTGGTACTTGTGGGGGCAGGTGAAGAACTTGAGCATATCACCCAACCCTACAGGGATTTCCCTTCCCATTCCCAACAGCTCAGAGGAAGAGAATGGGAGACAAAGGACCTGGTGATTAGACCCCCAAGACACTGGGCTGTCTGCTTGTGTCTCGGGTGGAACAGGCCCAGCGAGAGTCTTTAGGGCCAGAACTCAAGAATTTATTGAGGTGAGTGCTCCATTTTAGTCATGGCAAAGCTATACCTTTTATGGGGGCTAAATTTAAAATATAAAGTGATCATTTTGTTGTTTATGGTCTGGGAGTTGCAGAGGAAACTGATTTCTTTTATACACTTTAAATGAACTTATTTACAATCGATAAAGATCTAACACTATAAATGATAAAATCTTTCCCCTTGGCAAGCCCTTCAAACAGCAAACTCAACAGTAGCAGCTAATGTATCTTTCAAAAGGCATTCTTGCAATCAATTAACTTACTATGCTTGACTATTCAGCCTGTTAATCCAAATTTAAGCATTACCTCAAAGCTGGTTTACCATTGTGAAGTCCACTAAAATGCTCCATTGAAACAATTCACTCAGGGGAAAAACACAAAGTGGCAAGCTGGGGACACAGTGGCTCTTTAAGAGGGATTTTAACATTTATGTCCCTGCCTTCTCCCCAGTAGCTGTATTCTCCCCAGTGGCCAGAGTTTCCTTCTGCTTCAACAAAGTCATGTCTGTAGTCTCTTCCAGTTCTGTGTGTCTAATGTTTTCCCATACTCAAGACTCTGGTATACATGATCTAGCTTATTTTTAGTCTAAAGACATCTTAGGGATGAGGCCAGAATTCCAAGTGAGGTTCAAATTTGCAGTAACACCAGTGGCCCAAGTATGCAACTTGAGGCTGCCAAAAGTGGCTCTTTAAAATGTCTTAGAGCTGTTGAGTAACACTAAACTCCTTATTTTACAAATGAGTCAAGTGAGACACAGAGAAA